>NC_000006.12:47635757-47938787 GCF_000001405.40 Homo sapiens
TTTACATTAGGTATATCTCCTAATGCTATCCCCTCCCCCGACCCTATGACAGGCCCGGTGTGTGGTGTTCCCTACCCTGTGTCCAAGTGTTCTCATTGTTCAATTCCCACCTATGAGTGACAACATACAGTGTTTGGTTTTCTGTCCTTGTGATAGTTTGCTCAGAATGATGGTTTCCAGCTTCATCCATGTCCCTACAAAGGACATGAACTCATCCTTTTTATGGCTGCATAGTATTCCATGGTGTATATGTGCCACATTTTCTTAATCCAGTCTATCATTGATGGACATTTGGCTTGGTTCCAAGTCTTTGCTATTGTGAATAGTGCCACAATAAACATAAGTGTGCATGTGTCTTTATAGCAGCATGATTTATAATCCTTTGTATATATACCCAGTAATGGGATGGCTGGGTCAAATGGTATTTCTAGTTCTAGATCTTTGAGGAATCGCCACAGTCTTCCACAATGGTTGAACTAGTTTACAATCCCACCAACAGTGCAAAAGTGTTCCGATTTCTCCACATCCTCTTCAGCACCCATTGTTTCCTGACTTTTTAATGATCTCCATTCTAACTGGTGTGAGATGGTATCTCATTGTGGTTTTGATTTGCATTTCTCTGATGGCCAGTGATGATGAGCGTTTTTTCATGTGTCTGTTGGCTGCATAAGTGTCTTCTGAGAAGTGTCTGTTCATATCCTTTGCCCACTTTTTGATGGGGTTGTTTGTTTTTTTCTTGTAAATTTGTTTAAGTTCTTTGTAGATTCTGGATATTAGCCCTTTGTCAGACAGGTAGATTGTAAAAATTTTCTCCCATTCTGTAGGTTGCCTGTTCACTCTGATGGTAGTTTCTTTTGCTGTGCAGAAGCTCTTTAGTTTAATTAGATCCCATTTGTCAATTTTGGCTTTTGTTGCCATTGCTTTTGCTGTTTTAGACAAGAAGTCCTTGCCCATGCCTATGTCCTGAATGGTATTGCCTAGGTTTTCTTCTAGGGTTTTTATGGTTTTAGGTCTGACATTTAAGTCTTTAATCCATCTTTAATTAATTTTTGCATAAGGTGTAAGGAAAGGATCCAGTTTCAGCTTTCTATATATGGCCAGCCAGTTTTCCCAGCACCATTTATTAAATAGGGAATCCTTTCCCCATTTCTTGTTTTTGTCAGGTTTGTCGAAGATCAGATGGTTGTAGATGTGTGGTATTGTTTCTGAGGGCTCTGTTCTGTTCCATTGGTCTATGTATCTGTTTTGATACCAGTACCATGCTGTTTTGGTTACTGTAGCCTTGTAGTATAGTTTGAAGGCAGGTAGTGTGATGCCTCCAGCTTTGTTCTTTTTGCTTAGGATTGTCTTGGCAAAGTGGGCTCTTTTTTAGTTCCATATGAACTTTAAAGTAGTTTTTTCCAATTCTGTGCAGAAAGTCCTTGGTAGCTTGATGGGGATGGCATCGAATCAATAAATTACCTTGGGCAGTATGGCCATTTTCATGATATTGATTCTTCCTATCCATGAGCATGGAATGTTCTTCCTTGTTTGTGTCCTCTTTTATTTCATTGAGCAGTGGTTTGTAGTTATCCTTGAAGAGGTCCTACATGTCCATTGTAAGTTGGATTCCTAGGTATTTTATTCTCTTTGAAGCAATTGTGAATGGGAGTTCACTCATGATTTGGCTCTCTGTCTGTTATTGGTGTATAGGAATGCTTGTGATTTTTACACATTGATTTTGTATCCTGAGATTTTGCTGAAGTTGCTTATCAGCTTAAGGAGATTTTGGGCTGAGATGATGGGGTTTTCTAAATATAAAATCATGTCATCTGCAAACAAGGACAATTTGACTTCCTCCTTTCCTAATTGAATACCCTTTATTTCTTTCTTCTGCCTGATTGCCCTGGCCAGAACTTCCAACACTATGTTGAATAGGAGTGGTGAGAGAGGGCATCCTTGTCTCGTACCAGTTTTCAAAGGGAATGCTTCCAGTTTTTGCCCATTCAGCATGATATTGGCTGTGGGTTTGTCATAAATAGCTCTTATTATTTTGAGATATGTCCCATCAATACCTAATTTATTTAGAGTTTTTAGCATGAAGGGCAGTTGAATTTGTCAAAGGTCTTTTCTGCATCTATTGAGATAATCATGTGGTTTGTGTCTTTGGTTCTGTTTATACTCTGGATTACATTTATTGATTTGTGTGTGTTGAACCAGCCTTGCATCCCAGGGATGAAGCCCACTTGATCATGGTGGATAAACTTTTTTATGTGCTGCAGGATTTGGTTTGCCAGTATTTTATTGAGGATTTTTGCATCGATGTTCATCAGGGATATTGGTCTAAAATTCTCTTTTTTTGTTGTGTCTGCCAGGTTTTGGTATCAGGATACTGCTGGCCTCATAAAATGAGTTAGGGAGGATTCTCTCTTTTTGTATTGATTGGAATAGTTTCAGAAGGAATGGTGCCAGCTCCTCTTTGTACCTCTAGTAGAATTCGGATGTGAATCTGTCTGGTCCTTGACTTTTTTTGGTTGGTAGGCTATTAATTATTGCCTCAATTTCAGAGCCTGTTATTGATCTATTCAGGGATTCAGCTTCTTCCTGGTTTAGTCTTGGGAGGGTGTATGTGTCCAGGAATTCATCCATTTCTTCTCGAATTTCTAGTTTATTTGCATAGAGGTGTTTATAGTATTCTCTGATGGTAGTTTGTATTTCTGTGGGATCGGTGGTGATATCCCCTTTATCATTTTTTATTGTGTCTATTTGATTCTTCTCTCTTTTCTTCTTTATTAGTCTTGCTAGCAGTCTATCGATTTTGTTGATCTTTTCAAAAAACCAACTCCTGGATTCACTGATTTTTTGAAGGGTTTTTTGTGTCTCTATGTCCTTCAGTTCTGCTTGGATCTTAGTTATTTCTTGCCTTCTGCTAGCTTTTGAATGTGTTTGCTCTTGCTTCTCTAGTTCTTTTAATTGTGATGTTAGGGTGTCAATTTTAGATCTTTCCTGCTTTCTCTTGTGGGCATTTAGTGCTATAAATTTCCCTCTACTCCCTGCTTTAAATGTGTCCCAGAGATTCTGGTATGTTGTGTCTTTGTTCTCATTGGTTTCAAAGAACATCTTTATTTCTGCCTTCATTTCGTTACGGACCCAGTAGACATTCAGGAGCAGGTTTTTCAGCTTCCGTGTAGTTGAGCAGTTTTGAGTGAGTTTCTTAATCCTGAGTTCTAATGTGATTGCACCATGGTCTGAGGAACAGTTTGTTATAATTTCTGTTCTTTTACATTTGTGAGGAGTGCTTTACTTCCAACTATGTGGTCAATTTTGGAATAGTGCAATGTGGTGCTGAGAAGAATGTATATTCTGTTGATTTGGTGTGGAGAGTTCTGTAGATGTCTATTAGGCCTGCTTGGTGCAGAACTGAGTTCAATTCCTGGATATCCTTGTTAACTTTCTGTCTCATTGATCTGTCTAATGTTGAAAGTGGGGTGTTAAAGTCTCCCATTATTATTGTGTGGGAGTCTAAGTCTCCTTGTAGGTCTCTAAGGACTTGCTTTATGAATCTGGGTGCTCCTGTATTGGGCGCATATATATTTAGGATAGTTAGCTGTTCTTGTTGAATTGATCCCTTTACCATTATGTAACGGCCTTCTTTGCCTCTTCTGATCTTTGTTGGTTTAAAGTCTGTTTTATCAGAGACTAGCATTGCAACCCCTGCTTTTTTTTGTTTTCCATTTGCTTGGTAGATCTTCCTCCATCCCTTTATTTTGAGCCTATGTGTGTCTCTGCACGTGAGATGGGTCTCCTGAATACAGCACACTGATTGGTCTTGACTCTTTATCCAGTTTGCTGGTCTGTGTCTTTTAATTGGAGTATTTAGCACATTTACATTTAAGGTTAATATTGTTATGTGTGAATTTGATCCTGTCATTATGATGTTAGCTGGTTATTTTGTTCATTAGTTGATGCAGTTTCTTCCTAGTCTCGATGGTCTTTACAATTTGGCATGTTTTTGCAGTGGCTGGTACTGGTTGTTCCTTTCCATGTTTAGTGCTTCCTTCAGGAGCTCTTGTAAGGCAGGCCTGGTGGTGACAAAATCTCTCAGCATTTGCTTGTCTGTAAAGGATTTTATTTCTCCTTCACTTATGAAGCTTAGTTTGGCTGGATGTGAAATTCTGGGTTGAAAATTCTTTTCTTTAAGAATGTTGAATATTGGCCCTCACTCTCTTCTGGCTTGTAGAGTTTCTGCTGAGAGATCCGCTGTTAGTCTAATGGGCTTCCCTTTGTGGGTAACCCGACCTTTCTCTCTGGCTGTCCTTAACATTTTTTCCTTCATTTCAACTTTGGTGAATCTGACAATTATGTGTCTTGGAGTTGCTCTTCTCGAGGAGTATCTTTGTGGTGTTCTCCATATTTCCTGAATTTGAATGTTGGCCTGCCTTGCTAGGTTGGGGAAGTTCTCCTGGATTATATCCTGAAGAGTGTTTTCCAACTTGGTTTCATTCTCCCCATCACTTTCAGGTACACCAATCAGATGTAGACCTGGTCTTTTCACATAGTCCCATATTTCTTGGAGGCTTTATTCATTTCTTCTTACTCTTTTTTCTCTAAACTTCTCTTCTCACTTCATTTCATTAATTTTATCTTCAGTCACTGATACCCTCTCTTCCACTTGATCGAATTGGCTACTGAAGCTTGTGCATGCATCACGTAGTTCTCATGCCATGGTTTTCAGCTCCATCAGGTCATTCAAGTTCTTCTCGATGCTGTTTATTCTAGTTAGCCATTCGTCCAGTCTTTTTTCAAGGTTTTTAGCTTCTTTGCAATTGGTTCAAGCATCCTCCTTTAGCTCAGAGAAGTTTGTTATTACCGATCTTCTGAAGCCTTCTTATCTCAACTTGTCAAAGTCATTCTCCATCCAGCTTTGTTCCATTGCTGGTAAGGAGCTGCGTTCCTTTGGAGGAGAAGAGGTGCTCTGATTTTTAGGATTTTCAGCTTTTCTGCTCTGGTTTCTCCCCATCATCTTTCTGGTTTTATCTACCTTTGGTCTTTGTTGATGGTGACGTAGAGATGGGGTTGTGTTGTGGATGTCCTTTCTGTTTGTTAGTTTTCCTTCTAACAGTCAGGACCCTCAGCTGCAGGTCTGTTGGAGTTTGCTGGAGGTCCACTCCAGACCCTGTTTGCCTGGGTATCACCAGAGGAGGCTGCAGAACTGCAAATATTGCAGAACGGCAAATGTTGCTGCCTGATCGTTCCTCTGGAAGCTTTGTCTCAGAGTGGCTCCCGGCTGTGTGAGGTGTCAGTCGGCCCCTACTGGGAGGTACCTCCCAGTTAGGCTACTCAGGGGTCAGGGACTCACTTGAGGAGGCAGTCTGTCCGTTCTCAGATCTCAAACTCCATGCTGGGAGAACCACTATTCTCTTCAAAGCTCAGTTGGAAATGCAGAAATCACCCGTCTTCTGTGTCGCTCACACTGAGAGCTGTAGACTGGAGCTGCTCCTATTCGGCCATCTTGGAACCTCCTGGATTTCTTGATACTCTGATTTTGGTTTTGATTCTGGTTTGGTGTAAACTGTAAAAGTGTGTGTGTGCCCGTTTTACCCATTTTTTCTTTTGTAGTGTGCTTGTGGTGTGAGCATGGTGTTTTGTCTTGAGGAAGCATGGGTCAGGCACGAAGTAAGCCCACCCCACGAGGAACTATGATGAAAAATTTCAAGAAAGGATTTAAGGGAGATTACAGTGTTACTATGACACCAGGAAAACTTAGAACTTTGTGTGAAATAGACTGGCCAGCGTTAGACATGGGTTGGCCATCAGAAGGAAGCCAGTACAGGTCCCTTGTTTCAAAGGTATGGCACAGGTAACCTGTAAGCCAGGGCACCCAGATCAGTTCCCGTACATAGACACTTGGTTACAGCTGGTTTTAGATGCCCCCCACAGTGGTTGAGAGAACAGCAGCATAAGTGGCTGGCAGAGGCAAGGAAAGACCAGCAGAGAGAGAGAGAGAGAGAGAATAGAGATAGAGAAGAAAAGAGGCAAAGAGAGAGAGGAAGAGACAGACAAAGCAGAGTCAAGGAGAGAGAGAGAGAGGCAGAGAGAGAGGAAGAGACAGAGGCAAAAGGAAAAGAGAGAGACAAAGTCAAAGAGAGAAAGAAAGAAAAAGAGAAATATACAAGTAGTTGAGAAAAAAACAAACAAACAAAAAAAACCAAAAAAAAAAACCCAGTGTACCTGATTCCTTTAAAAGCCAGGGTAAATTAAAACTGTAATTGATAATTGACCCTACAACACTCCAATACCACCTTGTTGTAAGTGTAAACAAGGGCGTAGCCTGAAAGCACTGAGGCCGCTGGCAACCTGTAGCCTTCCAATAAAAAATCCTTAACCCAGTAACCCGTGGATGGCCCAAATGCATTCAATCTGTAGTGGCAACTGCTTTGCTAACAGAAGAAAGTAGAAAAATAACTTTTAGAGGAAACGTCATTATAAGCACACCTCACTAGTTCAGAAGTATCCTTAGTTAAAAAAAAAAAGAGAAAAAAAGATGATTTAACATTAACCACTGAAAATTCCCTTAACCCAGCAGGTTTCCTAACAGGGGATCTAAATCTTAATTACCATGCAAAGGTCAGACCAGACCTAGGAGGAACTCCCTTCAGGACAGGACAATAGATGGTTTCTCCCGGGTAATTGAAGGAAAAAAAAAAAGGCATCTATACAAATTCTAAGTTAATTTAGACTAAACAAGGTCTTATTAATAGCAAAAGATAATTGAAATCCCAAACTTACAAGGTTTTCAATAAAAGTAAAGTTTGCTAAAAGTTAACGGTGTAACATGCATTACAGTAACTTCTAATCTTGTGGCCTTAGACACACATAAAGAAAGTTTGCTTTGGAAAAAAATGGTTATCATCTTCAAAAAAAAAAAAAGGGGGGGGGAATGGGGGGTCAGAATTTATGTAAAAAGAATGTTATATGGTAAATTCTTGTCCTGAAATAAATTAACTGGTTGTTTAAAGAAAGAAATGTTAGTAATAAGTCAGAAAATTGAGGCATGTCGAAGAATTGTCTGTGAAGTTGTGAAGGAGAAAAAAATTGTTATAAAAAAAGAATTTATGCAAGAAATGTTGTATAATTTAAAAGTAATTTGGCCTCCTGAATGTAAAACTATTGAGGAAACAGTTTATGTGCAGGGTGTATAAGGAAAGTAAAATATACCTTTAGTAAAAGGATGATAAGAAGGCATAAGAATATAAATTTTTACCTATATTAAAAGGTTAAAACAATTTGTTTTGAAGGTTTAAGCAAGTTTTAAAATGTTAATTGTAAAGAAAATTCTGTGTGTAAACATATTAGCTAAAGTTAAAGGGGTATCATCCAGTTTTTCTGTGAACTGGACATTAAAGTAAAAACACAATGGGTTTTTCTTAAAGCACTGACCTGCTCTCTAACAAAGATTATAAAAGGTTAAAAAGAGTCTATAAAAATCTCACCTTATGGTCTGACATTAAAAATTGAATAAATATGTCTACAAAGTTTTATTAAAATTAAGTTTAACATTAATAACACACTAATACAAACGTGAAATTTAGCTTATCTGGTATAAAAATCATACAGGAAGCATTATTAAATATAAAATGATGTTTGGCTTTCTTTGGTCTAAAAACTAATAAAAATAGGTGCTAAAGGAAATTTATCAGTAAGAAGGCACCAAGGACTATAAAGTCCACTGCTGATGTCCCCACATTTAAAACAAAATGTCAGTTTCTTAGAAATTATATACTTGGTTTATCTTCCACTTTCCTTTCCCTCAAAACTAAAAGTCTTTTAGCACAGTTACCACCAATAGAATTTCCAGTAAACCAGCCTGAAGATTACCTTCTCATCAAAGGGTGGAAAAAAGGAAAACTCAAGCCAGCCTGGGAAGGACCCTACCTTGTGCTGCTAACCACTGAGACTGCTGTTCGTATAGTGAACAAGTGATGGATTCATCACACCCGAGTCAAAGCACCACTCCCTCCAGAGTCGTAGGCCACAGTCCTAGGGGAAAACCCTACCAAACTAAAGCTAAGAAAAGTTTAACTCCTTCATCTATTCTATTAGTCTTTCTTCTTTCCTCGCTCTATTGCTGACTAGTTATTAACATAACCAAGTCAATTTCACCTCAAACTATTGCATTTAATGCTTGCCTTGTTATACTCTGTGGGAACTTGCCAAGTCAAAGACAGCTCTCTACTTCAGAAAAGTACCTCTGTCCCTCCTGACTCTCCTCAGACTGGGCATTAGTAAACTGGGACCATTTAATCCAGGGAGATTTCAATAAAGACCCCAGTGACAATGAGGAGTCTTGCCCCACAATGTAGAGCTTTTATGCTATAGTTGGTCCAATGTTCTGTGGACCACTAAAGAGCAAGGATGGACTGCCCCAACCAGTTTTTGTCATTTCCTAATATCATACCTTCATTTTATAGAGGATCATAGAAATTAAAGACTTAAAACAAACTTTGGTAATTAAGACAGGATACCAAGATACAAATGCCTGGTTGGAATGGATCAAATATTCTGTCCACATGTTAAACAAAAGCAATTGTTATGCTTGTGCACATGGCAGGCCAGAGACCCAGATTTTCCCCTTTCCACTAAGGTGGTCCTCCTGTTGACCAGGTGTGGGCTGCATGTTAGTTCTTTTCCAGGATTGTACAGCCTGGAGTAATAAGTCATGCCAAGCTTTCTCTGCTATATCCCGAAGTCTGGCACCCTGCAGGTCAGTCCCCGAGGGCCATCCAGCTTCTGTCTCCCAACACTAAGTTTGCTTTGTGTCTCTCACGACAGGGAGGAAACTTAGCATTCCTTGGAGACCTGAAAGGATGCAGTGAGCTTGAGAATTTTCAAGAGCTTATCAATCAGTCAGCCCTTGTTCATCCCCCAGCGGATGTGTGGTGGTATTGTGGTAAACCTTTACTGGGCACTCTGCTGAATAACTGGAGTGTCACTTTTGCTTTAGTCCAATTGGCCGTCCCTTCCACCCTGGCATTTCATCAACCAGAGGGAGAGAAAATAAGACATCATAAAGCGAGAGAAGCCCCTTATGGGTCTTTCGACTCTCATATCTATTTAGATGCAATTGGAGTCCCATGGGGAATACCAGATCAATTTAAAGCTTGAAATCAAATAGCTGCAGGATTTGAGTCAATATTTTGGTGGGTGACAGTTAATAAAAATGTAGATTGGATAAACTACATCTATTACAACCAATAGCAATGAGCTTTTCATGAGTTAAAAGAAAAACTAATGTCGGCCCCAGCCCTGGGGCTACCTGACCTGACAAAACCCTTTACACTCTATGTGTGAAATGGCAGTTGGAGTTTTAACCCAGACTGTGGGGCCCTGGCCAAGGCCAGGGGCCTATCTCTCAAAACAACTAGACGGGGTTTCCAAAGGCTGGCCCCCATGTCTAAGGCTGGCAGCAACAGCCCTGTTAGCACAAGAAGCAGATAAACTAACCCTTGGGCAAAACCTGAATATAAAGGCCCCCCATGCTGTGGTAACTTTGATGAATACCAAATGACATCATTGGCTAACAAATGTTAGATTAACCAAGTACCAAAGCTTGCTATGTGAAAATCCCCGCATAACCACTGAAGTTTGCAGCACCCTAAACCCTGCCACCTTGCTGCTGGTATCAGAGAGCCCAGTTAAACATAACTGTGTAGAGGTATTGGACTCAGTTTATTCTAGTGAGTCCAACCTCTGAGACCATCCTTGAACATCAGCAGACTGTGAGCTGTACGTGGACGGGAGCAGCTTCGCCAACCTCTGCAAAATGACTCTGAAGAAGACGACAAGCCCTGCTCCAGTCACACCCATAAGCTGACTAGTCCACGTATGACTGAAGCATGAGAAAACTCATCGTGGGCTCATTTTCCTTAAAATTTGGACTTGTACACTAAGGATTTCAACTGACCTTCCTCAGACTGAGGACTGTTCCCAGTGTGTACATCAAGCCACTGAGGTAGGACAAAAAGTTGCTACAGTCCTCTTATTTTATGGTTATTATAAGTGTACCAGGAGTCTAAAAAGAACTCATTTGTATAATGCTATTCTATACAAGGTATGTAGCCCAGGAAATGACCAACCTGATGTGTGTTATGACCCATCTGAGCCTCCCATGACCACAGTTTTTGAAACAAGATTAAGGACTGAGGACTGGTGGGGGCTCATAAATGATATGAGTTAAGTGTTAGCCAAAACAGAAGAAAAAGGGGTGCCCAGACAAGTCACCTTGAAATTTGATGCCTGTACTGTCATTAATAATAATAAGTTAGGAATAGGATGTGGTTCTCTTAATAAGGAAAGAGGCTATATGGCAGAAAATAAGTACATTTGTCCTGAATTAGGACTGTGTGAAAATGAATGTGTACTGGTCTTGTGTCATTTAGGCTACTTGGATAAAAAATGAAAAGGATCCTGTTCACCTTCAAAAAGGGAAAAGTGGCCCTTCCTGTATCAGTGGTCAGTGTAACCCCTGAGTTATTACTAAATAACCAACCCCCTTGATCCTCGCTAGAAAAAAGGGGAGCGTGTAACCCTAGGAATCGATGGGGCTGGACTGGATCCTCGAGTAAATATCATGGTTTGAGGAGAAGTTTATAAATGCGCTCCTGAACCGGTATTTCAAACCTTCTATGATGAACTGAATGTGCCAGTACCAGAAATTCCAGGAAAAACAAGAAATTTGTTTTTGCAATTAGCCAAGCATGTAGCCCAGTCTCTCAATGTCACTTCATGTTATGTATGTGGAGGAACTGTAATGGGAGATCAAAGACCATGGGAAGCCCAAGAAGTATTACCTACAGACCCAGTTCCTGATGAATTCCCGGCTCAAAAAGCCTAAATCATAGACAATACCGTATAGCATGAGTGGGGAAGGACTTCACCCTTCCTGTAGGAAGACTCAGCTGCCTTGGGCAAAAACCATATAATAGCACTACAAAAACAGCCACCTGGTGGAGTTCAAACCACACTGAGAAAAATCCTTTAGTAAATTTCCAAAGTTGCAAACAATGTGGACCCACCTGGAGTCCCATCGGGACTAGACAGCCTCCACTGGATTATACCGGATATGTGGGCATAGAGCCTATGCCAAGTTACTTGACCAATAGGCAGGTAGTTGTATTATTGGCACCATTAAACCATCCTTTTTCCTACTGCCCATAAAAACAGGTGAGCTCCTAGGCTTCCCTGTCTATGCTTCCTGAGAAAAGAGAAGCATAGTTATAGGTGACTGGAAAGATGACGAGCGGCCCCCTGAAAGAATCATATAGTACTATGGGTCTGCCACTTGAGCACAAGATGGTTCATAAGGATACTGAACCCCCATTTATATGCTCAACCGAATCATACAGTTACAAGCTGTCTTAGAAATAATCACTAATAAAACTGGCAGAGCTTTAACTGTTTTAGCCTGGCAAGAAACTCAGATGAGAAATGCTATCTATAAAAATAGACTAGCCCTAGACTACTTGCTAACAGCTGAAAGAGAGGTCTATGGAAAGTTTAACCTGACCAATTGCTGTCTGCACATAGATGACCAAGGGCAAGTAGTTAAAGATGTAGTTAAACATATAACAAAGCTGGCACATGTGCCCATGCAGGAGTGGCATAGGTTTAATCCTAGGTCCATGTTTGGAAAATGGTTTCCAGCAGTAGGAGGATTTAAAACTCCTATAATAAAAATTATAATAGTAATAGGAACCTGCTTGTTGCTTCCCTGTGTGCTGCGTTTACTCCTTCAAGTAATAAAAAGTTTTGTTACTACCTTAGTCCATCAAAATACTTCAGCACAAGTGTACTACATGAATCACTATCGATCTGTCTTGTAAGAAGACATGGGTAGTGAGGATGAAAGTGAGAACTCCCACTAATGAGTGAGGTTCTCAAAGGTGGGGGAATAATGGAGACTACACCTCATATTGTCTTATGCCCAATTTCTGCCTCCAAAGAAAGAAGAAGTAAAAACTAAAAGGCAGAAATGAAATCCACAGGCTGACAGCCCGGCGCCACACCCTGGGCCTGGTTAAAAATTGACCCCTGACCTAACCGGTTATGTTATCTATAGATTCTAGACATTGTATGGAAAAGCATTGTAGAAATCCCGTCTTGTTCTGTTCTGTTCTGATTACCAGTGCATGCAGCCCCCAGTCACATACCCTCTGCTTGCTCAATTGATCACAACCCTTTCATGTGGACCCCCTTAGAGTTGTAAGCCCTTAAAAGGGACAGGAATTGCTCACTCAGGCAGCTCAGTTTTTGGAGATGTGAGTCTTGCCAAAGCTCCTGGCTGAATAAAGCCCTTCCTTCTTTAACTCGGTGTTTGAGGGGTTTTGTCTGCAGCTTGCCCTGCTACATTATGATCAAGAGTAACAGCTTGCTTATCACAACTTGCTCAAGCCTTTGTCCATGCAGTGCACACTGATCCAAGCCATTATGTCATGAACTCTGCCCAACCCCAACTAGTTTCCTAGTTTTTAAGACTTGAAAACCCTGTGAATATCCTCCCTCGACTTCCTACTTCTGAAACTTACTAAGACTGCCCAGGTAGTGGCATCTCTTACTATGTACAATACATCTAACAGCCTTAACTTTGCTTGATCAATGGATTTTTCTGGTGGTCTTCTGGGCAGTTGACATGTTAAAAGTGAGATGTTTTTCTTATGTATGAAGAGCAACATTATGTATGTCATATCAAATTACCTTTGCATCTTGAATATTGGCTTAAATGTTAAAATTTCTCTGGATCCTTTCAAGAATCTTGGGTCTAGTAGACCTTGCATTATCCTTTACCCTTGGAAATTAAAGAAACCCACAGAAGTCTTATTTTCCATATGAGTCCTGTGGTAACCCTTTTCCTTCCTCCCTTTTCCCCTCCTCCATTCAGAAGGCAGAAGAAGATGAACAGAAGATTGATGAGAGTTTGAAGCCATGTTCACTCATGGATGGATGGATGGTTAAAGTAATTGTAACTATTAAATTCATTCAAAACCAAACAAACACTATTGTGTGTGTACAGCTCTTATTTTCCTGGGAGAGGGAGGCTAAAGAGACAATCCCAAAATGTTAAGCCATGAAAAACACAAGTGTGAACTGTGCAGGCCCATTTATACTTGGGTTTTCTTCTGCCTCTGCCACCCCTGAGATAGGAAGGCCAACCCCTCCTCTTCCTCCTCCTCAGCCTACTCAGTGTGAAGATAACAAAGATGAAGACCTTTATGATGATCCACTTCCACTTAGTGAATAGAAATATATTTTCTCTTCCTTTTAATTTTCTTAATAACATTTTCTTTTTTCTAGCTTACTTTATTGTAATAATACAGTATATAATATATATATACAGCATAGAAAATATGTGTTAATTGACTGTTACGTTGTTGGTAACGCTTCTGGTCTACAGCAGGCTATAAGTAGTTAAGTTTTGGAGAGAGTCAAAAGTTATATACAAATTTTTGACTGCATGTGGGGGCCGGCACCCCTAACCCCCATGTTGTTCAAGAGTCAACTGTGTAAATAATTATAAATAGAGATACATGAACTAAGGGAGTCAAACAGGGCACAGTAATTTAGGATTATGGAGTTGGTGGGTTGGAAGGATGGGGAGACCTCTTAGAGAGAATGGGCAGTGAAGGCCTCCATGGGAGGTACTGAAGCTAAGACCCGAGAGAGAAGCAAGGCTGGATTAGGGTGAGGCAGGTGGGGCCTATGACACAGCATTGAAGGAAGCCCTCAGTCTCAGGGTCACACGAGGCAAGATCCACACTTTCCTAAGGCTCTCTTTCCTCATGTTAGTTTTTATTGCACCCTGGAGAGGAGAAATAGCCAGTCGCACAAAGAATGTGGGGTGTGTGTGTGGAAGAAAGCAGTAAGGTGAGGGGCTGGGGAGAACGAGATATGCACAGTGATCCCAGGCAGAATAAACAGGCTATACACGGGCCCTGAGGTAGAAAGGCATTTGGTAAGTTTCAGGAGCTGATTGGAAGCCCTTATACTTGGTTGAGCATGGACAGAGGTAGAAAAGGCCCAGGAGGAGGGTGAAGAGGCAGGCAGGTCTTGCGTCAGGCGGGCCTTGCAGGCCACATGAGGCACACAGATCTTATCCTAAGTGTAATGAGAATAGTTTTTAATCTGTGACGCCATGTGACTGAATATATATTTACAAGATTTCTGAAAAACAGATTGAAAGGGGGTAAGGGTGAAAGCAGAGAGAACAATTAGAAAGTGTTTGTGTTAGTACAGGCCAGAGAGGAAGATGGTTGGGACTGGATGGAGATGTAGTTATGTGTCACTTAACAATGAGGATACTTTCTGAGAAATGTGTCATTGGAGATTTTGTCATCATGCAAACATCACAGAGTACACTTACACAAACCTGGATGGTATAGCCTACTACACACTCAGGTTGTATGATATAGCCTATGCTCCTAGGCTACAAACCTGTACGACATGTTACTGTACTGAATACTGTAGGCAACTGTAACACAATGATAACCATTTGTATATCTAAACAAATCCAAACATAGAAAACGTACAGTAAAAATAAGGTGTTATAATCTTATGGGACCACCAGTATATATGTAGTCTATTGACTGAAACATCGTTTTGTGGCTCATGACTGTATAAAGAAATGGACAGATGTGAGATATATTTTGAGGTAGAAACCACAGGACTTGCTGACGTGTGAATGTGGAGTTTAGAAGAGAAGTGTGGCCTGGACATCCAAGCTGTGGAAGTGGGTGAGCTCCTCCAGGGAAAGGGAGAGAGGAGAGAAGGGAGGAATGGGGTATGGAGGGGAGGAGGGATGAGGAGAAGGTCTAAGAAGCTCCAACACTTAGAATTCTGGTAGAGAAGAGATCATACAGGAAATAGTAAAATGAGGTACATACAAATTTAAGAAGAGTGGTGTTTCCTCAACCCAAATGTCTGTTGACAGATAAGTAGATAAGGAAAGGGTGACAGATATATAAATGGAATGTTATTCAGCCATAAAAAGAAGGGAACCCTGTCATATGTCACAATATGAATTAGTATTGAGGACATTATGCTAAGTGAAATGAGCCAGTCACAAAAGGATAACTACTGTATGATTCCACAAATATGAGTTATTTAAAGTAGTCAAATTCACAGAAACAGAAAGTAGAAAGGTGGTTGCCAGAGGTTGGGAGGAGGAGGAAGTGGGGAGTTGTTCAGTATTGCCTGAAAAAGTTCTAGAGACCTGTTACAAAACAATATGAATATACTTAATGCTACTGAACTGTACACTTAATTAACAGGGTAAATTTTGCATTATTTTTAAACCACAATTTAAAAAATAAAAATTAAAGAAGGAAATATTTCAAAAAAGAGAGAAATGGTTAACTGAATTGAGTGCTGCCGAGATGTCAAGCAAAATGAGGGCAGAGTTAATTATAGAACTGTTAAGATGGAGAACATTGGTGACCTTTATACAATTGGTTTCAATGGCATGAAGAGCATGAGAACAGCAAGGATAGAAGTGGAGACAGCTTGTGCGGACAGTTTTCAGAAGGTTTAGCCAGGAAGAGAGACTTGAGGCAGACTCAGTGAGAGGACAAAAAAACGAAGGAGACTTTTGTTTTGCTTTGTTTTGTCTGAGGAAGGAAGATACTTGAGCATATTTAAACATCAATAGCATTATCCATAGTAGAGGGAGAGATTGATGGTGCAGGAAACAGGAAGAAAATCTAAAGAAATGCAGCCCTTAAGAATGTCTGAGGAGATAGGGACAGAGCTCCTCTGAAGGGACTAATTTTGACAGGACGACAGAGACTCCCTCTCACATGACAGGAAAGAAGGAGGAGAAGGCTGGAGCACATGCAGATGGAACGTGGGTTTAGGGGCGAGAAGAAGATAAAATCCTCATCTGGTGGCTTTGATTTTCTCTGTAAAATATTAGGTGAGGCTGGGGAAGAGTTGCATCAACCGTTTGAGGAGAGCCAATGAATGTAATTAGTCATCCAGGATCATGGAAAAACGAGCCGGCCAGTGAATCATATCAGGGTTGACCAGCTGTGTGGAATTTTGTATTTATTATTTTAAAGTGAAACTACCATGTTATATTTTATCAATTCTAAGATGCACATGTTTCAACCTCAGAATTTGGGATGCATTCTAGCACTGTTCCATAGTTTCCTAGTATTGTTGGTTTCCTCGCATTGTTTCATAGTTTAATTGCCACCGTTGTTTTCTTTATGGTTCATAAAACAATGGGAATATCATAATCAATGGCACCTTACGGTGAATGAGGCATGGTAGATGGCTTTGTTCTGTAATTTTATACCTGCCAAATTCAACTGCTTGTGTACGGACATGGAGAGGGCATTTGTTTCAGGTTTGGGTTTTAAAGATGAATAAACTTGAGAGAGGACTGTAAAGTTGACAGTAGCTGTCAATAACAAACAGGCATATTTTGGCCTACTTAGGGAAAAATACAATTGCAATGTGACTAGAAAAATTGCCTCCTGTGGAGATCAGCTATTCATTACTGGAAGAGTTTAATCTGCAATTTTGGTCCACATGGCTATTCTAAGATGTTTTGCCAGGTTAAGATCATATCATAAATTTCTCTTGTAAGCTAAATACTCATGAAACAACAGTTCAGAATTCCTTTATCAATCACCTTTTCCAATAGATGTCCAATACTGAATGACCACGAGTCATATGCTGGGTGACTATTGAAGAAAAGATAGGGAACATGTGTATTCATTCATAGAACATTTAATAATTACCAGCTATATGCCAAGCAGTCTATTGGGTTTTGAGGAAATAAAAATACAATATGAATTCTTTGACTTTGAAGAGCCCACAGTCTGATTTAAAAAACAAAGAATTGACAACAGAAGTATTCTTTCATCCAATCGCTTATGTAACATATATTTATTGGACTCCTACTGAGTGCCAGGCATTGTTCTAGGTGACAGAAATACAGCAGTGACAAAATTACAAAGTCCCTACCTCCGTGGTCCTTACCTTCTAGTGAGATACATCAATTGACCAATAGCACACCACTAAACATGATACTTTTGACTAGTGATAGATTGAGGAAAACAGTGAAATGTTATAGAGAATGACGGGTGTTACCTTAGATTGAATGTTAAGAGTATAAATTAAGCTATATATTTTTTTCTTTGGCACGGAGTTTCGCTCTTGTTGCCCAGGCTGGAGTGTAGTGGCACAATCTCAAGTGATTCTCATGCCTCGGCCTCCTGAGCAGCTGGGATTACAGGAGTGCACCACCAAGACCAGCTAATTTTTGTATTTTTTGTAGAGATGGGGTTTTGCCATGTCAGATCTGATGACATCAGGTGATCCACATGCCTCAGCCTCCCAAAGTGCTGTGATTACAGGCGTGTGCCACTGAGCCTGGCCAAATTAAGCTATTTTGGCCACAGTAACAGAAAGCCTAACAGTGGCTTAAGCCCTCGAGCTATTAATTATATATTTTAAGAGCGCAGAGATTATTGATCCCAGTGTGGATTTAGTAATTCAGTCATGTCATCAAAGATCAAGAGTTTTTCCATGTCTCTGTTCCCCCATTTGCAACACATTGATGTTTTCCTCATGGCTGCAGAATGACTGCCATAGCTGCAGATACTACACCCTCTCAATTTCCAAAGCCAGAAGAGAAAAAGGGGTGGGAGAATGGGGACAAGATAACATTTTTTCTTCCTAGTGTAGCTGTTTTAATTATCAGGGAAAGGTTCTTTCTAGAAGCTTTCACACCCCCTAGCAGACTTCCCCCTAAAATTCATCGAACAGAAATGGTGGCCTGCCTACATGTAGTTTAGTGACCAGCGAAGAAGATCTATATTACCACAATTCATTCAAAATAATCATGGGTCATCCAATCTGAGTTTTGGGCAAGGAAGAAGGCAGTGTGGACTGGGGTAGGTAAATAATGATTGCCACTTCAGAGAATGCTTCCCTGAGGAGATGACATTTAAACTAAAACCTAGATGATGAGATGGTGCCGGTCTTGTGCACCATGTCCCATGGTGGCACTAAGGGAGAAGCTAGGCCAGAGTAGATGGCCAGGAAGGGCTGACAGGGGAAGAGGCACTTGAGGACGAGAATGAGTCAGCCAGGTGAAGTTATGGGTAGAGAGGGGCGGAGGCTTTCAGGCTATAGCAAAGGCCAGTGGAGAGGAAAAGAAATGTGAGCCAGTTTGTATGGCTGGAGCAAGATGAGCAGGACAAGGCAGGCCACAGCCTTCGTGGAGATGATTGCAGAGGGGATGATTTGGATTCTAGCATTACAAAATCAGCAATAAGGCAGATGTATGCAAAAGGACCGGTACTCAGTTTCACGTAGGGCTGTGGAGGAGACTTAAGACAGCTAGGTTGAATCTGACTGAGTACAAGGAGTCAGCCAGGGAACAGAGGTGGCAAGGATGTCCCTTAGGCACAGGGCACACACGGCAGGCATGAAGGCTTGGAGGCTTGAAACAATGTGATGAAAGCCATCAGTACAGCATCACCAGAGGATGATGTGTGAGTCAGAGAGTGACCGGGGATGAGGCTGGAGCCATGGCTGGGAGCCCTGCTTCATTTGGTTTAGGCCAGTACAAGCATCTGCCTTTTCAAAAGTTGGGAGTCCCAGCTCTGGAAATAATAGCTGGGTTGGCTTCCTGATTTGTGCTGTGCGGGGCTGGGCTTGGATGATCTTCAAGAACACTTCCACTTTTTACATTCCTGATCTCTGGTAGATGCTCAATAAACCTTTACTGAACAAGTCTCTCCTGCTACCAAAACGTTGCTCATCAGTGTAAATCAGACGTGTCCTTTAAGGCCTGGTCTGTCCCTGTATTCTCCATGAAGTGACTCCTGACCAGGCCAGCCTCCATCAACTCCTCCATTGTTGGGAGTGACTGTGTCAGCTATTAGTAGAGAAGATCTTGTATGTTTTTCATATTTATGTGTTTTCTTCTTCCAACTAGAAGTGTGAACTCTGGGAGGTTAGGGGTCATATTTTATATAAATTGATATATCCACAGATGCATGGCACACTGGGCATTTTGTGTATAAATAATGACAATGCGACTGATTAGGACATGTTAGTGTAGACTCACCAGTTGTGACAAATGCATCACCTACCGCGAGATGTTGATAGTGGGGGAGGTTGTGTGTATGGGGGGGCAGGGATATTTTTGAAATCTCTGTACTTTTGCCTCAATTTTGCTGTAAACCTAAAACTACTCTAAAAAATAAAGCATATATATATATGTGTATATATATATGTATATATATGTGTGTATATATATGTGTATATATATATGTATATATATGTGTGTATATATATGTGTGTGTGTGTGTGTGTGTGTATGTGTATATATATATATATATATATATATATATATATATATAAATTTTTTTTGAGACAGGGTCTTACTCTGTCACCCTGGCTGGAGTCCAGTGGCACAATCTCCACTCACTGTAGCCTCAATCTCCTGGGCTCAAGTGAGCCTCCTATGTCAGCCTCCTGAGTGGCCAGGGCTACAGGTGTGCACCACCATGCCCAGCTAATTTTTTTTGTTTGTTTGTTTAAAGTAGAGACAAGGTCTCATTATGTTGCTCAGGCTAGTCTCGAACTCCTGGCCTCAAGCATTCCTGCCTCAGCCTCCCAAAGTACTGAGATTACAGGTGTGAGGCACTGTGGCCAACCTATATTTTTTAAAAGATAGAATTTTCCCATCTGAGGAGCAGACTTGAGTGGATTTCAAGAGGGTACTATTCAGCCCTCAAGGGGATTCACAGACCTAGAATTAGAGAAAAATAGCAGCACAGCACTCACAGCAGCTGGGAACTTTCCCATCCTTCCCTGGCCACTTCCTAGAAGATCAAGACTAGCTAAGGAAACAAAATGAGGAAGGGGGAATGCTGAGATTAAAATTAAGGGGTGCCTTTCAGTATATTAGGAGAACTTCGTGAAGATTTTGAAAAATGCCACACTCTAGATAAATATAGATATAGCTTTTCAAACATGGGATTGGGGAAGCTAAGAAGTTCATAAATACAAAAAAAAAGAGTTTTTGAGTGTTTCAAATTTAAAAAAAGATATGTCACTGACCATGTTGCTTTTTGAGAGTCTTTGTCCTTGTATAGGGTAGGTTATGCTGAGGTGACAAATAGCTCCCAAATCTCAGGGAGTAAGAATAGTAAGAAGTAATCCTTTCTTATGGTTGTCATGTGTTAGCAGGGACCTCTTCTTATCACGGTCACTCAGGGACCCAGTCTCATGGAGTAACTACTATTCTGAATTGCTGGCACCATGCAGAATTACTTAAATGCCCCACTGACCACAAGGAGGTGAGGAATCACAATGCTACCTTGTGTTTGCAACTGGAGACCGATAGGAATGATTAGGGAACCATACCACCATAATCCTAGTAACCAGAAAGCCAGCCAGCTAGTACCAGAGCCCCAAGCAGAGGCACTTGTGGTTTCCAAATTTCATCTTTAGGCTCAGGCTGATTTGTAAGAACAAATGAGCTACAGCCATGCATCACACATCCTGTGCTGCCACCACAGTCTTAAATCCCTTGCCCAAGACAGGAGCCTTTGCTTTTTGTGAGAGTCCGCGTCTGTCACCTGGTGTGACTCATCCATTCTCCAGTGCATTGCCCCTCCCACTGCAGGAGCTACTCCCATGCAGGACTTGTCTGTCAGGCTGCAGCACTCCTGCACATGGGGCTGACTGCCTATGGGAACCGCAGGGTCCAGCCTGGGGAGCTGCCATTCGGGGCTAACTTGACTCTCATCCATACAAGAGCCCAGCCTGTGATTTGTAGCAAGGTATGACAGAAGAGAGCCAGTAATGCCCATATCTCCAGCTGCCAGGGAGTGGGGCAAATTTGCCGGTGAGTTTGTCTTTGGCCAGCCACAGTGAGTAGTCCCAGGTCCTCCTTCTCCTTCCAGTGACTTCCTTTGGAGAGGAATTTCAGAGATGAGCAGCCACTCATGATTTTGTGTTTGTGAGGCTTTGGTAATTTGAGGTTTAATTAATAACATATGTAGTGAATAAGTGAATTTATACAGTGAATAAGGGAACATGTACAGTGAATAAGAAGGAATTTATTAACTTTAAGGCACTTTACGTAATAAGAGCACAAGTCTGTATAAAAATATTTTTGTTTTCATTTATTCTTCTCTGTTCTTCTGTGCTCCACTAATTTTATCCAAAGATCAGAATACAGGAAATGGGAACCTATAAATAACCTTTTTTTCTGATAATCTCCAAGGTACTAGGTGTAAATGCAGAAGTTAATGAACATTTTTATGATTATTTTCCCTCATCAGACCTTGTCATGTTTTATCTACAATTTTGGCTTATTATGAAGGCATCACTAGCCTCAAACCCTTCTTGAAACTGAGTAATATTTTTGTACTTTCTCAAAAAATCCTGCACCAACGACTAACCTATGGCAATGAAAACTCTTGGCCTTACACATTCTTCTTCTCAGATGATACTTTCTCAAGAGGAAGGCAGACTTTGGGGAGATTTCTCTGGGTTCTTAAGCTTGTCTCCATTGTGTCATTCTTTGTATTGTGGGGATGTAACTACAGTTCCATTGTTTTTTATACTATTCTTTAAAATAGTGTAATTGATGCTTCATTCCTTTCTTTTTTCTGATTCTTTGTCAGTATTTGTTGAATATGAATTTTAAAAGTTTAGTTTTGCTTAAAATTGTTTATCCTTTGAAATTTGACAAAATGTGTTTTTCCCTCTTAAAGTGAACTTACAGATAAAAGTGATGCTTGAATTTCTCCCACATTACTTTTGGTTTATTACGTTTCCTCTTTCAAAATTCATTCATAGTCCTATAGTTTCAAAAAATCCACTTATTGGTAGCTCAAATGCATAATTTCAAATATATTTCTGGGCAAGTGGTTAGCCTTAAAAGACTGCAAAACTTGTACTTTATGTCCTTAGAGATGGTATCCTAAAATAATATAGCCACAATTCTGTTCTAATAATATTTGCATAATATAGAGTTACAACATCATTGTCTTTTTTGAAAAATGAATAGAAACTTGTGAACAGAAATCAGACCTCTTATTCACAGATAATGAGATCAGGGGATTCAGTTACCAGGCCTGGTAACCGGTTGCTCTTTCTAAAATTGGACATGGGAGGACAGCACAGGGGTTGTCAGTGGAAGTCACCTGCCCTGGGTTCAGGCATTAACGGGGTGCAGTTCCTATAGAGAATAATATTTCTAAACATGTCTAAAAGATAATAGAACCAACTGAAAATCAGTCTTCTTTATCATCAGCATGTTCTGGTAATTCTAACCCATGTCAGTGACATGGGTTGGTGATATGGGCAGACCAGGCCCACAGCCACCTTCCCCTCCTTGTTACTGCTGTTGTGTGTGTGAGATTTGATTTAATTCACTAGTGGGAAACAGTCTACCTCAGGAGACAGTGGCTACTTCCAAAAAACCATAGTTTAGCAATGATCTATCAGTCCCATTATCTTGGGAATTGATGGCTTCCGGGTTTGTTATTTTTATATATTTCTTTTAACATAACAGCCATCTCTCAGGCTAGTAAAACCCCTGATTTTATTTTTATTTAGGGACGAGGCTATAGAACCTACTGCTTCTGCCTATTATTCCTGAATCTTTTGACTGCAATGAACAACTCCTGAGTCTTTTGACTGCAATGAACAACTCCTTAGCTAAAGCCCCAAAAGTGATTTTATTTTAGTAATACTCGGAGATCTCATAGAACACAGGGCATGAGACACAGGGGTCTGAATGGCCTCAGGACTCTCTTTATGATCTTTGCCCCTCTTGGTGCATCTGCTTCCTTTTGCTCTGTCCTTCTTTCTACAGTTAGGTCGTTCTCAATCACATATTAATATCACCTAGGGTTTTTTCTCAGTTCTGTATATGAATATCATCTGTGGAATTTAAAAGACCATTTATCCTAAATGTTAACAGCACAATGTAGGTGAAGGGATATTAAGTGTTCACTGTTCTATTCTTTCCATTTTTCAGTCGTAATTAAATTATTCAAGATAAAAAGTTTGGGGCAATGTATTAGTGTCTGAGCCTCAGCCCCAGAAATTCTGATTTAAATGGTTCTGAAGTGGGGCCCAGGCACTAGTATATTTTAAAAGCTCCTCTGGGAATCCCGATGTACGATTGAAGCTGGAAATCACTGCTATGGATTGCTGGGTTTTTCAGCTTCTCTTGACAAAGAGAGTGAGTCCCATCTCTTTCTTCTTGTCCAAATTTCAAAATTCCTGGGGTGAGGATGGATGGGTTCAGTTGGATCAACTGCCATCCCCTAATGCAGTCAGCTCTGACCAAGTACACTGTTCAGCTGGCTGCACACACAGGAAATGTGGATGGGTAAGCAGTTTCCAGACAGGGATGGGTGGGCTGAGGGGGTAGTTAGGAAAATAAATGTAATAATGATAATAGGAGTCCAGTGTATTCCTCTAACAGAAATGCAAAGTGAGTCCTGAACTGCTGAATTTGAGAACATCCAGCTGTTGATAAGACAAAGCCATTGCTTATTATGACCGCTGTTTTTTCAAATTATATCTATTTCAAAAGAATGGAATAACAGAGAATTGGTCTTTGTTAATCTGAAAGTTTTGGATCGCAAAATACAAATTAACATGTTTGATAACAAAAACAAAAATCTTATCCATATTAGAGTAGGAAGTTGTAAAAGTTGCTCTGCATTAGGTGATGCATATTAGCAAATACTATGAAGGTCACTGCTTGGCATAATGTTCTATTTGTAGCAGGTATACATTTTATCTCATAACACATCTGGCTTTTAAAATATCACATTTCCTCAAAGATTCTAAATCAGTTATAAATCAGTTAATAGAACGAGTCCTCCCTACTGCCCTTTGATTTCCTACAAATATTTTTGAGGAAATTCCATCTTGGCGTTGTGTTTGGAGAGGCTGTCTTCTGCCAAGGATCTAGGAAGAATTTGGAGAGTCTAAAGCAGTCTCAAGTCATCATTGCAGCTGGAAGAGAGTGGCACTATCCCTTCTGTGCAAGCTTGGGCACGGAGACATTTTATGATGGTCTTTAATGCCTTGGGTCTCAAAGGCATTTGAGTTCCATATATATTCAGTTCTCTTCACACGCTGAGTCACCCATGAATGTCTTCTCACTTCTACAGGCATTCCGTGGTACGGGAGCTGATACCTAGGGAGTTTATATAACCTCTTCCCTTTCTCAAACCAGGAGGAAAACTCTTCTTCCTTGCCCGAAATACCTATCTTTTTTCTAGTAATTGGAACACCTCTTAAGCCAGGTGTTTGTACAAGAACAAAAGCCTGGGTGGGAATTGAGTTCTGGGTACTTGGCAATTTCTTTGGTTGTGTATCACAAAAACCTGTGATAACCCTTTGAGGTAGAGAGCTCAGAACTTTAAAAAATGTTCAGAAAATATACCTCTTCACTGGCCCATTCTTCTATAGCAATGACACACACACACACACACACACACACACACACACACACACACACACACCCAATTTTAAGAGATTATCCAGATACTGATATCTGTGCCCAGGGCCATTTCCTGAGGACTGTGAATCGTGTGCTTTGGTGGGGTGGAACTGCTAAGGGAAGACAGGAGAAACATAATGCTGATGCCAAATGCCTAAGTCGTGACATGTTTTCAGCCGGTTCCGAAAAGAGAACTGGGCTTCCTGTAGCAAGAACTGGGCTTTGGGAGATGAAAAGGTTCTGTGAGTTCTGAAGCAATCAGAGCAAAGAGAGAGAGAAGGAAGAGCACAGAATGAGGGACGGGCAGTTTCCCATATCCCTGAGAAGTGGTGGAGACCAGACCTGACCCAGGCAGATAGTCTTTGGCCACTGAGAAAACAAAGAATCCATGTGATCTATGTGGAGCTGGCTACCAGAGAGGAGAGTGGGACACGGCTATTTCAGTGTGGGCGAAGCAGGGCTGAGTACTGATGCCCAAAAGCCAGCAATGATTGTACCTCTTGTCAGAAGCTACCACTGTGGAGGCTTCATCCATGGATGTCTTTCTCATGATACCAGAATATTATCCCAGGAGAAAAAGGAAGAGGAAAAGAAGGAGGAAATTCTGAATTGATCAGAAGAGATCTAGTTTAAACTGAAAGTCAATGTGTTACCTTGCATGGGTTATAATGCAAAAAAAAAAAAAAGAATAAATAAAACAAAAACAAAAACATTTGCATTCATGTTTCGCTAGTTTCATGGCCGCTAGACGCAGTCACAATCTGTGTGTACTTGTCATAAGTTTAGACTTTAAGTAAGGATTCTTAGTTGGTTTATTCAGATGGCCATGACTTCCTCCAAAATGCTGGCTGTGCCTCTGAAATGCTCTCTTTTTCCTGAGCCTCTGTGTCTCAGTTCTCCTTCATTGCTGTCCTTCTGGGATCTCATGCTGGAAAAACCATTTCAAAACTTCTTTGGTGCAAAACTTTCTTCCTGCTCAAGAAACAAATTGTAAACAAGTCACCCTTTGAATAGAAACACTGATACCTTGACCATTTATTCATTTGTTTAGCTATCCAGAATGAGAGTAAAATACGGTATTTTCAGACATACCAAGATTAAGAGAATTCTCAACCACAGATGTTCATTTAAAAAGTTTGAAAAGATATATTCTAGCAAGAAGTAAAGCAAATACAGAGAAAACAGATGTAATACTAGAAAGAATGTGAAAAGTAAGGAAACAAAGTAGGAAATGTGGCTCCAATATGGAGAACTGGTGGTTTTAGGGGTTAGATAGCCCCTTGTTTTCATATTGCTTTTTACTTTTGAACATCCATTTGGGGACACTTTTATCTCTTCATTTATGAAGTAATTAATCACAAATAATTATTCATAGTGCTCCTATATCTACTGAAAGAGAGAGAGAGAGAGCAACCCAAACATGGGCTGGAGCTAAAGTTCACAAATAATCTGAAACTCCAAATTGTAAAATAATTTTAAAAGATGACTGGTTGGGTGAGTATGCATATTTTAGTGTAATTATTTAAGCCATTGAGGCAAGAGGTCCACATATTTAGTGCCTCTACAGCCATGTGATCAGAGTAGAGATGCTACCTAAAATTTCTCACTTCAATATCCTGATTTTGTCAAAAAGAAAATAGTTATTACTCGTCAGTGAGCACAGTTATGATAGTTTATACTATGTAAACATTCAAATGTAAAGTTTTTAGAGCCATTGATAGGTCAGGAATCATTCTTTTGAGATGAACTGTTATAAGCTCTCCATAACAACTATTATACATACAACTGTTATACATACCAATATATACGAATATATATTTGCACATATTTTTAGAACTATTACGTATTTATGTTGGGCTTTCTCATTTCTGAGTCCTCACTCATGTGAATGACGTAGTGCTGGGTGTTTTTGCAGAAGTAGGAGGCATCATGGAGTAACGTGTCCTACAGTTGCAATAGCGACATGGTTTTTATAGAAAAAACAAGATGAAGGCTACTGAAATCTGAACAATAGTAGAAGTGCTTCAGGAAAATATTTGCATAATGAAAATACACAAATCTAAAAACAAATATTTCAGGCTAAATGCTACCTAAATATCAGCTTAACTCCCTTATTTCTCTTTGTTTCCAGACTTGCTCCTCCTTCTCTATTTCATCTTCTCATTAACGGCCTCAAAACAGTTTACTCGAAAAACATCAATGTCATCTCTTTTTGCTACCCTTTTCATATATGCGTTTCCCCTCAAAATTACTGTCTTTTTCTCCAAAGTTAATAACAGCCTCTGCTCTTCACTCCTCTCTCTTTCTCATTCGGGCATCGGATTCCATCATTTTTCTTCTTTGAATCCATCTCCCTGATATTGCCTCGGTTTGGGTCCTTGTTACTGTTCATCTGGACTAAGGAATGTCTTCTTCGCTGACGTCCCGGTTCTGGCCTCTGCCTTCTGACTTACCCACTGCACTGTTGGCAAAATAATCTTTCTAAAATGAAATCTGATTCTGTCATTAAAATGTTTCTGCTGGATTACCTCAAATCTTCACTTTATATTGATACTTTGCTTCTATTTGATGTCTCTTTCTTCAAGCTCCTAATTACTTATGAATTTCATGATAGTATTTTGATTTTTCAAGAGTTATCTTGATCTGTTATTTTATCTTTTCTTCTTTGAACTCATGTAATAAAAAAATGCTCATATTATCTTGTTCTGTATCTTAAACTAACTGTGAAGAATTTCCCTGCAAATGTGTATGCGTATGTGCATGTGTGTGATATTAACTTTTATGGTGGGTTTTTTGACTTAAGCTCTGCTGCTTTGTTTTTCTCCAAAACACTTCTCTATAATGTGTTAGCATTGTTGGGATGCATCTCCTTTTATATTGTTCGTGCTTAAATTACTCTGATACACAGAAGGTGACTTCTTTTTTTTTTTTTTTTTTTTTTTTGAGACGGAGTCTCGCTCTGTCGCCCAGGCTGGAGTGCAGTGGCGCGATCTAGGCTCACTGCAAACTCTGCCTCCAAGGTTCAAGCAATTCTTCTGCCTCAGCCTCCTGAATAGCTGGGACTACGGGCGCCCGCCATCACGCCCGGCTAATTTTTTGTATCTTTTTTTTTAGTAGAGACGGGGTTTCACCGTGTTAGCCAGGATGGTCTCGATCTCCTGACCTCGTGATCTGCGCACCTCGGCCTCCCAAAGTGCTGGGATTACAGATATGAACCATCGCGCCCGGCCCAGAAGATGACTTCTTGACTCCTCTCTCTCCGTATCTGACACTACTTCATTCTTTACCAGGGTAAGGTTTGAGGTCTGGGCATTTTGTGCTCTATCTCCTTTTCTGCAGTGTAAGGGGAGAGCAGGAGGAAGAGGCTCTCTGCAGCAGCACTGACACCTGGTATATTGGGCAAGCTCCCAGGAACAAATAGCATTCTCCATAGGGTTTTCCTGAAGAAGATTTAGCTGAAAATAAGAAACTGAAGAGAAGTTAATGAAGAGTTGTTTTTTTTTTTTTTTTTTTTTTACAGAGGTATTTTTTTTTTTTTACAGAGGAATTTTTTTTTTTTTTTTTTTTTTTTTTACAGGAAGGGCTAAAGGACTCAACAAGGCAAACAACAGGGAGCCGCAGGAGTGGAAAGCCATCATGATTCGTAGGCCTGAGGAGGCGGGAGGTCAGAGGAGGGAATTACTAGAGCCAGGTGCCAACTGAGGCTTAAGAGAGAATGCCTAACAGGAACTGCAGTCAGAGAAAAGCAGCCGCTGCTAGGAATGTGACCGTGCAGGGAGAGAAAATGAATACATCTCCTCATCTCTCTATCCTCCCACCGTCTCATCTCCTGCCAATGACTCCCATTGGAATAAGCCAATCGGAAGCCAGAGTCAAGACAATCTGCCGAGGCTAGCTTCCTGGGGCAGAGAGTAGGATGTGGAAGAACAGAGAATAACTCCAATGGGTGATGGGGGACAAATGGAGGGCAACCCACCCACCTAGGCTTAGCTCTCTGATACTGCGATTTTGTTAAATGCATGGTATCAGGACTTACTCCATTTTCGTGGGTTATATATGCCAGTGGCAGATGTCTTAAGGTTCTGAGTTGTTTCTTTGACTCTAGGTATGGCCCAGGAGTCTTCATTTCTACCAGAAAGAGGCAGTTTCACTGTTCCCTCTCCCCATTTCACAATGTATCCCTAACATCCAATTTTAAAATCCTCAGCTAGATGAGGAAAAACAAAATAATTGCTGTATTTTGCCTCTTTCTAGATTTCTAAGTATTAGTGACATTTCTAAAGATTTTGTCTACTCTATAGTTTGGTTAAAGGGAACAGAAAAGGAGAATAAACTTTAGGATCTGTGCTCTGCTGCTACACTCTACTCCATTTCAGGATTTCTGATTTCTTTTCTTTAATAGTTTTGGATTGCCCCTTTTCTCATTTTGTTACAACTAAAGTAATTTCAATATTTTGTTAGATGCTGAAAATGTTCTTTAATTCATTACCAGGTTGGTGAGAAATCCCACCAGTGTTTTTCTATGGATGAGCATCTGATAGACTGCTTTTCTTATTAATATTATAAAATAATATTATATAATATAATAAAATAATGTATGATATAATACTATCTCATACTAATATTATCAAAGCACTTCATAATGGTTTTTAATGTTTGCATAATATTCCTTTATATAGATTTATAAGTTTATTATCTACTATATTATTGTTTGACATCTATACTTTCCATATTCTTTTTTTTGCTACTCTGTATACAACTGCCATGAGCAGCCTTGTACGCTTTGCCTTTTTCTGTGCTTCCAGTTATTTCTGTATGACACAGTTCTAGTAGTGCTGCAAGTGCCGTAAAAGTTTGGCTTTACCTGGTTATTTAGAGTTCCTCACCCAGTTCTGTATATTTTCCTAGTTTCTTTATCCTGGCAGCCTCTGACAGTCAGATGAAATTCTCTCTTTGGCTTTTTGGTGAGTCACAACGTGGATGAGTCTCAGGCACACCTTCACCAGGTGCCTGACACAGCTGCCGTCTGCACATGCTCATCCCTATTTACTGTTTACATTTCAGATGTGAGTCATCATCTATTACCTGGCATCAATTGAAACCTGCATGCATAAAGGGGAAAGTGTCCAATGCAGAAGCTTTAGAGAAACTGGCCAATCCTCAGAGGAACCAATGAACATGAAAAAGTTTTTCTATTTTTTTTTTATTGTTATTATTATTATTTTTTTTCATACAGGGTCTCACTCTGTCTCCCAGGCTGGAGTGTAGTGGCACAATCTTGGCTCACTGAAACTTCCGCTTCCTGAGCTCAACTGATCCTCCAGCCTCAGCCACCTGAATAGCTGGGATTGCAGCATGAACCACCATGCCTGGCTATTTTTTGTATTTTTCATAGAGACAGGGTTTTGCCATGTTGTCCAGGCTAATCTCGATGTTGTCCAGGCTGATCTTGAACTCCTGAGCTCAAAGTGATCTACCCACCCCCACCTTCCAAAGTTCTGGGATTACAGGCATGAGCCACTGCACCCAGCCAATTTACAGTTTAAAAAACTGGGATTCTGGGGAAAACTGAGGGCTTCCCCAAACATATGAGTAGGTAGCTCTGTGAGTATGGTTTGGAATATAGAGAGTCAGCCTGGTTGTCAAAAATTTGGTCTACTGACCTGAGGTAGTGCCTATACTTCCTACTGCTGGAGAGGCTGCCTCTAGATAATCTCTTTTAAAATGTGCACTTGGGATAATGAAAACCACAACATCATTAATCTTCTCCTTCCTCCTTCCTTCTTTCTTCCTCCTCTTCCTCCTCCTCCTCTTCCTCCTCCTCTTCCTCCTCCTCCTCTTCCTCCTCCTCCTTCCCTCCTCCTCCTATTCCTCCTCTTCTTCTTCTTCTTGCTAGAGATGATGACCAGCACTTTGCATGTCCAATGAGGACAGACAGGAGTACCTGGAAAGTATGATAGAGTTCAAAGAGCCTTGGTCAGAAGTCAAAAGAGAACCTGGTTCTTCCAGTAACTTGAGGTGTGACCTTGAGAAAACCACTTAACATCTGAACCACAATTTCTTCTTTCATAAAAGAGGAAAAACTATACTTTCTATACCTACCTCACAAAACTATTATGATGTCAAGATGAAAGTTACACAAGCATAACCAATTTTACTGCACTTTGCTTTATTGCTATTCATAGATATTGCATTATTTTTATTTTTATTTTTTTACTAATTAAAGGTTTGTGGCAACCTTGCATTAAGCATGTCTACTGGTGTCATTTTTCCAACAGCATGGGCTCACTTAGTGTCTCTGTGTCACATTTAGGTAATTCTCATATTTCAAACTTTTTCATATTATGTCTGTTATGGTGATTTGTGAATAGTGATCTTTTATGTTACTATTATAATTGTTTTGGGGTGCCACAAACACCCATATTAGCTGATGAACTTAAGATCGTGTGTATTCTCCACCGACCAGCTATCTCTCACCCTATCCTGAGGCCTCCCTATTCCCCTGGGACACAACAATATTGAAATTAGGCCAACTAATAACAATCCCACCAGTTGGCTGGGTCCAAGTAGGAGAAACGCAATCTCAATTTTGGGCTGTGTCAAGAAATAAAAGTCACGATCCCACCTGATGCCTTCCTATAGGCTCGAGAGACATAATGCTTTCTGTGACCCTTGTCTATGTATGAGATTCACAGTCTTACCTGTTGATTGGGTCCAGATATCAGAGTCAACATCTCTCCTGTTGGCTGGGTCCAGGTATAGGAATAACAATCTCACATTTGGGCTCGGCCCAGAAATGAGAATCACAATCCCTCCTGTGGGATGGGTATTCCTATGGGAACACTTCTAAGTGTGCAAATGAAAGGAAGTGTCGCTTGTCCTTCACTTTAAATCAAAAGCTAGAAAGGATTAAGCTTAATGAGGAAGACATATCGAAAGCTGAGATAGGCTGAAAGCTGGACCTCTTGAGCCAAATAGTTAGCCAACTTGTAAATGCTAAGAAAATATTCTTGGAGGAAATTGAAAGTGCTACTCTAGTGAACACATGAATGATAAGAATGAAAAACAGACTTACTGCTATGGAGAAAGTTTGAAAGGTCTAGATAGAAGATCAAATCAGCCACAACATTCCCTTAAACCAAAGCCTAATCCAGAGCAAGGCTCAACTCTCTTCAATTCTGTGAAGTCTGAGAGATGTGAGGAATCTGCAAAAGAGAAATTTGAAGCTAGCAGAGGTTGGTTCACGAGGTTTAAGGAAAGAATCATTTCCATACATAAAAATGCAAGGTAAAGCAGCAAGTGCTGATAGAGAAGCTGCAGCCAGTTAACCAGAAGATCTGGCTAAGATCACAGATGAAGGTGGCTGCACCAAACAATGGATTTTTAATGGAGACAAAAGAGCCTCCTGCTGGAAGATGACATCTTGGACTTTCATAGCTAGAGAGAATTCAGTGACTGGTTTCAAAACTTCAAAGGACAGGCTGACTCTCTTGTTGGGGGCTAATGCAGTTTATAACTTTGCATAGAAGCCAATGCTCATTTAGCATTCTGAAAATCCTAGGGCCCTTAAGAATTATGTTAAATCTGCAGTGCTTGTGCTCTATAATTATATGGAATAACAAAACCTGGATGATAGCACATCTGTTTATAGCATGGTTTATTGAATATTTAAGTCCACTGTTGAGATCTTCTGCTCAGACGAAAAGATTCCTTTCAAAATATTACAGCTCATAGCAATGAGCAATTCATCTGGTCACTCATAGAGCTCTGATGAAGATGTACAAGGAGATTAATGTTACTTTTGTGCCTGCTAACATAACATGCATTCTGTAGCCCAGGGATTAAGGAGTCATTTTGACTTTAAAGCCTTATTATTCAAGAAATGCATTTTGTAAGGCTATAGCTGCCATAGATAGTGACTCCGATGGATCTAGGCAAAGTAAATTGAAAACCTTCTGGAAAGGATTTGTCATTGTATTGTATTGTATTGTATTGTATTTTTGAGATGGAGTTTTGCTCTTGTCGCCCAGGCTGGGTGCAGTGGCGCAATCTGCCTCCCAGGCTCAAGTGATTTTCCTGCCTTAGCCTTCCAAGTACCTGGGATTACAGGCACCCACAACCACACCCGGCTAATTTTTTTTTTCCCAGGAGAGACAGGGTTTCACCATGTCGGCCAGGCTGATCTCAAACTCCTGACCTCTGGTGATCTGCCCGCTCGGCCTCCCAAAGTGCTGGGATTACAGGCATGAGCCACTGCACCCGGCAGATTTGTCATTTTAGATGCCATTAAGAACATTCATGATTCATGGGAGAAGGTCAAAATATCAACAGTAACTGGAATTTGAAATAAGTTGATTCCGACCCTCATGAATGACTTTGAGGGTTTAAGACTTCAGTGGAGGGAGTAACATGGTAAATGTGGTGAAAACAGCAAGAAAACTAGAATTAGAAGTGAAGCCTGAAGATGTGACTGAATTGCTGTGATCTCATGAAAAAACTTTAATGGATGAGAAGTTGCATCTTATGGATCAGAAAAGGAAGCAGTTTCTTGAGGTAGAATCTACTCCTGGTGAAGATGCCATAAACATTGCTGAAATGACAACAAAGGATTTAGAATATTATTAGTTAATAAAGCACCAGGAGGGTTTGAGAGGACTGACTCCAATTTTAAAAGAAGTTCTACTGCTATCAAACAACATAACGTGCTACAGAGAAATCTTTCATGAAAAGAAGAGTCAATCAATGTGGCAAACTTCACTGTGGTCATATTTTAAGAAATTGCTTTAGCCGCCCCAGTCTTCAGCAATCGTCACTCTGATCAGTTAGCAGCCATCAACATTGAGGCAAGACTTTCCACCAGGACAATGTTTAGGACTTGCTGAAGGCTCAGATAATTGTTAACATTTTTAGCAAGAAAATATTTTTAATGAAGGTATGTACATTTTTTAGACATAATGCTATTATTGCACACTTAATAGACAACAGTATAGTGTACTCGCAACTTTTACATGCACTAGGGAACCAAAAAATTCTTTTGACTTGCTTTATTGCAATCTTATATTATTACGGTGGTCTGGAACTGAATTTACAATATCTCCTAGGTATGCCAGTATGTGAAAATGCTCTGAAAAAATTAAACCCCATTCGAAGATCAGCTCTTTCACCAAGATTGCGCCACTGCACTCCAGCCTGGGTGACAGAGCAAAACTCAGCCTCAAAACAAACAAACAAACAAACAAACAAACAAACCAAAGATGAGCTCTTTCTTATTTTGGAAAAGCCACATGACATACTTAAAAAAAAGTTACAGACCTGGGTTCAAATCCTAAAGAGTAAACAGACAATAACTGTTTGCTTCATTATTCTTTTCCCTTCCATAATGTCTGTATTCAGGCAGGAGGGATGGATTGGTCATTAACTAAAGGGAAAGCAGTGGGATGGTTAATGACAGATGCTGTGTAATCTTCCATCCCTGAGATCATCTGAAGTGTATGCCTACAGTCTGTCTGGGAACTTCTACAGCACTTTGTGAAATCTCACTTGAAGTCTCAGTAATTCATTACAAAGCCTAATTATGCAAGTAGCAGCCGCAGACTGTCAGCTGACCAAGCTGGTGATTGAAATCCTTCTGGTTGGCTGATAAAGTTCTGTCTGGAGTTTTGTTTACCTTTTGGATTACTGTGATTTGTGATTTCTAGTTCAATACTTTTTTTTTCTTAAGTCAGAGAAGAGGTTTTAAATTTTTTTTTCAAAATTGTCTTATAAAACTGCTTGTCTCCATTTCTGTGTGTGTGTGTTTCACACACTTGCTGTGTGTGTGTGTGTTTCAGTCAAGCAATTTTTTTTTCTTTCTAAAGGAGCCAAACACCGAACATGTCCCAGCCTGCAGCTCACATGTTTTCCTTTTGCCTGTTTTGTCTTAACGTTAGGGAGCTGGGCCTGTGGTCAGTCAACTGTATGGCTTTTAGGTGCAGACATTCTATACAGAAACAGGAAGAGATACTCTGAAATTAAATTGCTAACAAAGATGAGACTCATTTTGTGGAATCTGGAATTTTGGAATGCTTCCTGTCATGTTGATTCGACAGGCTTTGATTCTTAGAGTCTTACAGTCTCTAGGGAGAAAGCCCCAGTCCAAGTTCCCAGCCACCCCGGGTGTGCATCAGATCTCTCATACTGTGAATTCCCAGAGTTGTGAGGGGCCGCCAAAAAGATGCCATCCTTGTTCTAGCTGCTAGGACATTGCTGAGACATAAGGAGCTCATTTTTTGTTTGTTGAACAAACACATGGATTAACATCTTAAGTACCTTCTCTAGGTCTGGAAAGCAGAGAATGGGTTGGAGGGTTGGAAATGTTATTCCTTTGTAGATCCAAACATTCTACTAGTATACTTTGCTGTTCCCTTTTTTGTCCCCCTCCCCAGCCCCCGCTTTTTTTTTTTTTTTAAATAAGGGAGAGGGAAAATAGTTTCTTAATTTTTACTTTAAAAAAATTCTAATGCTTTTGTATTTGGCACATTTCACCTTAGGAAATTGCAATATTAATGAAATTGCTTTATTTATTTTAATATGAATCACACGAAGTGACTTATTTTTAGGTTGTATGTTCTTGACAGGTAAGCCTTTTCTGAAATAAATGTCTATAATGAATTTTTTAGCTTAGGACATGTGAAACCAACATTTCAAACATTTGTTTGAGAGGCAAGAGTTATACTCCAGTTACCCCTGCTGACCCGGGGGAGGGAAGTCAGAACCACCAGACCCCTGTGGCTTTTCACAAGAAAATGAGGACAGAGGATCTGGCAGATAGGAGGTGGGTGGTCAAAAGATTAGAGTCACACTACTGTTTTGCCACTACACGCTTTTGCTTCTTTTAAACTTTCTGCTTCATGGAACTAGAAAAAAAGCTAATGACTATGGTTTAATGTCAACAACTCTGAAAGAAAAATAATTTCATTCAAACCCAGATTAAAACACACCACTTAATGTAAAGAGCAATCAGTTTTATCGGCTAAGTTTTTTAAAAGGTCAACTTTAAGAAATATTTCTTTCAGTTAAAATAAATTAGATAAAGGTAAAAAATATGCTGAAAATTAAAATCACACTGTTGCTGAAATGTGGAAAAAGACAGCATGTCAGAGTTGTGGTCCTCAGTTATTTTATTTCAAGGTAGACTTGGGAAGTAAAGAAAATGTTCAAAACTTCTGGGCTCTGTGCAGCAACATAACTATCAAAAAAGGCCATACTACTGCAAAGTACAATGAAGGTCACTTCCACAGAGATCACAAAGCCCTCATTTGGACATAACAGAAATGTAATTTTAGTAATAATCAAAAGCATTTTTGATAAAAATTATAACAACTGTATTTAAAATGCAAAGCAAAATGACAATTTAATAAACAGATTTTCAACATATTACATTAAAATTTTAAGCAAACAGAATGAGTTTCATCCTGATTTGCAGAACTCAGCTGATCATACACCTTCTTTTTAAAAAGATCTACTTGAGCTTCTGTGCTGAGTAATGCTGACATTATGACAGTTTGTTGTCTTGTGTCATCCCCTAAATCATTTTTTAGAATTAGTTTTAGTTAAGAAAAAGAACATTCTGTATGATGAGAATTTTGAAAGATAAAATCAACTTGATTCAGAAAAACGTGGAGTCATCTTTAGGTTTCATGAGCATTATGTCATCAAATTCATCAATGGCTTTAATTTTTTCTAATTTTGATTATTTTGCCCAAAGCAGTAATTGCATTGGTGATGATTCTGATAGGTCAGTTTGATGATTTTTATACCATAATTTTCATCTGTTTGATTAACTTAGGTAGGAATAAAGGATGAAAATATGGCTGGCAATTTTACTTGAAATTGTGTGTCCATCTGTGTTGCTACAAAATACATGTAAAGTGATGATTAACAAAGTAGCCTCTTTGTGTGAGAAGTACAAATGTTTGGACAGCTGTATTAATAATAGGCTGAGATAGGCAATACAAAATATTTTAAATAATCATTGAATTTCAGTGGAATTTTAGCTAGGCAAGTATTTCAATGGAGGAAACGTGACTGGAAAATGAATTTTGCCTAGTCTTTAAAATAATGACATTGTTTCCTATGGAATTATGCATGATTGGGCTAGAGTTCTTCTTGGCTAAAAATGGTCAAATACCAAATATAAACCATTGTGATTGCTTCTGGTCTTTGTTGATGACATTCAAGTCTTCTGAATCCTTTTATCTAAAAGTGAAGAGACAGCAAATAGCTTTCAAGAATGATCTCAACTCAAGATAAAAAATATTAACATTATTAAAGTGTAATATTAAATTTCTTAGCTTAGGTGAGTCCTCTACAGAGCACAGACCTTGATGCAAATTATGAGCTCTTCCCACCCACCTCCCCTCCATCTTTCCTCCCTACTTTCCTCTTTCTTTACTGAATATACTGTGTGCCAACCATGTATCAAGCACTGTTCTAGGTGTCAAGGAATCAGTTTAGTTTTGATATCAGTTCTGGTAGAAATAACAATAACAGACCATGCTCAAGATCAGTTTTGAAGAAATCACAGATTACCTATGAACATATAGTTCCAGAGTTAGGTGGGAGTGAGGAATAATAGGCCAAGCCTCTTCAAAAGATATTTCTAGGCTGAGTTTGCCCATAGGAACCCCAGCTCATCTTCTACTGTAGCCATTCACAGATTTCTCAGCCCTGCCTAACCCAGAGACTGAATCATCATTCCTGCTCCCTGAATATAGGCTGTTATTTATTATATCCATGCAGGCAAGGTGAAATCTGGCAGGCAGTAGCTTCCTTTGGAGGGGTTCTCATGTTAGGAGTGACGTGCAAGCCAACAGCAGAGGGTGGGGGATATCTCAGCAATTGCCTGTGTCTCCCAATGCTGCCTGTGCTGTCACTGCAGCCTCCTAGAGAACGAAGTCAATGGGAGGCCACAGGACACTGCCTCTGGAGCAGAAAGGTCTGAGTAGACAGCACGGAAGAGGAAGACAGCCCAGTCTCATAGGTGAACTGACTGGGTCTGCAGTGGCATGGGACCTATGAAAGCTTCAAATTGGAGACATTTTGCCTTTTTATTTCTTTTTATAGAAACAAGAAAGTCAGCTGTGTGGAAGACAATGACTCATATACTTTTGCTGTACTACTTGGTGTTTCTTTTGCCCACAGAGTCCTGTAGGACATTGTATCAGGTAAGAAAAGGGGAAGGAGTGGAGGATGAACTGGTGGGGAAAGCAAATTGGCAATAAAATCCATCAGCTAACCAGCTTTGGGTTACCAGAGAGCTGAAGTATAGGGAAAAGATGGTGATAGAGTGACTGGCCCAGCCAGAAGTAATTGCAACTACAGCTAAACAAAACCCACTTTAACCAATAGCTACACATTGCTTTTCTCTCAACTTTTTTCCATGAGTTCCTGAGATGCAATGAGGCTCAAGTGATTTAAGAGTAATAAATACTTTGTTCTATATCTTCTGATAGTGAATGTTTCAGTTGCTCATAACCAGGGTGGTACCATTTCCTGGGGGCACTTGAAAATGTGGAGGTGTTAAGGGTTGCCATAATGACCAGGAGGTATTAGTGGCATTTAGAGGCAGGGCCTAGGAATGGCCTGGCACAATGAAGCATTGTCCCATCCAAAATGGCAACAGCATCTCCCATAAGAAACCTGATAGTGAACACCATGAATGGGCTAGAAGAAGCAATGAGCAACTCAGGCAGTGGTTAAACAAGGTCTCACTGGGACGGAGTTTCTGGCAATGGACTCTTTTAAATTTTGTAGGACGGAGGCCCTATGGCTCTTTCTGAAATATTTTTCCTGACACCATAAGTCATTTTAATTTCCCTGTTAGTTACTCATTTAAAATAAGTTGTAGAGGAGCACAGAGAGAGGATACATGAAAACATTTTGAGCATCTTCTGAAGAGAGTACTATTATTTGACCACAAGTTCTGGAAGGCAGCTTTGAGATCAACTGGTGAAGCTCCACTCCCTTATTTTGCGGTTAGGGAGATGGAGACCCATGGTGTGGGATGTGATTTGCTTGAGGTACGTACTTACTCAGTTACAGGGCCAAGGCCAGAACCTCTGTTTTCAGATTCTCGGCTTCTTGATCTTTCCATTTTAATATATGTCTTCTTAACAAAAGCCTCTTAGGAAAAAAATGACTTTGGAAGTTCCTTCCAAGAGTTTTTCAAATGATATTTACTTTATCCTCAAGTTAGTTTGTCTTTGCATGGGAATCTTCTCCATGGCTCCCCTTCCCCACTAATACTAAACAGGTACCTGGTTTCCGGGAGAAGTTAGAGACTCTTGGAAAGACCATTTCCTGAAGGCTGTCCAACCCTACAGCTTGTTACTATTTCCTCCCTTCATTCCATTTCCGCATTCACACTTTTCTGCAAGACAGAATGTGGACAGTAGGCAGAGCATGGGAGGTTGGCTTTGTTTCTCTTGATCATTGGGATTTACCTTACTGGGAACATTCTATCCTTCTCTTCTCATTAGACAAGCTGCTGGGTGCTGAGCTGCTGAGTTGCTGATGCTGCTGGCTCCTGACCTGCCTATGCTCCCAGGCAGCTCAGCAGGTTGAGCAGGTTGCCGGTTTGCAAGTATCTTTTTTTCACAGTATTAGGTTGGGGACTGTTGGTATCCAAAGCTAAAGTGATCTATACTGGATGCTACACTAGAAATGAAATAACCAAAGGAGTATGCGATGTGCTTTGGCAAACTTAGATGGGAAGAAATTAATCAGGTCCTTTCCTTAAGAAGCCCAAGTTTTCAGAACTCCAAGTAAACAGAATATCATGGCTTTCTGCCCACATACATGATAAATATAATGTGACTTCACTTGGATGTGTTTAATGGACCAAGTATCATCCAGAGTTGTTGACTTATAACTGCATTTATCACAATGTATTGAAGAACATGGTCTTATCGAGATGGGTTTTGAGTATCTTGAGATGCCTATGTTTCCTTCCACTCGTCCCCTCTGCCTATTGCACTTGAACATAGGCCGGCTGTTTAGAAAAGGCAGTATTGTAGGAATCAGGAGATCTAAGTTCTCGTCCTAGCTGTAAGGGGCATTTCCTACATGGCCTTGTGCAAATCACCACAACATCAAGCCTCATTTTCCTTAACTGTAAAATAAGAGGGCTGGATTGGATGATATATAAAGTCTTCCAAAATTCTGAAGATATTATTTTAGCGTTCTTGTTTGGTGCAAGAACTTTAATTCTTCCACGTATAAGATAAGGCTTGATTCTCTGGACTATAAAATGAGAAGTCATCTTCTGTCAGTGATTTCTCATGTATGAATCCTCAGTGATACTTTCTTGACTTTGGAGAGATCCCAAAAGCTCAATTCAGATTCCCCATAAGTTCTTATTTGGTAGAGAAAAGAGGGAATATTCAGCCTTGTTTCTTGATAACATAGAGAGAAGTAAGGTTGTGAAGAAGAACCCCATGAGTTGGCATGAACCCCAAGAGTTAGTCACAGAGCTATGTTAGTGAATTTCCAATTTCTTCCTCAATGGATTAGAACTTGGAACTCAAGTTGGAGTAATTGGGTTAAGGCTCTTCTCAGCCACTAGGAAACACTATTCCAGTGCAGAAGCAAGAAAACCGTCTTTTTGTCGCTCCTCACACACACATACACACATGAACATATATGTCAGTATATATATGCATACTAAAATGTATATATGCATACACACATATGTACAAGACACTGAACTAGCTACTTGGAGGAATATACTGGAGCACAATACACAGTCCATGTTCTTAAGGAACTTGTAATTTAATTGAGGAGCTAATATGCTTCTACAAAAAAGATTAGATAGCAAAATGGCAGGTCAGGTGAGAACATGCCAAGCATTGAATGTGTGTTTGGCTGTATGGATGATGATTCCTATAGGAGCCAGAAGAAAAGATGTATCATGTGCAGAACTGGATCAGGAAAGACCTCTTGGAAGGGGGAAACTTGAGCTTTGTATGTAACTGAAATTCAGTAAGTTTATGTGCAGAGTAATAACAGTAGTAAATTCTTAAATAGACTTACAGTATTCTTAGAGCCCATTCCTAGTGCTTTTCATAGAAGAGCTCGTCTATTCCTCATAAACATGCTCTAGGGCAAGAATCATACAATTATAGTACTATAGTTCTTACTCTACTTTATGGAAGAGGAAACTGAAGCTCAGAGGGATCAACTTTCCCAAGGTCTCAAATGTTGGTGTTGAGATTTGAACCCAGGTTGTCTACTCCCAGAGTACATCCCTTGACCACTATGTGACACTTTCTTAGTGAAAGGTCGGGTATGGTCTCGATGGATGGGACAAAGAGGGGGTTCTAATTAGGAGTGATGGAGATGCTCACGGTATGGGGGAGCTAGGTTTTGGAGGAGTCCTCCTAAGGAAAAAGAATGCAATGTTACAAATACAAAACTAAGGGGAAAGTGAACATTTATTTAGAATGAGAAAAGGAATCACAACAAATTTAGAAATGCTGGATAGTATTGTTTAGCATTGTTTAGTAATAAAACAATATTTTTATTAATGAAATGCCCACCTTTTAGTTCTTACATTTTTGACTGCATACTTGCATGATCTTATAATTTTTTTCTATAGAGAGAATAGAAATATTATTCAGTCTTTCCTGCAGCATTATTGATCAAATTTTTTTTCTTGTTATTGCTAGTTTAGAGAAGTATCTTTGAGTTTCTAATTTATTATTAGTAATGGCATGTAAACATGTAGGACTGTTATCAAATTTGGGAAAATTCTATCCAATTTATTTCAAATGTGAGCTGCAAGATATCAGGCAACTTAGAATTTTCTTGTTCTGTGAATAATTGTAAATGTTCTTAGCATTGATGTCACTTAAGTGTTGATGTTCTCACTGTAATGCAGAAGTGACTGGAAACTACATAAGTATATCCGACTAAATTCAAACTAAATGTATCCCAGCTTAACTTGTCCAGAATCCATGAATAGATACGGCTTCTCTGGTGATACCCAAAATGAGGGAGAGTATGAAGGAGGCAGAACACTGAAATGGCAAAAAATGATGATCTTAACAGATGGCAGGTAGTTAAAACATTTTGCTTTTGAGAATTTAATAAAACATATGATCATGTGAACACATGAGATGATCTGCTCATTGAGCATGAGGGGAGAGCAATCTGCTCATTGCTAGACCCTCTCCCAGGGCTTCAAAATGTCCCATACGAGCAAGGGACTCTGAGGCTTAACCTTTGTCAACTTCCTGGTCAATCCACTTCTGCTCATAATGTGTTTCCTGGATAGAACATAGACTTTTCTTACTGGAGAGAGAGGAGTGCTCATACTGAGTAGCAGTGGGAGAGGAATGTGGTCCAGGCTGAAGGGAAAATGGGGTCACAGAGGAGCCATAATTCATGGACTCGGCTTTGGGTGGGCCATGCTGGTATCATAGCTAATTTAACTGTGGTTGTTTGTGACTAAAGTGAGCCATTGGGCTGGCATATCAACAATTGATTTTGATGCGAGTTTTGATTTTCCCTTTCTAGGCTGCAAGCAAAAGCAAGGAGAAGGTGCCTGCCAGGCCACACGGTATGTTGGCAGCAGTTACTTATCACATGGAAGTTTTGCTGTCCATCTATTGTAATAGAGGGCCATTCTCAGCCTTCTGTCCTGTGGCATGGCAGATGGAATCCTTGATGACTCTGATTTTTTTCCTTCATATTAAATTGTACCTTTGTGGTTTTTTTCTTTTTGACTTTTATGTTTGGGGGTACATGTGCAGGTTTCTTACATTGGCAAATTGTGTATCACTGGGATGTGGTGTACAAATGATCCCGCCCAGGTAGTGAGCATAGTACCAGGTAGTAAATTGTACGTTTCACCCCAGCCCTGTTCCTCTCTCCTCCCAGCACCCTCTGCTCCATCTTTGTCTAAGAATTCTTTGCCATAGATCCTTTGGATTGAGCCCATTCAAACTGGGCCAGTGGCTAGAACAGGTCTGTGAGAACTCATTGATGATGTAACATATTATAGAGTTCCTGAGCTGAGAGGCTTCTTAGCAAACATTGGAAGCAGTGGATTCCAACTAGTGGACTGCACTGTGGGTTCGTTCCTCTCACTTCACCTGGGACAGTCCTTTTTTGTTTGTTTGTTTGTTTTTTAGACAGAGTCTCACTCTGTCTCCCAGGCTGGAGTGCAGTGGCACAATATTGGCTCATTGCAACCTCCACCTCCTGGGTTCAAGCGATTCTCCTGCTTTAGCCTCCTGAGTAGCTGGGATTACATGCACGTGCCACTACACCCAGCTAATATTTTGTATTTTTAGTAGACATGGGGTTTCACCATGTGGCCAGGCTGGTCTCGAACTCCTGACCTCGTGATCCGCCCACCTCGGCCTCCCAAAGTGCTGGGATTACAGGCATGAGCCACCGCACCTGGCCGTGTTCCACTTTTATCTATTTTACACACTACAGTTCAGGATAAGATTTTGTTGGAAACAATAAAATTTTGTTGCTGAAATAGATGATGACCACTGATCCATTTCAGTCTTCCTCCACTTTAGGAAAAGAAGACACTGATGTCTGCAGGATTTATGTGCTGTCACTGCAGTGACACCTTGGTGATTGGCCCAGTGGGCCCAGAGCCCAGACCTTCCCATCTGATATGGTCTCCTTTCATTTTCCCAGGTGTATGCGATGGTGTCTGTACAGACTACTCCCAGTGTACTCAACCTTGCCCTCCAGACACTCAGGGAAATATGGGGTTTTCATGCAGGCAAAAGACATGGCACAAGATCACTGACACCTGCCAGACTCTTAATGCCCTCAACATCTTTGAGGTAATATCTTTTCTTTTGCAATATAGATTCTAATGTGGACTCTATGAGCACAGTGGAGCCTCCCATTGGCAGTGGATATTGCCCTCAGTAAGAAAGAGGACGACCATGTAGCAGGGCAGCATGTAGGGATGGGCGAATAGATAAGCACCCACTAGCCTCACTTTCTATGCAAAAATAGCCTTCTAAACTTTGGGTATCTGAAAGTCTGTGCCCATGGACACCTGGCCATGTGAAGGGGCAGGCTGCAGGAGGGCCAGAAGGGAGTCCTCTAAAGCAAGGGTCAGCAAACTTCTGGAAAGTGACAGAGAGAAATATTTCAGGCTTTGTGGGTCACATGGTCTCTGTCATGCCTACTCAACTCTGCCATTGTAGCATGAAATCAGCTGTAGACAGTATTTAAATGAATGGGCGGGCTGCATTCCAGTAAAACCTTATTTACAAAAACCAGGCAGCCAGCCTGGGTCTGTAGTTTGCCACCCCTGCCGTAAAGTGTAGGAACCAGAGTCTGAATCTATGGGAGATACTTTCTATTGCTATTTTCAATCTTGGTGTTCCAGTTGATTCATCCAACTCGAGTTTCAAATTTCTATTTTTAAGACAGACTCATGGCTCATGATTTGCCCTTCATAAATATTACAAATAAGCTTAAATGCCACTAGAAATTTCTATATATACAGGTTATCTGAAGAGATATGCTGAAGATAACAGTTGTTATTCGGAGAGAGGGGAGTTAAGGAATAGGTAGATGGGAAGGAGGGACTTTTATTTGCTGGTTCATACAACTTGGTATTGGTCAAGTTATTTCACAGCAGATGTGACTCTGAGAGTGTAAAATAGAAAAACATTATGTTAGGCTGTCCTAAGTTTTAGTAAAGGTACTTTTACATTTAACACAAAAATAAAATATAAAAATTTCTTTCTTTTTCTATATTGTAGGAGGATTCACGTTTGGTTCAGCCATTTGAAGACAATATAAAAATAAGTGTATATACTGGAAAGTCTGAGACCATAACAGATATGTTGCTACAAAAGTGTCCCACAGATCTGTCTTGTGTAATTAGAAACATTCAGCAGTCTCCCTGGATACCAGGAAACATTGCCGTAATTGTGCAGCTCTTACACAACATATCAACAGCAATATGGACAGGTGTTGATGAGGCAAAGATGCAGGTGAGTGTCCCTGAATAGTTGGTAGAGCATTATCTCAGTGGGAAAGGAATGCAGGTTTGTTGGAGTATTCTGTGAGCTTCTTAGGGACTAGGAACCATGTCTTTCACATCAGTATTTCTAATGTTTAGCAAAGCAAGTGTTCAGTAAATCTTCATTAAAGAAAGGATGAATAAGTGAATGGAAAAAGTAAACATTTAATCAACAAATATTTATAGAGAGCACTTACTTGGTACTGTATTGAACTTTGGAGTATGAGTTACCGATGTATCTTTTGGCTACTGAATACATTTAAGAAACATTCTATGTTCTGGAGAGAGAAAGACTCTTCTTATTTTCATTTGTGAGTCAGGATAGGTTGCTAAAATGGAAAATAATTGAAGGCAAAGAAAACAGCCATACCTATCCACTGCAGAAGCATGAAATAGAACGGGGTCCATTTTGCTTGGTTTTAATCTTCAAAGCAAAGATAGTAAAAAGTAGATTCAGACTCCAGGGTGAATTTCCAATTTATTATGTTCTTGTATAGGGCCCTGCAACACATTTGGGATGCAACAGAGGTTAATCACGTGATAGGTTCTCTGAGCAGGGTAAGCAAGTTGCTAGTTTCGACTAGGTGTGATATGGAGGGGATGATGGACATGAGCATGTGGAAAGCTGCCCAGTGGCCTGGCTCGCAGGAGGCCATTGCATAAATGGAGAAGGGCATGGTGAGGCAATTCCTTTGTAGCTCTATCATCTAAGTCAAACTTCAGTGTACATGCAAGTCACCTGAGTATCTTATTAAGATGCAGATTCTGATTCATTAAGTCTGGGGTGGGGCCTGAGATTCTATATTGCTAAGAAGTTCCCAGAGTATGCCTAGGTTGCTGATTGGAGAAGCACGCTTTATAAAGGTGAGTGTTGAATGTGCTGGCAGTTTCAGAGAGTGGCTCAGTACTAACACTGGTTCTTCATTGGCAGAGTTACAGCACCATAGCCAACCACATTCTTAACAGCAAAAGCATCTCCAACTGGACTTTCATTCCTGACAGAAACAGCAGCTATATCCTGCTACATTCAGTCAACTCCTTTGCAAGAAGGCTATTCATAGATAAACATCCTGTTGACATATCAGATGTCTTCATTCATACTATGGGCACCACCATATCTGGAGATAACATTGGAAAAAATTTCACTTTTTCTATGAGAATTAATGATACCAGCAATGAAGTCACTGGGAGAGTGTTGATCAGCAGAGATGAACTTCGGAAGGTGCCTTCCCCTTCTCAGGTCATCAGCATTGCATTTCCAACTATTGGGGCTATTTTGGAAGCCAGTCTTTTGGAAAATGTTACTGTAAATGGGCTTGTCCTGTCTGCCATTTTGCCCAAGGAACTTAAAAGAATCTCACTGATTTTTGAAAAGATCAGCAAGTCAGAGGAGAGGAGGACACAGTGTGTTGGCTGGCACTCTGTGGAGAACAGATGGGACCAGCAGGCCTGCAAAATGATTCAAGAAAACTCCCAGCAAGCTGTTTGCAAATGTAGGCCAAGCAAATTGTTTACCTCTTTCTCAATTCTTATGTCACCTCACATCTTAGAGAGTCTGATTCTGACTTACATCACATATGTAGGCCTGGGCATTTCTATTTGCAGCCTGATCCTTTGCTTGTCCATTGAGGTCCTAGTCTGGAGCCAAGTGACAAAGACAGAGATCACCTATTTACGCCATGTGTGCATTGTTAACATTGCAGCCACTTTGCTGATGGCAGATGTGTGGTTCATTGTGGCTTCCTTTCTTAGTGGCCCAATAACACACCACAAGGGATGTGTGGCAGCCACATTTTTTGTTCATTTCTTTTACCTTTCTGTATTTTTCTGGATGCTTGCCAAGGCACTCCTTATCCTCTATGGAATCATGATTGTTTTCCATACCTTGCCCAAGTCAGTCCTGGTGGCATCTCTGTTTTCAGTGGGCTATGGATGCCCTTTGGCCATTGCTGCCATCACTGTTGCTGCCACTGAACCTGGCAAAGGCTATCTACGACCTGAGATCTGCTGGCTCAACTGGGACATGACCAAAGCCCTCCTGGCCTTCGTGATCCCAGCTTTGGCCATCGTGGTAGTAAACCTGATCACAGTCACACTGGTGATTGTCAAGACCCAGCGAGCTGCCATTGGCAATTCCATGTTCCAGGAAGTGAGAGCCATTGTGAGAATCAGCAAGAACATCGCCATCCTCACACCACTTCTGGGACTGACCTGGGGATTTGGAGTAGCCACTGTCATCGATGACAGATCCCTGGCCTTCCACATTATCTTCTCCCTGCTCAATGCATTCCAGGTAAGTCCAGATGCTTCTGACCAAGTGCAAAGTGAGAGAATTCATGAAGATGTTCTGTGATTAGGTGCTTGTGACATTAGATTTCTACATAAAAGCCAATGGATTTGGAATAGCATATGGAGTGGGGAAATAAACTTTTGTTCCAGAGATACCTGGATTTGGATCCTGACTCTTTCATTTACTAATAATGTATAACATGATCTTGGGATATTTACTCAACTTTTTTCAAGCCATATTTTCCTCACATATAAAATGAGTGCAATACTGTTCACTTTATAGGGGTGTTTGGAAAGTGAAATTAAATGGTGAATGGGAAAGGATCAAGTACTAAAATGATCTAAAGACCATAGACAGCCTAGTAATAGGCTAAGTTGTTATGGTTTAAAAATTAAGCAATAACACCTTCCCCAAAATTTAGGTATGTAGCTGGAGGTATTAAAGTTTGCACATTTATTACATTTCCTTCCACTTAGGATTTTTAACTACCATTGGAAACCATCTTATTTTAACATGGCAAGCTCTACAGAGAGGTATTGAAGATAGTTTCTCCTCTCTTCTCTTATCACACTTAGATGAATTAAGCAACGTTCACAGTTTCATGTGTATGCTTTGCCAAATTTTCTATGCTTATACAAACATATTTTCACATAACACGGGTTAAAACAATGTATATTATTGTGTAACTTGCTTTTGCACTTAAAAATATGCTCTAGAATTTTACCAGCTCATTATGCATGAATATTTCTCTAATGGCTGCATACCATTCCATATTCAATAATTTCCTTCTTGATTGAAATTTTTCTCCATTGTTTTGTGTTATAGTATGTGAATGATCCAAAGTTTATTATATTGAATGTTAATATGTAGATAGTAACTAATTGAAAAGAAAGCTTTTATTTTTCTAAAGATATCTAAAACACTGTCTTTTTTTCTGAATGTGTGCGGTAGCCAGTAGGACTATTTTCAAGTAAATGCTTTACCTAATTGCTAATAGATATCTTAAGTCAAGTATCTTCTCATTTTCCCTTTTCAGAATTTATGTATAAATGATTTCACTTTATAATAAATGCTTTGATGTCTTGAAGAGCAATGTTAATAATAATAGGGGTATCTCATATTTTGAGTCTCTACTTTTTTTGCACTTCTATAGAAAATATTAATTGTATTCTACATTTGTATAGCTTTTGGTACTTATCAGTTGCTTTACGCATGTTTACAAAACTAGTCATTGAAAAGACTTGGGTAAAACCCCTATTTTTCATAAACCCCTCATGAGCTCATGACTCATTCCACACCATTTTCCTTCTCTTGTCTCCCTTAGGGCCATCTTATCTGTGAGCTTTGTTTTGGACAAGGCTGTGAGCACTTGCATTTTGATATCATGAGCACCTTTATCTGTCATAATAGGATCACTTGTGCTTTCAATTTAGTTTCTGCCTTGAATCCCAGTAAGGAACAGGGAGGGGTCTATCTAAGCGCCAGTACAGATGGGGCAGTGAGGAGCTGAGAACAAAGTGTCAGTGAGGCCCAGTGGGGGGCACTGGGCAGTGCTGTGTTGGAGCTGGCCTGTATTGGCTCACGGGAGCTGCCAATTATATTTTCACAATTGTTCTGAGCTGGTTGTGAAGACAGTCATCAATAACAATTAAATCATATAGACTTGCAATTAAACAAATTAGGTTAAAAGTAAAGGTCATGTATCCTCAGAACTCATCACTTCCTAATTATTTGTCTACCTTTTCTCTTGAGGTTACTTGCCTCTATTGTGTCTGCATGGTGGAAAATCTGTACAACGATGTGCTACTGCCCATCTCTTCCTAAATCCATGCTCAGCGATGTCACAGGGCAAGATTCAAATAGGCCATGGTGGGTGTAATTAACTATAGAGATTGGCAAACACTACAAATGAGGAGAGTTTATTGCCATTTACTAGCATATCACTGGATCAGAGCATCCACTGAGGGAGGAGAGAGAGGAGCCATGGATCTACTGAGATGGGAGACTCAACCAACTGGGTGGAAAAAGCAGGAGAAGTGCAGTCTTAGGATGAGAAGAGATGAGGGGCAGCAGCAGAGGCTGATGGAGCAGACAGAGGGGAGCGATTCTGAAACATATTGAGAAGCCCAGATGATGTGGGAGGAAGACTCCTGTAAAGATTTCCTGGTCCTAGCCCCAGGGGAATATCTGCACTAGTTTTAAAGCTCAACCATCCCCTTTACTATAGAGGTTTTATTATGGTGTCAGTTGCTGCCTCGATTAACCGCCTTGTTCATCCATAACTTCTGGTTGGCATCCTACTCTTGTATTTACTGAGAATAATTGTGGGCTGGGTGAGTTTTTGGGACTCCCTCATAGCTGTTTTTGTGGGAAAAAAAATAAAGCACATATACCAAAACCTGGGAGAACACCTTGAGATTTACCTGTCCAAACTGTGCTTTACCTACTAAAAGAAGTGCAAAGAAGCTGCTACTGGTGAATTGTTTGTTAGGTATATTCTCTCTTCCCTTCTCAACCAGATACTAAACTTTATGGCCAATTTTTTTATCCAAATCTTCTGAAAGATATTTGACATAACTTTCTCTAAGGTGGCATGGACCGACAAAAAGTGATCCTAGTGGAGTATTTCCCTGTTACATGTTTATAAAGTCATGTTTATAGTCATGCTACATAACTATAAAAGTGCAGGTTGCATAATAAAGAAATTAAACACATACATACACTCAAATGAAGAGACACTACATTTATTACTTATTTTGTGCAAAGCATTATGCTTAATGTTGCAGATACAAATATAGATAGACCAACCCCAAGGAATTAAAAATCTTATAAGGAGAGAAATTCCTCTTAGTTCTTTAGCCAAAGAATATTAGCCATCAGCATATTTGTGGAAAAAACATGCTAGAATTGTTGTTCCCAGATCTTTAAAAAATATAATTCCTGGGCCAAATTCACAGAGATCCTGACTTGAAATGTATTCCTAGTACCAAAATCAGGCTGGAATATATTTGTCCCAAGGGGCCTTATAAGAATGATAACTTTGCAACCTAATAGACCATGCCAACAATAATTTTTTTTGTAGCAGATACAATAACAGATTTCAATAATTACCTTGTAGGCTCAGAATGTTACACAGAACAATCTCATAAAAGCCATATGGAGATTAAGCTTTTGAGAGTTGGACTGGCTGAAGAGAAAGGTGTATGTTAGTGTGTTTGGGGGGCTGGATTAGCTGCAAGGATGTACACTGGTCCCTGTAAGGTCCTCCACCTCTCATCTGGGCTTTTACCAAATAGCGGTAGGTTTGGTATTGTTCTCAGCGATGAATACCAGGTTGTAACATCTTTATGGTGCCAGCTGTATACAACCCATGCACCTCAACAGGCCTCTGGGTAGGTAAGAGTTCACACTCACTTATGAAGTCAGAGCAGCTTAGCAAGGCTATTCCTAAATAAAAGGTCATGATCTCACCTCCCTTTTCAGATGCACCATGGACGGAGTAACTGCAAATTTAGGAGAAATTTTTGTCTAATGAATGTTCCTGTCTATCACATTTTGAATGCCAAAAAGGAAATTCCTTTTCCTTAACTGAAAAATGGAACTACAACTTGCCCTTCCTTCGTCAAGGGGGGTTTTGTGCCAGTGTATGTGAAAAAGAAGTAAAAACTTCAAATGGACTATAGCTGTAGAGGAACAGCCTGTTTTGGGTTTTATATGGGGTTTTTTTGGTATGGAAAATAAAAGATATAAAAGCTAATTAATTCCTTCTATATCATCATATTGGGAATATTTGTCATGTGCTTAGAAACTCAACCTATTTAATGTCATTAATTTTTTGAGAATGTAAACACTTGACTTTTCTCTAGAAGTTTTATAATATTCTTTGTAGTGGATGAGAGAAGGAGGCTGAAGGTGTTATGGGAAGCTGAGCAACAGCTGTTTCTGCTGTTTTCTGTGGAAGCTTCTCTTACTTATTGTTCAGGGACAGCAAGCCTGCAGTTCATTGCCCAACACCTCTTCTGACTCTTTCTTGGATCATTATATTCAGTTGAGAGGCCCACCTCCTGCTAAGTGCAAACACTTTTAATTTGTCCAACGTAAAAGGAAATTTAAAAAATATTCCTGTATGATGTAGGGACCTTGGTCTCTTTGGTTTACTGAGGTACCTCTACAGTGGCTGCCATATGGAAGACACTCATCAATATTCATTGAATGAATCTAGGTGTTGTGAGCTAAGGATGACAAATTAAGAGATTTCATAAAATTGTTTTCATTTTATTGAAATAGGAATTGGTAATAACTAAGAGTATGTTTTAACATCATGATTCTTTTGTAAATGGCTCTTCTTCCCTCTTCTGTGTTTCCCAGGGTTTCTTCATCCTAGTGTTTGGAACCATCCTGGATCCAAAGGTACTGAATGTAAATTCTTCTTGTTGCTTTTTCTGTATTATCAGTACCTGGCCATGTAAAGACTTGTAAAGGCTATTTATTGAAAAGCTTTCACTTCAGTCATTTGTACAGATGTATGAAGTCTGGATCACTGCTGTTTACAATGCAAATGATATTGACCAGTTTGCAAGCTCTTATGGGAATAAATGTTTTATGTACATTAGGGCTGATTCTTAAAACAATTGTAGGTATTACTATTTTCAATTTTACAGATGAGGAAACTGAGACTCAGAGTGAACAGCTTGCTCAAGATCACTACAGAAACCCACTCTGATTAGTTGAAGCAGAAAAGGAACTTATTAAATCTCACAATATTATCTTTGGGAGGGTCTCTTTGACTTGGAGTTTTGGAGGCTGTACTCCAGGAATACTTACCAATGCACAGCACAGAAATGCTCCACAAGAGATACCATTGCTCTTCCCCACTTTGCTGGGCACAGATAGCACAGCTCGCCAGGCCAATGTCGGGCAGTAAACACTTAAGCCAGAGCTGCTGCTACTGCTGCCTGGGAGATCACCTCAACCTGCCTGACTGGTACACCAGCATCTGCATTTATGCACTGTCATGTCTGATTGGCTGAGTTCAGGTCATGGAGTCATATCTTAGCTGCAAGGTTGGGTGGAAGTGTGAGTTCCTACTTCTATCTTGAATAGCAGTGGAGTCAAGAAAAGAAACTCTTCAAATACAGATGAGTCTTGATAAGTGATAAGCATTGAAGACAAAAACCAAGCAAATGAACAAACCCTCAAATGTTTATTCAGGCTTCTAAGATCACCCTCTTTCCATTGTACCGTACTACCTTCTGGAAAAAGAAAAGCAAACAATCCTCTCAGATATAAAAGCAAAAGCAAACCCCTTCTGTCAATTAAAGTAAATAAATAAATAAAAATGAAAAGGAACACTACCAGGTTGGATTTACAAAACAAAGCAAAAAACCAAACAAAAAACCCCAAACAAACAAAAACATAATCCACTCCCTCCCCCAAACACCCCACCTTCACTGCAGAGTTTGTTTGTTTATTTATTTATTTATGTTTTACTATTTATTTTTTATTTATTTATTTATTTTTTACTAAATAAGAAGAGCACCTGTATTCAGCTGGCAAGACTTAGAGAAAAGGACATGTTAATTTTTTTTTTTTTTGAGACAAGGTTTCACTCTGTTGCTCTGGCTGGAGTGCAGTGGCATCATCACGGCTCACTGCAGCCTTGACCTCTTGGGCTCAGGTGATCCTCCCGCCACAGCCTCCTGAGTAGCTGGAACTACAGACACATGCCACCACACCCAGCTAATTTTTAAACGTTTTTGTAGAGATGGGGTCTCCCTACGTTGCCCAGGTTGGTCTCGAACTCCTGAGCTCAAGGGATACACCCATCTTGGCCTCCCAAAGTGCTGGGATTACAGGAATGAGCTACTGTGTCCAGCCTACTGCCAGTAATATTCTATTATATTAATATCAAAGGTTTGTTAAAAGGTCAGGAGATGGAGACCATCCTGGCCAATGTGGCGAAACCCCGTCTCTACTAAAAAATACAAAAACGTAACTGGGCGTGGTGGCATGAGCGTGTAGTCCCAGCTACTCAGGAGACTGAGGCAGGGAAATTGCTTGAACCCGGGAGGCAGAGGTTGCAGTGAGCCAAGATTGCACCACTGCACTCCAGCCTGGCAACAGAGCCAGTTGGGATGTAGAGATAGTAATGCTTTCTCTGCCTTCTCCATTAGATTATGACAAAGAACAAATGCAATTTTGTAGGTAAAAACGCAAAGCACTTAAGGTATCGCCCAATCATATGCCACAGGATTATGTTTCTATTATTTATAATAACACAACTAGTATCTGTAGCCACAGTACCAGCAGCCACATTTTTACTTAGTTTACCAGTGTTAGGTGAGATGTGCAAAGAACTCCAAGTCATGGAACCTTCTATCAAGATGAAAACCTCTTACCTTTGCAATTGTGATATGAAAGGTAAATACTCCAAAGTGTCACAGGACCATACATGATTCATTGACCAAAAGTTGTATATACCAGTAGTCTTCAAACTTTTAGGATTAGTAAAACACAGTGAGTACATATCCCCAGATGTGTTCATTATTAACCTAAAAAGTGTTACATACATTATGAAACCTAAGAGTAAAAAAGGGTGAGAACAAAGAAATGTAAGTAGAAGTGCCAATGTATCTTCACGGATCCCAATGGGCCCTTGAGCACACCGTCCTCCAACCCTGAGGGGTGGTTTGAGGTCTGTGTGTGACAAAGAATACGGCATCTGCAGGGAAGGGGGAAGCCACCCTGAGCTGGAGGACTTTGGCATATATGAATTGTGAACACAGAACTTCTATAAGGCCTTGGAAGGTGAATAATATTTTGTATAGCAGAAATAAGAAGAGGGCCTGTATTCAGCAGGCAAGACTTAGAGAAAAGGACAGGATGACCTAGTTAGGGAAGAAGAATTTCATGGACTGTTGCTATGTTGTATAGTACTTTTTTCTTTGAGACGGGGTGTCATTCTGTCGCCAAGGCTGGAGTGCACTGGCGTGATCTCAGCTCACTGCAACTTCTGCCTCCTGGGTTCAAGCGATTCTCCTGCCTCAGCCTCTCGAGTAGCTGGGGTTACAGGTGCCCAACACCACGCCCGGCTAATTTTTGTATTTTTAGTAGAGAGGGGGTTTCACTATGTTTACCAGCCTGTTCCCGAACTCCTGACCTCAAGTGATCCACTCGCCTTGGCCTCCCAAAGTGCTGGGATTACATACAGGCATGAGCCACCATGTCCAGTTGTATAGTACTTTTTTTCCTCTAGAAAAGGTGATTTGAATAATTGACAAATTGTGAGAAGTGATTACGGAAGTGCTCCATAAAAATAATGCCAAAGCTAGGGCAGGTGCGGTGGCTCATGCCTGTAATCCCAGCACTTTAGGAGGCCGAGGCAGGCAGATCATGAGGTCAGGAGATTAAGACCATCTTGGCTAACATGGTGAAACCCTGTCTCTACTAAAAATACAAAAATATTAGCCAAGCATGGTGGCACACGCCTGTAATCCCAGCTACTCGGGAGGCTAAGGCAGGAGAATTGCTTGAACCCGGGAGGCGGAGGTTGCAGTGAGCCGAGATGGCCCCACTGCACTGCAGCCTGGATAACAGAGTGAGACTGAATCTCAAGAAAAAAAAAATAGAAGCTATGTCGAGGAATTCTCAAACTTGTGGCAAACTGCATTTCTCAGGCATTGGGTCCATATTTAAGGCCCTGAAAGTGAGTATCCTATGCCATCTCCACCTCTCTTTTCTCTTCCCATCTTTCCACCTTTTCCAAGACTACTCCACCAGAGGTCACTGATGCCACCATATCCCTCCAACAGAACCTAGCTGCTAACACAGTACCTGGCCACAATATCTGCCAGGCCCAAGCATACGTGTTATCTTCTTATGATCTTCTAATTCTTAACTTCTTTTGTTAAATATCCAGATAAGAGAAGCCTTAAAGGGTTGAGTAGCCTCTGCAAAAAGGAGCTCCAGAATATCAGAGGTAAAGCTTTCATATTCATTTTTGTATTTAAAAGTTTAACAAGATAACAATCTTGGAGTTTCTGGCATATGGAGTGTTGCTAACACTCTCACCTTAACACTTTGCAGTGTGGATTTCCCAGAAGTGATGGGTGCCTCTTAAACAGTTGAGATTCTTTCTGGAATATGGGGATGCAAAGAGATGCAAGTGGAGTTACATGAATTTAGAGGAGAGTGACAAGGTGGCTGGCGTTGGAGGGTGAATCTCAAACCACATAGTAGGAGAGCAGGTGATGAAAGAAATGAGAGAAGTCTTAGGTTCCCATGACATCTCACTTGTTCTCTATGACTCCAATCAGTTGGCCCACATCCAAAGTGTAAAAACTCCAGGGAAACAAATTCTGATCCTACACAAAGAACTGCTCAAGAGGGGCCAGCTGCCATGGTACTGAAGTGGCTTAAGTGGGCTTGGGGCCTGCACAGGGTTGCTGTAGAGAAGATTCAGTCATTGGACAGCAGGCTGGACTATAACAGGGTCGTTAACTTATCTTCTATTCCTGTGACTTAGAAACATTGTTTTGTTATGCAAAGAATGAGGGCCATGAACTGTTTTGAGGGAGGGAAAAACTGCCGCTCAATTTTTTAAAAAACTTTTAAATGGCAGCAAAAGGAGATTCAGGGTTGGCCCAAGGAATACACCCAAAACAAGCAAGGAGGTGATCTAGAGCCTCCCATGCCAGTGTCTGCTAGGGTCCACATCTCCTGTCATGGACTGGGGCTTCAGGGGATCTGCATGGAGAGAGGCTAATTGATGGGGCTGGGCACCCTGTGGCCCTGAGAGCAGTGTTGCCCCATCCTCGTTCTTTGCCTTCCCATTCTCTCTCTGTTGATTTCTTCAGCCCTCCTCTTCTCTTCTCTTTCTTCCCTCTCTTTTCCTGTTCCCTTTTGCCTTACTCTTACCTAACCTTTGGTCTTGTTTTTAGTCTTTGGTCTCCATACTTGGGAGTCTGCTGGTTTCTCTGTACCCTTTTCAGCTTTAAAAAAAAAAAGACCCAAAGTTTAATGCAAATGACATTAATAAATGTCTAAAGCAATGGTTCTCAACTTGGGCTACACATTAAAATAAACTGGGAAGCTTCAAAAAATGGGGTTGCCTCGGTCACACCCCTGGAGATTCTCATTTGATTGGTCTGGAGTGTGGCTTGGATTTGGGGGTTTTGAAAGCTCCCCGGGTGATTCTAATGTACATTCAAGGTTGAGGGTCATTCATCTAAAGACTCCCTGAAGTGTTCTGGCATTGAAAATATTTGTCTCCAACAAGCATCCCTGATGTAAGTACTCTCCTCTTTCACTTTGGTCTGCCGTGGTGCTCTCAGGAGAGAGTCCTGACTCTCTCAATCCCTTCCAATTTAGCTTTGCTCCTTTCCTTACGTGTTTCAGAATTGATCCATTCAGGTCATCATAGAGAAATTCTGCTTTTCAGTGTCATAAAATCCTAGTCATTTCTTCCACTTCTCTTTGTGGTTTTATGTGACTGATAAGTCAAAATAATATCCAGCATTTTATGAGTAGTTGTCGATTGTCTGATTCAGTGGTGTTGTTGGCTGTACCTTAGAAACACCTAAGAAGCTTTAAAAATATACCACTTCAGGGCATGGTGGCTCACGCCTATAATCCCAGCACTTTGGGAGGCTGAGGTGTGCAGATTGCCTGAGGTCAGGAGTTTGAGACCATCCTGGCTAACATGGTGAAACCCCATCTCTACTAAAAATACAAAAATTAGCCAGGTGTGGTGGTACATGCCTGTAGTCCCAGCTACTCGGGAGGCTGAGGCAGGAGAATCACTTGAACTTGGGAGGTGGAGGAGTTGCAGTGAGCCCGAGATCGCACCACTGCACTCCAGCCTGGGTGACAGAGGGAGATTCCGTCTAAAAAAACACACACACACACTTTCCAGGCCGTACTCAAGAAAAATTAAATTAGAAACTCTTGGAGGTAGGGCCTAAGCATTCTTTAAAGCTCCACAGTGATTCTAACGTGCTATCTGGGTTAACAATCACTGGCCTAGGTACTAGGTAAATTTATCCTAATTTCTTGCACTTCTCCCTTCATTTCTTGCTCACTAACTTTAGGTCACTGCCTGCAATTAGTTTTATCAACCCTGCTCAGAGGACAGAAGTAGGTGTTTCATCTGTGCTCTTCTCTTCTGCTTTGTAGGCCTCTAATCCCTAGGTAGCAATCTTCTGTAGTCCAGATTCAACTCCCCTCCTCATGGCACCTGCTTGGGTAGTATCAGTCCTGCTTCCCAAACCCAGCATAATAAATTTGCTTGTCTGTGTTCATTTTATATCTGAAGTGATGAATTAGCCTATGTTTATGTGGTAGTAATTCTACCAGTGAGTTAATGTATTACCTATCTTAGGCAACACATTTCTAAAAAACGAGGACATCCTCTGGACACAGGTGCATTACAAGGGCTTGGCTTTAACGCTGAGGATTTCAGCAGACCAGCTGAGAAAGAGTTATTTGAGATCTTGGAGCCATTTTGCTGTCTCTCTCTCTCCATGCCACTCAATGTCTTCTCCACTGTCCAACACCCTCCCAAATTAGGGTCTCCTTCAGTAGGCAGAGCCAGGCCAGGCCAAGGAGGAGGAGGATCTCTCACAGCAGTCAGTTCCTATGTTGTCAGCAGTTCCAATATAAAAAAGGAGAGAAGGGAGCCGGGCACAGTGGCTCATGCCTGTAATCCCAGCACTTTGGGAGGCCGAGGTGGGCAGATCACGAGGCTGGGTGTGGTGGTGGATGCCTGTAGTCTCAGCTAGTCGGGAGGCTGAGGCAGGAGAAACGCTTGAACCTGGGAGGCAGAGGTTGCAGTGATCCGAGATTGCGCCACTGCACTCCAGCCTAGACGACAGAGTGAGACTCTGTCTCAAGGAAAAAAAAAACAACAGAAGGAGAGGAGAGGAATAAAGTGAAGGAATAAAAGAAATTGCTGTGGATCACAATTCCCTAGATGCTTTGAATAATTGTGATAATTGAAAACAGACTAATAATGATATTTAATAAATGCAATTTTACTTTGTCTTCAACAGAATGCTTCTTCTGAATTATCTTGTCATCCCATCAAAGGCCCAAGTTAACAAACCAGGCTACATCCCTAACCTAGGAGGTGAGTGCAAAGCAAGGGGTTCCCATATATGTCATATATGTGACATTTCTTTTAAAATTGCAATTTGATTAATTATAATTAGAAATGATTTTTTCTTCATTAAAAGGATTCTACTATACAGTCTATTCTCACCTAGCTATGGTTGGAAATATATTCACACTTCAAATTCTTAAGCTACTGAAATTTTTTTTGTCCCTGAAAATTAAGCAGGCGTGTCTGAAAATGCTTTTAAATTAGCCTGGGTGATTTTTAGATGGGAGTGAGGAGAGCTGCCTGCTTTACTTAGCTGCTCCCTCTCTTCAATCTTCTCTCTAGTTCTCTATCCCAGGACATCCTATATGATATCAGCAGTATCCCCAGATTTCCCATTGTGGCCCCTTTCTTTTCCCTAGCCTGAAAAGATCAAGGTATTATGATAAATAATAGCTGTGAGAGGCCTCAGGGATGATGGAGACGTTTATTTACATTTGAGATCTCAGAGATAGACAAAGATATATAGAAAAATAGAAGTGGAGAAAGGAGCCACAGGGAGAAACAGAAATTCAGATACACAAAGACAGAGGGACATGGTGGCTCACGACTAGAAGAGAGCCACCTAGACACAAGGACATGTGCAGACACAAGTCTTCCAATCCTGTGTCTCGATGTCCCTCTGGATCTAGAGACAGAAAAGAGAGGAAGACAGAGGAACCCACATCGAGATACCCACATTCATAGGGAGACAGAGACAGAGAGATGCACGGAGAGGATAAGAGATGCATTGGGAGATCGAGAGAAATGCAGAAAAAAAAAAAACCCAGAGAGATGGACTCACAGAGACACATACAGCATGACAGAGACAGAAACAGAGATAGATGCACTCAGCTATGTAGAGAGGGCCTCCCACCCCTCATCCCAACACATCCAGGCTCCAGCAGCCTTTGTGGCTTTCTGTAGCAGTCCAGGGCCTTGTATAAAAAGTGGGTCTTTTCCAAGAAGTGTTACACTGAAAAGGAGGTGGCCCAGCTTAGAGAAAGACAAGGTGTGTAATTCAGCATTTGTTGGCAACAGAAAAGACTGTTCTCTGGATTCCAAAGTGGCTTAAAGGGAGGAGACTCTCCATCGGCCATAAGGGATGTACCCAAATGGGCTCATTGTTCAAGACAGTGAGCTTATAATGCAGATGTTGTAAAGCCTATGAATCTTGCTACCTGTACATTAAAGCTGTGATCTTCTGTTCTTGACAGGGTTGTATATTTCAGGAATGGCAGAGCCCAAAGGAGAAATGTGCTCATTCCTGTCTTCTTGCTTCTGGAGAATATGTAGGAAGCTCACACATGTGGTGCTGATGGAGGAGGGCGTGATGTGCAGAAAGGATGAAAGGCTCCTCTGTCTAAGCTGTTCTGTGCTACTAAACATTTCTCGTCCATCAACTGTACATAGCTACATATGTCATGCTGGGCAGCCACAGCAAACAAAAAGACAAAGGGGGCCACAACCGTGGTTTTTGTTGGGGCTTCCATCTCTATGCTGTTGGGTCACATTTGTCTTCAGAAAGCAACCTCTGTCTCATCTTGGAAAAGGCGGCCTGAGATTTCACCTGGCTGGATTCTGTGTGTTGCTGAGGGAGGAGCCTCATGAATAGTCACAAAGAGTTGGGCTGACTCTAAGTAGGACATTGCAGATTATTTTTTTTTTTCAAAAGGAATCCACTGCCAGTATATCCACTTTTTCAAATTTAAATAGATTGGATTGTCAACTTGGTTTAGGCTTAGATACAACTTCCTTGGCCATGAACCAAGGGGAAAAGCATAGAGCTTTTGAGACAGAAAGATGACCATTTTCAGTTAAGGAGATGGAAGTCTGGAGTTGTGAGTCAATGCTAATCGAGGACTGAGCCAGAGGTAGAAACCCAAGTGTGCTGGCTCCCAGCCCTGTACTTCCTCTTCAAGACCATATAGACACTGAAAGATCTTCTGCCTACACTGACAATGTAAGGTCAATCCTCACCAACAATATGCTTTTTTGATACCTGGGATTGGAGAGAGGAAATATCACATTTCCAATTCAGAGCTGCTCTTTTTCTTAACCTGTATGTAAACAAATTCAACATTCAAACCAGGTGTTACCTGATAGAACAGTATTGTAGGTAGAAGCTCTTTGAGGAAAAAAAAAAAACCTCTTTACAAAGCAAGGACATAGATGACTGCAGCAGCATCTAACTAGTGGATGAAGGCAAAGGGGCAATGGGCAGCCTTTAATTATCCCAACAAGAAGTCAGTATTGATGACGTTTCATTACAAAGGAGAAAGTGGGGCTCACCTTAGGTATGAGTGCAGTCCCTTCCTTCCTTCCTTCCTTCCTTCCTTCCTTCCTTCCTTCCTTCCTTCCTTCCTTCCTTCCTTCCTTCCTTCCTTCTTCCCTCCCTCCCTCCCTCTCTCTCTCTCTTTCTCCCTTTCTCTTTCTTTCTTTTTTTCTCCCTCTCTCTCTTTCTTTCTTTCTTTGTTTCTTATTACAAATAATCTTCCTATAAGTAGGAAAGTTTGAGCAGACAAAAAGCATCAATCTGAAGTTAAAAAAAATGCATCAACCTGGAGAAATAGTCATTTTTCAAATGGCATTGCTTATCTTGGGACAACAAAAGCATCCTTCACAAATAAAGTCAGAGAGTGGTTTTAATTTACCATTTACCAATAGATTTGTATGTTCTTTTCAAGAGAAGGGGTGAGATAGACATAGTCCTGGTTTTCCTCAATGCAGGCTTAGGTACAAAGAGATGTCACTTACCCAGAGTCCATATATTGAAGTGAAAATGGAATTTCATGAAGCAAATATAGTTATAGGATGGTAACTCTGGACAAATTTTATAAAAGATGAACTCCAATTGCTTCATTTCACAGATAACAGCTCTGAGCACTAGGGAGAGAGGGAGGGATTGGCCTAGCATTTGCTTTGTGTCTTGAGCAGTCACATCTATTATGGAAGTACTCACTACTCAGCTATACTCACTCCCTGAGACAGGATGGTTGGAAAGAAACCCCACCTTAGCTTCATCATTAACCAAGAAACCCCAAGGATGCTTAGAGAAAAACTCTGGAATTATTTGGGAATTCCTGGAAGAAGCTATGCCCTCTCTCCTGCATCCCAAAGCCCACTCTACACCATCTTGAAAAATGTCAAGGAACTGCATGGATTAGGTTGACTCTGGATGACCCTGGGTAGAGACACATTCAGTTTCCTGCTGACACCGCACCAAGAAAGTGATTTGGTCAGGTGACTCTAGGAGAAATTGGTACTGATAGTATCCAAGGCAGATTTTTAAGTATCAGACTTAATACATAATGATTCTTGGGAAAGCCATTTAAATCCCTGAGACTTTAAGTGGATAAATGTAGGTAAAGTAGTATAGTACTTGGCTCATAATAATTGCTCATTCAAATTCACATGTTAGTTTTAGTTGTTTTTTTTAAATTAGAGTCCTGTGAATACATGAACCCACCCACCCACATGCAAACACAAGCAAACACACAGCCATGACCCCATGCATAAGTTTGGCTGAAGACACCCTCATGGGAACTAGTTCACTGACTTCCAAATTAAAGAGTTAAGCATTTGATTTGGTCTGTTCAACATTAGGGGTATCAGCCAGCAAAATCTGTTGAGCTTACCATTGAAAAATCCTTTCATTCATTACTGTGGTCATAATACACAGTTACCTGGCCAGGAAAGAGTACACATCACAGGGATCTGCTCACTGCACGTGTGCCTGAGCTCTCCCTCACTTTCTGCCTTCTTCAAGAATTCTTCCCTGATTGGTCCAACCAGAAGCGCTGATTCTCCCCACCTGATTTCCTGTAATTTTATAATCTATGTCCTTCACTTTTGTGTTATATTGTTTATTTCCTTTTGGTCTTTTTGTGTGCATATGTATATGTTTTGGGGAATGGGGTATTCACTTTTGTTACTCACTGTGTTACTCACTTTTGTATGCCCATAGTGCAGAGCATGGTGCCTTGTACATAGAGTATGTTCGGTAAATATGTGCAATAAAAAGTCCTTTGATTACACAATGGCTTGATATTGGCTTTTCCACTTCCCAAATGAGCCATTTCTTAACTACTGACCTAAATGGAGCTGACCCATTTCCATAAACAGCACCTCCTTGACCTTCATTGCTATAAAACCCATAACAAAACTGCCTCCTCACTTACCTCTCCTTATTGTCCACATTTCTCCTGGAAATATCTAAATGAGGGTTTGCTTTAGATCTTTGGGGAAGGAAGGCCTGTGAGTAGACAACAGTAGAACTAGGATGTGTGGGACTGTTTGGTGGTTAGCAGAACAATGCAAACTGGCTCCCCTGTCCAAAGTCAAACCGTGTGCATTCCCCACAAGTGGACACAGTGTCTTCTGTGTCTGAATTACCACAGTCATGTAGTGGCTCAGTGAGAACTCCTTGTCCCGGTCATTACAAAAATAAAACAGAAATCTCTCTGTTGCTAGGTTAGGAATTAGATCACAATTGATGCACCAGTTTATCAGCCAATTTCCTCCAAGTTCAACATCAGAACAGGCAAAAAAAAAAAGTATCAGCCTTTAAAAATCATCAACAATAGTGGCATAACCTTGCATTTTATCACCCTCCTTCCAATTATCCCAGTGCAGCAGATGCAAGCAGAGTCTCATGCAATCATCTGAGATAAGGATGAAGAACTGAAAGACAAACAAGTGACTCACTTTAATGGATTTGCTTCAGACAGGAGAAACCTGTAATTTCTCTTAGGCGTGCTTCATGGACCCATAGTGGAGTGAATCACAGACTTGCACAAGCCTTGAAACTGTGGGTAACTTTACAGTTCTCAGATCGGCTTCTCGCAACAGGCAGTCAGTTCTCACTGGGCCCCTTGGACTCCCATTTCAAAAATGGAGAAGACAGATCACAGCCACTGACCAGGGACCGTGGGAGGTGCCACGTGATGGTGAGGCATCATGCTAGGGAGCTGAGCTCTGACCTTCCTGCTGGGTGATTCTCCACCTCTGGGCTGCTAGATCTACTTCCTGGATGCCGTGAGTAGATGTCCTACACCAGCACCATTTTCCTGTTGAAGAAAGGCTTGTTTTTGCACATATTCCAGGAGGGGGAAATGCGTGATATATGATGGTATTTTCTGGAATGCTTGATTCTTCTGGAAACTTCTCTAACATGATTTAGAAATTGGCTAGCTCAAGGTTGGAGTATTTCCTAAGCCTCTTTTACGTTTGTTTTTCTTTAAGAGTTGTTTGTCAGGCTTTAATGGCTCACTCCTAGGAGTGAAAATGCAAAGTATCCTGTCAGGCAAATAAACTCACTGTCCCTGCATTGTCCCCTTGCTTGATAAATTTCAATACCTGTCTTTTAGACTGAATGTAAAGCTGGATGTTGTTTTAAAAGTGTTCTTGATTAGTTTCTTCTTTTAGTGAGCCTGAAAAAGCTATCATTGTATCAATTTAAAAAAACATTTCTCCAGTTACTGCCAAACACGTTTTTGCAAAGGCATCTTCCCTTGTTTCAAGTGGCCAATTCTATGCTACTTGAAGGTCTATATTCCTTATACTCTGAAGACAGTTGTGAGAGGTCTAAAGTGTTGCATCATTAGGTGCTGTTTATTTGTTTGTTTGTTTGTTTTTCAGTGTCAGCACATCATGAGCTTTCTTCATGGACCAGAGGCAATTGCTGGGCGTATAAATTTCTTTAAAATTTTATAAGTATCAAGATAGTTGGTGAGATATCTAGATGTCTTCTAACTCTGAAATTGTCTTCCAACTCTGAAATTATGTGATTCTTGAAACCTATCAGAATCTGAATCCAGATTCCAATTTTTAGAAGAGATGCTGGGCTACAAACAGATTGGCTGGAAGCCATCTAAAGTAGCTAAAGATGAGATGTTTCTGATTCTAATAGTTCTTTTCTATCTTTCTTTCCCCCAAGGCTCTATGTGAAGCATTTCTTCCATGGCAAGGGAGAACTCTAAGGGTAACTAAATAGATTCTGCTATGAGGGCAAGAGATACTGGGTCTTAAACACATAAACAACTCGTTTATCCATCTGATGTTATAATCAGAGTTCTAATTATACTACTGGAACAGAGGAAACAGACAGACAGTTATAGAATTAGGGGAACAACACACACACACATACACACACACACACACACACAGACGACACACCCCCCCCCCCAAAATGTGGGTCACTTAACTCTTAGGTTCCTTGCCCTCTAGTTAACCTCTTTGGATTGGTTGTTCCCATCAGACAATGGTCTGGCCTGGGAGTAAGAGGCGAATTGCCACCTTGAAGACTGGCAAAAAAGTGAGAAGAGGCACTCCCTCTCACCTTGTGGTACAGTTCCGGGGAGAGGAACCCTTTGGGAAAGTATTTCCTTGATTCACAAATATTCTTGGCCATTCACCTTAGGGTGTTTTGCATGAACAGGTTTGCGAGATCACACCTTCTGATGCATTCCTTCCTGACTGACTACACTTACAGTTCCCAGCTGACCTTTTAAAATTTTCTTTGGGAGTCCTGATGTCAGGCCGCACTCAGCGTGTTCAGACGGGTAGGGAGTACTCAGTCTGTGTGAGTCATCCCCTACAATTCCATCTGGCATGTTTCAGAAAGAAGCTCCAGTACCCAGACAGACTCACTGTAGTTTTAAATTCCAACTCATTCAGAAAATCTGCTCCAGGTACAAGCAAGATGGGACAAATAGGAGATGGTGTTTCAGAACAGCTGGGGTCATCTGGGTCTGTCTGGAGAAATAGGGTTTTATTAGTTCTGACTTATGGAGACAGTGTGGAAAAAGACACATGCATTGTTATGACACCCTCTTGTGCCCATGGCGGACATCCCTAACCTGGCATGGCATTATTTCCTGCTCAATTCTTTTTTCACATAAGGCTCCAGGCAGTACAATAAAGAGGAGGTCCACAGTAGGACTGGCATCTACTTAAGTCACCAGGTTCCAAAATCATCTAGAGTTGCAAACGTGCTCACCTGACCCTCTGAGATAGAAAAGTTGCCTCATGATTTTAAAGCAAAAACTTCAGATGCTGATGTCACTCTGCAGGAATCATTTCCCAATTCATTCACTTATACAACAAATGTTTACTGAGTGTCTATTCTGTATCTTATCCTCTGCTGGGTGCTGAGGATAGAGAAACATCAGGTGTTTACATTTTTTTGCCTATTTCACTAGGTGTGGCCTAATTTCTCTCAGGCTCTGGGGGGGAAGAGCACAAATTGTTGTGCTCTGTTGACCCATTGTGATTAGAATTTAGGCAGCGGTGTGAAAGTCGCTGATTACTGTAAACTTGATGGAGAGGTAGATCCTTAGACACATTCACCCTGGGACAATCAGGTCTAGCTGTGTTTGCCTGTAACTCTCTGAGGCCAGCAAATGTTATTTTCTTTGTAATGACCAGCAAATGTTATCTTTTTCTTTGTAATGACCATGTTAGAGCAGGGAGCCTGGCCTCCATTCAGCAGGCTTGAATTGCTTTTTAGTACTGTGTGAAAAACAAAGGTGAATTATAGTGGGTAATTAACACTTTTATAATCATGCACAGAAAGAGGCGGGTTATGGAAGTGGAGGAGAAGGAACCTGCGACGTGACTTTTTCAGGTCCCAAGAAGCTGCGTTTCTAGGTGGCTTAGTTGCTTTTATCTCTGAAATAAATCATCTTGCAGACACCTTGGGAAGGAGATGTGGAGCTGCCCTTATTGGGTGACTAGTATAGCAATTGGAGGGAATTTATAAATGACTAACCCTTTATTTACCTTCTTGCCACAGATAGCCTCAGGCAAGAGTTCTTTTGCTTCTTGTTTTCTCTTTCACTTTTTAATTCTTCATTTCTGAAACTGATTTCTTTCTTGTGGTCACCCAAGCTTTGCTGTGAATGACTTAAAGAGCTCCCATGAACATATCAGCACAGTGACGGGCATTAGGTAGATGCCCAACAAATACATGTGTAGCCTAAGTCTGGATAGATTAATGTGTTTTCCTCCAAGATAACATATTGTGATGGAATAGCAGCTTGAAACTCCTCAAGGCATTTCTGATTACTTATTTATTTTTATTTTTATTTCTTGAGACAGAGTTTCACTCTTATTGCCCAGGCTGGAGTGCAATGGTGCAATCTCAGCTCACTGCAACCTCTGCCTCCCAGGTTCAAGCGATTTGATTCTCCTGCTTCCGCCTTCCAAGTAGCTGGCATTATAGGTATGCACCACCACGCCTGGCTCATTTTTTTGTATTTAGTAGAGAGGGGGTTTCACCATGTTGGTCAGGCTGATCTCAAACTCCTGGTCTTAGGTGGTCCACCCGCCTTGGCCTCCCAAGGTGCTGGGATTATAGGCGTGAACCACTGCGCCTGGCCTAGAATTTCTGATTATCAAGTGAATTGGTAAATCCTGGGTGAAACAGTTTTCTTACTACAAGAAATCTCAGAACCTTTGATATGTGTTCATGCCTGTTTGTGTGTGTGTCTGTGTGTGTGTTGGGGGGAGTTGGGCAGTGGTGTTACCCATCGTTTCCCAAACTGATATGACCATGGAACCCCTTTGGCTTTTATGAGACCAGTCTTCCACAGAAACCCATGTGAGGACACAAGGCCTTGGTCAAATACAGTAGACACAAAAGCCTCCGTTGTTTGCCTACTAAAAGTAGAGCAGTCCCACTCCCCGAATTCAAAGAAAATTAGGTCAGTCTATATAAATGCCTTCAAGGTTAAATTTTTCTTCTGTTCCATTTTCTTTAACCTTTTTGTGCCTGCTACAAATGGTTGACAAACAAATGGTGGATAATATGCATCAACCTCAAACATAAATATGTCTTGTTCCAGCATTATTCTGTCACAATTACTGCTTGCTGTTTTTGTTTCCCCTCACTGAGTACTAGAATCTTGATTTAAATGGAGACGTCTCTTCCCAACAAAGTGTTTTTCTGCCACCATACACAGAGGGTTTATAAAGATAGAGAATATAAGAGAATACACAATTTTGTTGACAAACTGAACAGAATGTAGAACCAGAAGTCAATAAATGGAATAAAGGTAATTTAAGGAGAATATGCCTGGAACAAGTCTGGATTCTCCACATAGGATAGGATCTAGCACTGGCTGTCCACTCTTTACCAGAAACTGGTATGTCCCTCACCTGGGTGAGTTAGCCCCCATCAGGCTCCCATATGAAAGCTTCTTCTTTAGGTACTGACCATGGTTTGCTTATATCCATCTGGACAATTCTCACTCTTCTTGTTACATTTAATTTAATATTTAGGTTTTGCATGCTTGTTCTTTTCTTTCCCTCATCCTTTCAGGAGACCACTCACTACATATAGACATGTGCTAGGTGCTGGAGAGATACTATATTTGTGTTTACTGAAACTTTTCAGTTTGGAATGTTGATAAACTCCAATTCACTTTAATTATTAATCTTTATCAGTGGTAGATCTAAGGATGTGTGTTTCCTCCTTTACATTCTATAAAATATCAACCATGGATGAATTAGGAGGATAAATTATGCTGCCAAAGCTTTTAATAAAATTTTAAATTCTTCATTCTCAGAATCCTTAAGCTCTTCTCTGCAGAGGACTCTGGCTTTTGGCCTTAGCTACATTTGAATTCTGAAAGGAGGGATCCCATTCGACCCTTTCTGGTGAGAAGAGAACCAACCAAATTAGGGCTAACCTGAAAATGTCTATCTAATCCATCGCTGCCAATCAAACTGGGCTAAAATAAAAATGCTATGATTCCTCTTGGGTAATGTCACTGAATATTCTCCCCCAACATTTGTAATATCGGAAGGAAATTTACTATATAAATTACCATCCCAAATGGTATATAGTTACATATGCCAGACTATAGAAACATGAATGATCAAGTAGCAAATTAATTAATCAAAACCCTTCAGCCATTTGTGCTTAGTTCAAATTCATGTATTTTATGGTCACGCTTATGATTTCATATTACATATATATTTTATGCTAGTAAAAGTTTTTATTTATGTACATATATGAAATGTATCATTATTCAATATTGTTCCACAAAGCATGATTTGCAGAAAATGTCATAGCTGTTGGATCCTTTACTCCCTGAACACGTTCAGGAGCTGTGTGCAGCTGGAGGCCTAGCACTAGTTGGAGAGACATTTTTAGACTTCACAAATGACATCACATCATTATGCCAAATACTTTCTTTCAACAAGGTTAGCTCAAAACAAAACTCCTATATTAAAGGTAATGGACAGTAAACATGACCCTTCTCCTGAAGCCTCAGATAACAGGTGCTATTCTTTTTTTTTTTTTGAGACGGAGTTTTGCTCTTGTCACCCAGGCTACAGTGCAATGGCATGACCTCAGCTCACTGCAACCTCCTCCTCCTGGGTTCAGGCGATTCTCCTACCTCCCAAGTAGCTAGGATTACAGATGCCCACCACCATGCCTCGCTAATTTTTGTATTCTTAGTAGAGATGGGGTTTCACCACGTTGACCAGGCTGGTCTCGAACTCCTGACCTCAGGTCAGCCTCCCAAAGTGCTGGGATTACAGGGATGAGCCACTGCACCCGGCAGCAGGTGCTATTCTTTACAAATGCCTCCCTTCGTCTCGCCTTCACCCATTTTAGTGCACATTTCTGACTATGATCTGAAATGTGGAGAGGAATTGGGTTTGCCTTCAGCATCGGTCCTATTATTTGGTCCTGAGAATAGGTTTCTTTTCTCCTTGACACACACACCCTGTGAAGAAGACTTCAGTATAATTGTGAAGGCTAGCAAAGAGAAAGGATTAAAGTGATCACTTTAATGAGAGAAGTGAACAATCTTCAGCTTGATAATCAAAATGAATCTTATAGTCTGTATCTGTTTTTCAAACTGCAGGTTACAATCCATTAGAGTCTTGTGAATTAAACTTAGTGGGTGACAACTAGTATTTGAGAGAATGTCAAATAGAATAGAGAAGAATGTAAGATAAAAATATTGGATATATCAGAGTTCTTGCTTGTAGGTAGCAAAGATAAGTATTTTTACATAAAAATCGTAAAGATAAAAATTATGCTTTTTTGGTTTTATGTATAGACACTGATATACATACATAGATACATATCTATGTATGTCTGTACATAGTGAGTCATAATATAAGATCTGTTTTTTATTGTGTCATTGTCAAGGTTTTGTTTTTGTTTTTTTGTGATGGAGTCTCCATCTGTCACTCAGGCTGGAGTGCAGTGGTGCGATCTCAGCTCACTGCAACCTCTGTCTCCAGGGTTTCAGCGATTCTCCTGCCTCAGCATCCAGAGTAGCTGGGACTACAGACGCCTGCCACCACACTTGGCTAATTTTTTGTATTTTCAGTAGAGATGGAGTTTCACCTGTTAGCCAGGATGGTCTTGATCTCCTGACCTCGTGATCTGCCCACCTCGGCCTCCCAAAGTGCTGGGATTACAGACATGAGTTGCCGTGCCCGGCCTGTCAAAAATTTTTGAAAGCCAAAGTCGTATATGTGAAACATATGGATACTTTTAAAACAATTTATACTGTTTCTTCTGGTACTTTCTTTAGTGATGATCAGTTAAGCATCTATCTTGGACAATATTCACATTGCAAATTGCTTAGGCCCATTCATCAATTTACGGCCTACATGGAGACTTCTTTCTACCCACACTGTAAGATCATGAATTCCACATTCATAATCCCAGCTCCTATCAAATCTATTACCACACCTTGCCTGTCATGCTGCCATGTTCTCTTTCCTTTGCTCAGACTTGCTCTGCCAGATGATGTTGTAAATAAACACACCTTCCCCTCTGTTCATTGGTTAGAAACTTGAAACTCAAAGATAATTTGGAAGCATTCTTGTAAGTGCCTGTGGCTTGTCATCTCAGCTGAAGGCTCACTGGACCCAGGAAAGTCCATCTTATGCTTGACTCTACCCAGAAAGGGTCTGATGTCAGATCAGTGAGCTCTGTCGGCTCCCTGGTCACTGATTGCCTTATGAACCTAGTTGGATCAGGACCTAGGTCATCTCTACTGGATCATAAGGGAATTTATGTTTGCTGAGGATAGTCTTTGCCTGGTTGTGTTCACTGAATGTGATGTGTAGGTGATCTCTCTTCTCACTGTTGGTTTGACTTGTCTGTTACCCACTGAACATCTTTTACAGGAAAAATAGCATCTTTTATTTCTGTATGCTGAGCATCTGGTACAATTTCTAGCAAATGAGTGACACTTGGTAAATGTTGGTTGATAGAATGAATGATCATCTACATTTTATGAAATGGATGAAAAAATAGGCTAGTTCATCCATAGTAGACATCAGATTATAGTATAGTTCTTGCTGATTCTAAAATCAAAGATCTTTTTATTTTGCTGCATCTGGATTTCCAGGAAAATCATTTTAAGGAACTTTATTGCCAATAAGGGGTCTGAATTGCCACTATCCCATATGAAAGTGTCATAGTAATGATCATGATGATGTTGATAAATCTCAACTGTTGTAAGGATTTTTTTTGAGATTTGGCTTTGAAAGGTAGAACTCTCAGGAAAAAGGCAAGAAACAGAGATATGGCAAAAGAATAGAGAGTTATCTTCCTGCGCATCTAGTTTCTCTGTATAGTAGTTTATCCATCTCTAAGAGGGAGTCTCAGAGCTTGCTCCGGTAGCAGACGGTTGGGTTTATTAATTTCACTTTAAGTTACTTGTCTCCATATGCCTAGACAGACAGTACACTATAGGACAGTGGTTCTCAACTGGGGGAGGTCTTTTCCTCCAAGGGCACATTTGACAACAATTGAGGGCGGGTAGTGAGTGCTACTGGCATCTATTGGGTAGAGGCCAGGGATGCTGCTAAGCATCCTACAATTCACAGGACAGCCCCCAACAGCAAAGAATTGTCCAATCCAGAATGTCAATAGCACCGTCACAGAGATATCCTGTTACAGAGATGAAGAATGGCTGTCCAGCTGGATCATCTGGGTTGAACTCGTGGCTCTACCACTTTTTATCAGAGTGATGTTGGGCTCATAGTTGCTCAACTCTTTGTCCCTTATTTTCCCCAATGATAAAATGAAGATAGTAATAGCATCTTACATCATAGGATTAAAGGAATTTATGCGAAGACAGTGCTTAGAAAAGTTATTGGCAAATAGATATTCTTGATAAATATGACTATTAAATAAACTTGTTAATTAAATAATAAGGAATGATGCTTTGGTGAAACTACATCCGTTCTGGTTCTTCCATCATTCTATCTTCTTCTGTAGAAAAGTTAACAGTTGAGAGAAATTATTTTCTTTCGTACATTTTAGCTGGCTTGAAAATAGATATTGGTGTGCTTTTCCAGGGCAGGCTGCTTTGGCATGACTATCTCAGAGTATCTAGTGGGTTCACTAAGGGGTTGGTTAGCCGGATAAGTATTGTTAGTTGCGTGAAGTTGTCACCTTCAGGTGGGTATGCCTTCTTTCTCTATTGCAGGTGAAGATCCTCATGTATGAAAATGAAGTCCCAGGCAACCATGATTTGCTGCTTAGTGTTCTTTCTGTCCACAGAATGTTCCCACTATAGATCCAAGATTCACCTAAAAGTAAGTTTGATCTATTCCTATGTGATCCGAGGAGAAATCTCTCAGTTGCCCTCAATGGCAAGACTTCTGATAAATAAGATGTCATTTTAAATACATTTTCAAATGGTTACAACTTTACTCTTGCTGATAGTAACTTTCTAAAGAAGGGAACAAAGAAAAGCTGAGAGGTGGCAGGGACTTGCCTGGAGAGCTACAGTACAGTAGAATAATCAAGCTGCAATGGGAAATGTAGATAGAATGTAGATAGACTGCTGCTGAGAGAAGAAAGTACTCACCTGGCAGTTGAACAATGGAGAGTCAGATCTTAATTTTGCTTTCCACTAGTTGCACAAGTTGTTTCACTTTTCTGAGTCCCAAATTCTTTATCTATAAGATGAAGTTTTTAAAGATATTATTTATAGTTCTTTATAGACATAAGAGATTTGTGATTCTATTATTGCTACCTAGTGATTATTCCTAGTATTCCTAGTATTCCTGTTCATTTCTGTCTTCTAAGGATCTACAGTATCTGGTGGACCACATTAACTTCATTTCATCCTTACAGTTAATACAGGCAGAGAACAGATTAGTGGTTTAATTCTCATCTCTGTGTTCTCCCTGGATGCTTAAACTTTTTGAAAGATGTAGCATCTCTACTAACTTCACCTAGAAAGGCCAAGTGACCACCATCAAGGTTCTATCCCTTATCAGAGGGCGTGCATTCTCCCTGTGCTCTCATCCACATTTCCTTCAGCAAGTTACCGCAATACCAGCACATTTATCTGCTGCAGTTTTCTTTCTAGTCCTGAACACATTTTCTTTTCATATTCATATGGAGCCTCTAAGCTGAGATGAGGGAGCAGAGTCCCACAGTAAAGAGGACCATTGGGAATTTATATTTTTCAGGCTGGAGATAAACTTCAAAGCCCTGAAGGGAAACCCAAGACTGGAAGGATCCAAGGTATGTGGCTATAGAACAGTCTTCATCCATTTGAAGACAGGGAAGAATAAAGGAAGGGCACTGATGTTGCAAGCTTGTCCCCAGACCACAGGCTTTCCAACTGAATAGCAATCTCCAGTAAGTCCTCTGTGCTTACCAGTATTGATAGATTCTCTTACATTTATACCATTACCAGTGGCATAGTCAATGAAGGGAGTTAGCAAATATTCACATGTGCTCTAGAATAGTAGACAAATACATACTTCCAAATCCCAAAGAGAAATCTGTTCAAAGTAATGAGTTAACAGGAGGCAGAAAAGGAAAGAGGACAAGATTATTTCTTCCTTCATTCAAAGATATTTTCAGGGTGCTTAAATGTATGCAACACTCTGGTGCTGAGAACTCTATTAAAGCACTGTAAGATGGACATCATGGTGATGAGACTGGTCACTCTCAAGAAGTGAGAAGTAAACTAAGGGGGTAATCACTAGGAGTACTTCAGTGAAATCATGTGGTTCTCACTCATGTAGTAGGGAATAACTGGATTCTGCACAATTATGGCCAGGTGGCAAATACATTCTTATATAGATGTGGAAGTCAGAAAGAAAAGCAGAGAGAAAGGTAACTAACATTTACTGGGCATTTAAGACAACTTGAATCTAAGTGTTGCATAAAATGCTGTCTCATTCCATATTTGTAACAACATTATGGCATCATATTCAAACTATATGGAAGAAGAAAATGAGAACTACTCTGGTTAATGAACTTGCAAAAACTGTTGCAAATTTTACAAACAAGGTTTGATGCAAATTTTGCAAACAAGGTTTGGCAAAGCTTGGTTCCTTTTCCAGTGAATTCAGTCATCACAGAGCTGCCCAAGCCACTAAAGGTGACTCTCAGGCAACTGGTTACCTCATTTTATTGATTTGAACACCCTAATAGCTCTCAGCATCATTTACTTTCCATTTTCCCCAGCTGCTATCTTAACCTGAGAATATTTCAACAGCCTCGTTCTTCCTATCTGAAGTGCATGCACTCTGACCGATGGGCCACATTTGGCCTGCCACTAGTTTTGGTAAATAAAGTTTTTTCGGAACATAGCCATGCCCATTCATTTACGTATTGTCTTTGGCTGCTGTCACACTACAAAGGCAGGGTTGAGTAGTTGTGACTAAGACTCATATGGCCTGCAAAGCTGAAAATATTTACTCTCTGGCTAGAATTACCATATTTAGCAAATGAAAATATAGAATGCCTGATTAAATTTGAATTTCAGATAAACAATGAATAATATCGCATGGGTCATACAGACACTAAAAACTTATTTGTTGTTTATCTGAGCATTTACAGTCATTTATTATTTGCAGATTCTATATTTGCATATTTGCCTAATGCTGAAATTTATTTGTATTCCCTAAATCAATACTCCCAGTGCTTTTGTGGTCATTCACAGACATGCAGAGAGCAGCAAAAAATTGAGTTGCCCAGTGCATATGTTTTCAGCAGGGGCTGGACAAGGTGATGCTTTACCTTCTTGTTCTAGCTCTCCTACTATAAACAACTGTTCTTTCCTAGTCTACGTAGCATCACAGTTTTTTTTTTGTATTTTTGTGCTTTTTGTTGGTGATTTTGCTGTTTAAAATAGCCACCAAACATAGTGCTGAAGCCCTGCCTAGCATTCCTAAGCCAGAGAAGGCTGGAATGTGTCTTATGGAGAAAATGCATATGTTAGATAAGCTTTGTTCAGGTATGAGTTATAGTGCTATTGCCCATGAGTTCAATGTTAATGAATCGACAATATATATTAAATAAGGTATCTTTATATAGAAACACACATCAAACAAGGTCATATATTGATTAGTTGATGAAATTGTTGTAAGCAGAAGCTTGTAGGACCCTAACCTTATATTACCCTAGGAGCAATTGTTCAGAACACTTAGTATTCATGGTGACTTTATAGACCATACCTCCTGTGGATAATGAGAATCAACTGTGTGTGAAAATAAAATTGACATTTAACTGGGATTCCCATATTTTATCCAGCAACTCCATTTATGTGTTCCTTTACATAAAAGTTTATGGACTCCTGCTCTATCTTATCATCAATTATCTTTCAAAAACAAGTTCAATCATGTCTTCTGGTAACTCCCACATTAGCACAGCATTCAAGGCCCTGCATGAGTTAACCCCTGCTTTCCTTCCCACCCTCATCTCTTGCCACTCCCCCTTCAGGTGCTCTGGACTAGCCTTTCTGAATGATGTGAAATTCCCCTTTCCATGTGCTGTTTACTCTGCCTGGATACCAGCTGCACAATCTACCTGGCAGCTCTTACTCATTGCCGTGGACCCAGTTCAACCCAATTGCCTCCTCCAGGAAGCAATCCAAAAATCTCCAGAATGAATTTGATGCACCTGTCAAAATGTGGAAATCCTAATTGGGCTCCTGTCTCTCTCTCTTTCTCTTTTTTTCTTTATAGAGAAATGCGAAGGACCTTGTATTTCTTCTTCCAACTGCAGCCAGCCCTGTGCTAAGGACTTTCATGGAGAAATAGGATTTACATGTAATCAAAAAAAGTGGCAAAAATCAGCTGAAACATGTACAAGCCTTTCTGTGGAAAAACTCTTTAAGGTGATGCATTCACAAATTATTGGTGACAGAAGCCAATCCCCCAGCAGAAAGTAGACACATTTTTAATGTGATCTGTTCAGCATGACAAAAAGTCTCAGATCCGCACTTAGAAAAATCTACAGAATGGGTTAAATTTGTTTCTTGACCTTCTTTCCTTACCCAAACTTTCAGGTACTCTCCCTCCTCTCTATATGCTCTCTATTTCTCCCGCTAAGAAACTTTTCTCAAAAAAAAAAAAAAAAAGATATGAAACTCATTTATGCTATTGTGTATATGATTGCTTAGAGGTTACATTTTAGCTCTAAAGGTGGGTTGGTATGCCTCTTGTGATAATCAGTTAATCAACTAAATGTATCTAGGATCAAATTTATTTTGATATCTCTTTTTTTGTTTTTGAAATGGAGTCTTGCTCTGCCTCCAGGCTGGAGTGCAGTGGCGCAATCTCAGCTCACTGCAACCTCCACCTCTCGGGTTCAAGCAATTTTCCTGCCTCAGCCTCCCGAGGAGCTGTGACTATAGGCACGTGCCACCACACCCAGCTAATTTTTGTATTTTTAGTAGAGATGGGGTTTCACCATATTGGCCAGGATGGTCTTGATCTCTTGACCTCGTGATCTGCCCACCTCGGCCTCCCAAAGTGCTGGGATTACAGGCGTAAGCCACCGCGCCGGGCCTTGATATCTCTTTTTAATACTTTCAATCTCTTGACCAAAAGAAAGGAGAGATGTGTGCTCAATCTAGAGGAACAGAATTGAATGCATACAACACATCCAGTTAAAGTTAAAATCTCTTTTATATCCTTCCAGGTAGCAACTATTTTCTTCTACCTCCCCTGCAATCCCATGGAAGCACATGGATGTCTGCATTTTCTAAAATTTTAACAGTGGTTTTACAAGGGGATTGCAGCTGGCTTCTCTGTCACTTAGCCTAGGTAATCACCTAGAAGTCCTTGCAACTATGGTCACACTCGAAAGTGAATGAAAGGAAATAAATAATTGCTTTGCTTTATACAAAGCACATTCTGAGTGAGTCTAGGTAAAAGAATCAGAAAATGAGCAAATCACTTCTTCTAACTAGTAAACTCTAAAGTCTGAAATTGTCATTCCTTAGCATTCTGTGTTTGACCTGCCAACCTCCCAAATCCACTCCCCCATGAAATTCCATGTGGTTCTTCTTTCCCTTCTCTGTAGAAAATTATCTTGTTATAATACTTGAGTTAAAAATCACTGTCCTGAAAGCAAATTCCAATAGTAAAGGTCAATATCCTGGTTTCTGGTAATTTGGGTGAAATCCTCTGCCTCTTTCTGATCCCACTGTATCGTCTCCACCCCCCTCTGCATCAAAACCACTTTTTAGGACTCTTTGCTTCTCCATCTACCTTACCCATGTAGATTGTGCTTTAACTCCTTTAGTCTGATACATGGTAGGTACTTAATCATTTTTGAATGAAACTACATTTGTTTTAAACAGGACTCAACTGGTGCATCTCGCCTTTCTGTAGCAGCACCATCTATACCTCTGCATATTCTAGACTTTCGAGCTCCAGAGACCATTGAGAGTGTAGCTCAAGGAATCCGTAAGAACTGCCCCTTTGATTATGCCTGCATCACTGACATGGTGAAATCATCAGAAACAACATCTGGAAATATTGCATTTATAGTGGAGTTATTAAAAAATATTTCTACAGACTTGTCTGATAATGTTACTCGAGAGAAAATGAAGGTATTCTTTGTTAATCATTTAAAAATGATGTTTTTCTTAAAATTTTCATTTGAATAGTTTCAAATATACTTTCCAGGGCAAAAACTACAGTGACAGCAACCATCAAAGCAACAGCAGGCATTTCACTTCGGTTTGGGATATTGATTCATTATAGTTTATGGAGGTTTTCAAGTAGTTAAAACATTTTTAATACCTATCTTTGTACACACTTCATATTTTGAAGAAAATATCACATAGTGTAGTGATGGCTATGAGCAAGACGGAATGTACACTAATGTTTCTAAATTATATTAGAACAGGGGTCCCCAACACCCAGGCAGTGGATTGGTACCGGGCTGTGGCCTCTTAGGATCTGGGCTACACAGCAGGAGGTGAGCGGAGGGTGAGCGAACATTATCACCTGGGCTCTGCCTCCTGTTGGATCAGCTGCAGCATTAGATTCTCGTAGAAGCACGGACCTTATTGTGAGCTGCCTATGAGAGGGATGTAGGTTGTGTGCTCCTTAGGAAAATCTAATGCCTGATGATCTAAGGTGGAACAGTTTCATCCTGAAACCATCCCTACCTCTGCCACCCAGAGTCCATGGAAAAATTGTCTTTCATGAAGCTAGTACCCGGTGCCAAAAAGGTTGAGGACCACTGCTGTAGAACATAACCATTCTGAGAAAGTTAATGGAGATTCCATTTTTAAAAGGGAGATCTGTAGCCCATCAGTTGTGGGAGGTTCTGAGTTAAACAAAGTTAGGCAAGTTTCCATATGGCAGGACTTTTCAGAGCCTTTAATATCCTAATGAACTTTGGAATTCTTTGTAAGGCAGAGGGAGATAGGGACAGGGTGTGCAGTCTTTCTCAAGCTTGGATGACCAGAGAACATACCTCCACTCTCCTCCATTAAACAATCATTAAAATCTCATGGGAAACTTGGGTTCTACACACTGCAGTCTGGAAATGCTGCCCTGCGTGCAATAATAAAGCAGGTAAACCTTAGCTGTGATTTTTTTTTGCATTATTTTACTTTTCTTCCCTCTGTGTGGCCTTACTAATGTGGATTCTAATACATAGGGAATTTGAAGAGAAATATGCCAAATAAGATTGGGTAACCTGATCTTTAGAAATTTCAGGTTTTAGAAATCAACTTTGTACAACAATGTGTAAATCCTTAGTATAATGTTCACCTTTCTCCATTGCAGAGCTATAGTGAAGTGGCCAACCACATCCTCGACACAGCAGCCATTTCAAACTGGGCTTTCATTCCCAACAAAAATGCCAGCTCGGATTTGTTGCAGTCAGTGAATTTGTTTGCCAGACAACTCCACATCCACAATAATTCTGAGAACATTGTGAATGAACTCTTCATTCAGACAAAAGGGTTTCACATCAACCATAATACCTCAGAGAAAAGCCTCAATTTCTCCATGAGCATGAACAATACCACAGAAGATATCTTAGGAATGGTACAGATTCCCAGGCAAGAGCTAAGGAAGCTGTGGCCAAATGCATCCCAAGCCATTAGCATAGCTTTCCCAACCTTGGGGGCTATCCTGAGAGAAGCCCACTTGCAAAATGTGAGTCTTCCCAGACAGGTAAATGGTCTGGTGCTATCAGTGGTTTTACCAGAAAGGTTGCAAGAAATCATACTCACCTTCGAAAAGATCAATAAAACCCGCAATGCCAGAGCCCAGTGTGTTGGCTGGCACTCCAAGAAAAGGAGATGGGATGAGAAAGCGTGCCAAATGATGTTGGATATCAGGAACGAAGTGAAATGCCGCTGTAACTACACCAGTGTGGTGATGTCTTTTTCCATTCTCATGTCCTCCAAATCGATGACCGACAAAGTTCTGGACTACATCACCTGCATTGGGCTCAGCGTCTCAATCCTAAGCTTGGTTCTTTGCCTGATCATTGAAGCCACAGTGTGGTCCCGGGTGGTTGTGACGGAGATATCATACATGCGTCACGTGTGCATCGTGAATATAGCAGTGTCCCTTCTGACTGCCAATGTGTGGTTTATCATAGGCTCTCACTTTAACATTAAGGCCCAGGACTACAACATGTGTGTTGCAGTGACATTTTTCAGCCACTTTTTCTACCTCTCTCTGTTTTTCTGGATGCTCTTCAAAGCATTGCTCATCATTTATGGAATATTGGTCATTTTCCGTAGGATGATGAAGTCCCGAATGATGGTCATTGGCTTTGCCATTGGCTATGGGTGCCCATTGATCATTGCTGTCACTACAGTTGCTATCACAGAGCCAGAGAAAGGCTACATGAGACCTGAGGCCTGTTGGCTTAACTGGGACAATACCAAAGCCCTTTTAGCATTTGCCATCCCGGCGTTCGTCATTGTGGCTGTAAATCTGATTGTGGTTTTGGTTGTTGCTGTCAACACTCAGAGGCCCTCTATTGGCAGTTCCAAGTCTCAGGATGTGGTCATAATTATGAGGATCAGCAAAAATGTTGCCATCCTCACTCCACTGCTGGGACTGACCTGGGGTTTTGGAATAGCCACTCTCATAGAAGGCACTTCCTTGACGTTCCATATAATTTTTGCCTTGCTCAATGCTTTCCAGGTAAGTTCCAAGAGGGAGACTTTTCTGTGTTACTCCGACTAGACCACAAAAAAATGGCTATGATTTGAAATTATATAACACAAAATGTTCTCTCCACTTCCTTTTACATCTTAGGGTTATTTGGCTATGGCATCTGTGACTGTATTGATTGTCAAGTTGAATTTAGCTGACCAGGGTGGTTGGGTGGAAATCTCCTTCCTTCTTTCCTCACTGATGCACCTGTATCCCTACTAAAGTTTCAATGTTAGAAGAAGCTAACCTTCACTTATAGAGGACTATTCTTTGGTCAGGGATATGTGAGGCTACATGTTATGCCTCAAAACAAGCATATTTTTTATCCTTTATCCAGTGGTTTGGGAACTCAGTGAGATAACAGTCACTTTCTATATTATGAAGTAATGGGCCTTGCCACTCACTTTGGGTGTTAGCCAGTCAGGAGTTCTCATACCTCTTTCCTGCTAGTCCCTGTGAAATAAAAATAAATTGTTATTTATAGAAACAGATCTTGCCATATGTTAGCTGATCTTGGGAATGCCACTTTTCTCTGGGCCTCAACTATTTGGTTCTTTGCAGTAGAATGTTCCCCACTACTCTTTTAAATAATGTAACTAAACATCAAAGTATTCCTATTAACATGTCAGTATCATTCTGTTTAAAAGCATGATACAAAATAGAAAGCAGACTTTAAAGAAATGCCAACTCAGATCAATTATATATCTTACCCATAATTCTGTAGTAACTATAGAGCACATTTATTATACTCTTTCTGTTGCATTGCTTTACAGTGAAATCTTTGACATGAGGGATTTTTTTTTTTTTTTTATCAAAGACTCTGGGACTTTTGATAAATTTCCCCACTCTTGAAGTTACTCTGGTGAGTAATGATCTCATCCTTTCTTACTTTGCAATTTAATTAAACCCTGGGAAATTTTGCTCTGTATTTCTTTTTCAGTTCATTTGTGTTTCTCTCTTCTTGATAGAAAGAAAAATACCCAAATGCTTTTAGTTATATACATTTCTCCTTTCTCAGCAAGCTCTTCCTAAAATTTTAATCTGATGAGTGTTTCTTCACCATGAACTCTCCTTAGATTGATAGTGAAAAGACCCTAGCCTTATAAATCTCTGTAGCATTCTCTTTCTTTTATGTAGAAATGTTTTTTTTTTCCACCAGCTTAGAGGCCTTGGCTGTCTATTTACTGACTTTTAACTCCAACTCAAAGTAGACTAGAATATAAGTTTCGTTTTCTTAAGACACCTTCCATGATTGTGATTTTGAATTACAAGTTTCTGTCACATGTTTCTGTCATCACGAGTAGAAACAGCTACCTCAATATTTGGGAAGAAAGTAACATAACTGCATAAGGCTGAAAACTATCCTACATCTACAGCCATTCAATAAATATCAATAACCCTCCTGCACATTCCTTTGTGGGTGATGATCCTCTTCCAAGGGTGGGGGCAGACTCAAAGGAACACCCATCAGTGCATTTTTATCTGCATTAGTGGAAACTGAACTTTCTAATGTCCAATAACTGCCCTAGGAGGTATCTAGAAGAGCGGTATGAAAATAACAGCAGGAATATTTTTTGAAAAACCATCCCTCATGAATCTGTTCAATTTTGCCACAGGGTTTTTTCATCCTGCTGTTTGGAACCATTATGGATCACAAGGTAATTTGAATTTGCTTCCTCCTTATAAATGGTTTTCATGTGGCTGGGGGAAGCAGGAGGATGAAGCAGTTTTGATTGGAGAGCATACTCCAGGGGAGTTGAGTTTGTGAGGATGGTTCAAGGAATCAGCTGTGAAAAGAAAAAAAAAACACACCAATATTCTGTCATTTCTTGCTCTTTATCAAGTCAACAGGAGGCTGTGTGCAAGTATTGCTGGTGAAAAGAATGGAAATCATAATCACAATTTTAGTCCTAATACCAAATCCCAAATCTAATTATAATTACACCCTAGCTTTTATCCAAATCTTGTTACTTGCCAGTCACTATGCTAAGTCCTCTGATATTGCTTCTGCCAGGGTTACTGGTCTTAAAGTTTCAGGACAGGCAATTCTGTTGTTTCTTCCAACATCTGTGAGGTACTTCTCATTGTCATTGCTTCTTTAGATAAGAGATGCTTTGAGGATGAGGATGTCTTCACTGAAGGGGAAATCGAGGGCAGCTGAGGTAAGCCTTCCCCTTTTAGTCTCAGCCCTGGAGAGTCCGTGTCCTTGCCGGTTATGCAGAGACAAATACCATAGCTCAGTACTCAGGATCTGTGGGCAAAGAGGATCAATAAAGCGTACTTCATTCATTCATTTCTTCATTCGGTAAATTTGGAGTGTTCTGCTAAAACTGAAGGTCAGTGGAATATACCCTTCAAGGGAATGTTTCACATTGGATGTATTTCAGCTTGACATTTGAACCCATCAAGATGGGACCACATGAACTCAGGATCACAGATTGGTAAAATGTGAGAGCGCTGAAATGAGAAATGAGTTAGAAATGAGATTCTAGTCCAACCCATTCATTTTACAGGTATGGAAATCAAAGCCCAGAATACTTATGGGATGGGCACATGGCCACCCAGCTAATCAGTAGCAGAATCACAACAGGGAGCAATTGGCATTAAAATCTCTTTCCATTCTCCTTATTTGAGACTCTTTTGAGTAAACCATACTCTCTTGGATTGGAGTATCTATGTATTTAGAGATCTTGAAGACTTTGGGCCTGGCTATCAGTCTCTTAAGGCACCAAGTAAAATTGCTGATACTACTTTATTAATTAGAAGTTATTTGTTTAACCTACAGATTCACATTAGGAGCCCCTTCCTTAAAAACGAAAACTTTTTGGATACATTGATAACTACCATTTATATTTAGATAGCATTGAGTGGGACTTTTAGTATCATAATTTATCTATTCTAAGATAGGCATTTTCTTCGTCTTTTAACGTTTCTGAAATTGGAATGTATCTTATATTCAATGGCATGTCATAGTTTAGTTGGAAAGTTTTGTTTCTTTTTATTTTTTAGCAGAACATAAAAATAACGATGTAGCTTACACTTAGATTCAGTGAAATATGATAATTTACTTCTGTGTAGCTATATCAGTGTGGGTACTCCTTTTCATGTATTCATTTTCACATATTTATCTCTAGAGAGGGATATACATTTTGTCAATATAATTACTCATTACCACTACTGTTATTTTTCCCCCACTTAGAATGCATCACTAGGCCCAACCAATGGATCTAAATTAATGAATCGTCAAGGATGAAATGTGAGTATTAAAAATATAAAGAGAAATTTCACTTGCAATTTGTGTCAATCCACCAATGCCCCTTGTGACCACACTATTGCCTGCTACGTGCTGCCAGAATGAGGTGGGAGGGGAAGAGGGGGACATCTTTTTCAAAGAATGGAAACATCTTTATTGTCTAGCACATAAATGAAAATATGTACATTTTCTGTAAAACCTATGTCATCTCAGCTTACATGACCAAACCCATCACACCTGCTGTCTACAGTGCTCACATACCTTAATTCCATCTTGTCAGTGAGTAATAACACTCATAATAGCCCCATTGTTGAAAAAGAACACTTGATTGATTGGAATTACAAAGCAACAGGTCTGTCTTTCTTAATGAAGTGGAACCCAGAATCATTCCTAAGGGGGTATGGGTGGGGTTGCGGCAAATTAGCTACCTACTTATAGCCAACCCCTGAGACATATTTCTACACAGGTGAAACCAGGGGAGAACACACATTAGGCAGCCAGGAAGCAGGAGAATAAGTCACAAAATGGCAGCCAGAAGCCTGAGAGGTACTGGGGGAATGTGGGCAGGGATGATCAACCTTGGGAATGGGTTTGCTTGGAGAGGTTTCGTGGCCTTTCTGCATTGTTATAGAAGAGTTTCAGACTTTCAAACAAAATACCATTTGGCAGCAGCCACATCCTTTTTATATTTCTTTCCCTTTCTAAGTCATGGTCCATATATTGAGCAATGGGCCAAAACAAGGGGCTGAGTCTCATGGAACCAAAGACACTCTGAGTTGGAAAAACCTTTAAGGGACATCCATGTTACAGACCCTACAAACCATATGCTGTGCTGGTATGGGATACTGACATACAGTCGCAGGGAGAGGGAGAGAGAGGTGGAGGGCTGTGTCATATACATGGAGTGGCATGTGTTAGTGCTGGGAAAACGGGGAGAGGAAAACACAGGCCTGTTATCTTTAATAATTGTCCTCCTATTTGGAATTTTATAGGAGACCTTTACAAAAGTTGACCCTTCTGCTCGCTGCCCATTTCCTAGTCTGTCAGCTTCCTCGGGGATGAAACATCGCTATAACGTTTCTTAATTTGCCACTAATAGAGAGTCATTAATTCAAATGACCTATTAAAAACACAGCTGGCCTTTCTATTAAGGTCCTACTTAAAGAACCGCTTGTTTTAGGTTTATCAGACTGTCTCAGGTGGAGGGGGCCCTGCCTTTGGGGGATACTGTGTCCAGCCTTTCAAGAGAAGAAGTGCGTAGTGAAGGCCTTATCTCCACCTGGTTGGGGATCCTAGGTTGGCTGTAGTCTAAGTTGGAGAAACACAGTAGAAGGCAAGATCAGGAGCTACACTACTTACTAGGGTTGGGGATGTACAAAGGAGTCTGCCAGTATTAGAAGGAAGTCCAGGAAGGAGGTGGAATGCCCTTACAATACTCTCTGAAGAAGTCTTCATCACATAATTCTCTATCAAGTTGCTGTATTTTTGAAGCTACATGAGGTAGGCGAGGAACTGAGGACTGGATTCTTTTAGCATATCCCTTGCAAGTGGCTCTGTGCCTATTGAATTTTCTCAGTATTGGGGACTATGCTTTTCACATCTGGACACACATGGTACCAGAAGGGCTCTATAATTGCAGCTGGCATCATGGTAGACCATGTTGGGGACCTAACAAAGATTACAGTACAGGGCTAAGAAATTCACACTAGATGATCCTCCAAAGTCCAGAGTGGAGGGTGGCAGCACCAGGGGGTCTCTCAGCGGAGACAGGGGCCCCACACACAGTGTTCAGGGCAAAACCCCAGGCACACTGGGGGTGTTTGGTAAGCACCAGGAGAGGTGGTGGTCCAGGGCAGGGCTGAACCACGAGGGAAGGCAGTGTTCCAGACCTTCACCAAGAATAGAGGATCGAAGGCTGACATGGTCTCAGGAGGTAGGCAGAATTCTGGGAAATGGGTCGAGAGGTCAGAACTGGACTTGCAAGGAGAATTGAGGCTTCCAGTGTTGGGGGACACTCCTCATATCCCAATGATCGCAGGTCAGAATTGTTCTTAGAAACAGGGTTGAGACAGGTCTGTCAGGTGGTCCCAGGGTCAGGGAAGGAGGACTGCAGAGGTGGAGAAACAGGGAACTTAGCTTTGGGTATAGATTCTCATTGGGAACCCCATTCTGGGAGGCAGGGGAGAGAGGGCCACGGCATTCTGTTGGCGGCCACAGCTCCACAGCACCTTCTGTTGTTCATATCAAGGGTAGGACAAGCTGGCTGTTAGATTCCAGGGGCACCAGGAAGGCTCTGGGTTCCTCCAGTGTCTTGCATGTATTTGTTTATGCCTGTTTAGTATTGGTTTATCACTAAAAGGATACAGAGTTTTTCACTCCACAATAATAAATGAGACTGGTTGAGCATATACCCGGAGGGAAGCAACACGGTTTACAATGTAAATTCACAGCAGCAGAGGCATTCTAGAATCCAAGTTCAGACAGCAGAGCGGGAGAGAGGGCACTGAGCACCGAGTTTAGGGTGGAAGGAGCAGCCCAGGGAAGGCAAAGGGCACCAAAAATTGCAGCTGGGAGAATCGCCTTTTTACTGTCTGACCTTGAGGAAATTACTCAACGGCTCTGTGCTTCATTTCGTCTTCTGTAAAGCAGAGTTAATAATAGTACATGCCTCCCAGGATAGTTTCAGGATTAAATGAGCTAACACGTTAAAAACCCAATGCAAGCTATTATTCTTGCTATTAATTGTTTTTCAACCATATTTCCCAGGCTGCCCCATTTCTCATGGATGTCCTGAGACCAAGAGGGGAGATCCAGGAGAAAGAGGCCATGGAAAGCAGGCTGGAGTGAGGAGGAATGGTCATGCTTCCTTGGAAGACTTTCTCTTCTTGTCAGGAGTGACTCCCAAGCTCTTGGTCGGCCGAAGAAAAACTGAGGATAACATTTGCTGACTGGGCTTTAAGGAGCATGATTTATGGACCCCTTAACCTACCCGTGCCCTGCAAGAGGCTGGCTTCTTGGTCAATCTTGACTAGATTAAGAGTCAATCTGCAAGCCATTTTATGGTCTCCCTGGCCAGCTGGGGGCTGTAGGGCCCTGCTGGGCTTGGTCGTCTTTCACTCCTGAGGCCTGCTCTGTGGCTCCATAGCTCAGTCCTCCATCACTCTGCGTGGATCCTGGGTACTTTGGACAGTGAGGGTTCGATCCAATTTTAGGGGTAGGGTTGGGGGTGGGAGTGGGAGTGTGGGTTGGCAGGAGGAAGAATGAGTCTACTTTGGAGACAATTAAGTCATGGTACGTTTCCTAAAGATAGGGAACGGAAGAAAAGCAAGAGAACTGTTTAATATGCTGATTATTTTAGTCTATTTTAGACCTTGAGTAAACTAATTTAGCTTCTAGGATCCAAGTTTCCTTATTTGTGAAACAGGAAAAAAAAATTCTTGTAGGTATTACTGTTTGTGTGTTTGAGTTTACTGCACATGTTTGTGTTTGTGTATATGTGTCTTTTAAAAATACTATATATAAAGAAGATTCTGGTTGTTATTTTAGACATAAACGAATATATGTACCTTTCACAACTTGCGCATGTGTGAGTTCATTTGAGATGGGCTTCTCCGTTGGTACCACACATTCTTGGGTACCAGTGCTGCTATCAATCCACCTCAGTGCATTGACCGTACCTACAGGAGGCCTGAGAATGCAAGCCTGCCATGTGTTCACAGGGCGGGAACCTGGAAATATTTAGCAAAGAGCTCTAGTGTCTTTCAGGGACTCTCAGTGAAATTTCTATCACCAGTTTGGTTTTATAGTGAGGCATTCAGTACTGAAGAAGGACATTTGTGTGGGTAGAGCACTCTGTTCAAATTGTGGAAGTCGTAAAAGCCGATTAGTAGTCATGTTTTTTCATAAAACAAACCACAAAACAACTGAATGAATATCTCTTTGCAGGGCTCCTGTCAAAACCTTTAGTATTGGTTTAGAAACAAGATAAGACTTGGTTTCAAACTAAATGCACTTTGTTCAAATTGTGGAAGTCATAAAAGCCAGTTAGTGGTCACGCTTTTTCATAAAACAACAAAACAACTCAATGAATATCTCTTTGCAGGGGCATGTCAGAACTTTTAGTATTGGTTTAGAAACAAGATAAGATTTGGTTTCAACCTAATAGTAATTATTTAAAGGGTGAAAATTCTAGGTCAGTTGCAAATTTTTCTCCTCTCATAAAAATGAAAATAAAATGTTCATTGGAGAGACATGAATTTAACTTTTAGATGTATGAAAGTTCCTTAGCATTAATTTATTAATCCACATTTCCTTCCTGACTCTTGCCACTATAAAAACAACTTTTATTTCTCTCAATCCAGAAATTCCTGAGCATTATGCAATTCTAAGCCAAATAATTGTCTTTGGTTGAGTAGATTTATTTGGTACTGTAACGAGGCCAAATTTATGATTTCCATATGCTAATACCATTTAGTCTTTCTTTTCCATATTTTCCAAAGCTTTCCATCTTTGTAGCACATAGTAAGAGAAATATAGTACTAGGTGCAGTCAGTTCTGCAATAAGGCCACATATGCATTTCTAAAAATCACCTCGCTCTGCAAAATAGGCAATAAAAACCACAGAGCTTATGGGGAAAATGGATTAGAGATAAGACGTGGCAAAACTTTGTCAGAGACACATTAAAAAAGATAACTGAATAAAAATTATAGCACAGTTTTACTCATACTAAATGGTCAAGAAACATATAAATATAACTCTCTCTCTCTGTCTCTCTCTCTCTATATATATATATACACACACACTTTCCATTGAAGAAGATCTGAAATTTGCTTTTGGAAGTAGCTGTCAAAAAGGTTGCAGGTTGTTAGTTATTGTGAAGGAAGGTTATCTGACATTGATAGAAAGTTGTAACACCAGAAGTAAATTGGTGTAGCTTATAACACATGCAGTGCATTGAGAGAGCTGGTAGATGGTTGAAGTTTGTGTGTGTGTGGGTGAGTGTGTGCATGTTTTGTATACACCTACATTGCTTGATTCATGTACATACAGTTTTCTGGGTTCACCTAATGTTTCTTGAAGATGGTACCACATATTAGCAAACATGAAATTCATGTTATGTTCAAATTATTCCCTAATATATCCATCCAGTTAGAACAAATTCTTGTTTTCAAAACAAGCATTATAGCAGAACTGACTGTATTTCGTGGTAAACCACCATAAAGAATAGTGAGTTCCAGCACTGAAATGCATTAAAAACCACCTAGAAAGCTTCTAAAACCATGAAACCCTGAGCCTTACCCCCAGAGATTCTGATTCAGTTAGTCTTTGAAAATGGGGGAAAAGAAAACCTTTCTAAGTGGAAGAACAAAGAAAGAGAAACTTCTTGCTCAATAGGTTTAATTCAGATAAATAGTTATTGATTTCTTACTGTATGTGCCTACATTGAGGGGTACGAGTGGAGAAAATGAAGTCTCTCTTAGTCTTCTGCTTGTGACCAAATATCTATCCACAGAAAAAGATGATATAAAACAATTTTATCTAATATTGAATTATTACACAAAGACTTGATGCAATGAATATATCAGAGAATTGAGGAATTGGATGGTGGTCTGAGAGCGAGTGGAACCTGAGCTGGGCCTAATGGCTGGAAAGGATTTGAACAGATGCTTATTCTAGGTCCGGAGGAGAGCATGAGCACTTCAGAGAGGGAAGTACTCATGGGAGACCATGCAGAGAGCAGCCTAACCAAAGTGGAGGCCATGCTGGCCATAGAAGGAGAGTGGGTCAGATTCTGGAAGGCCTAGCATACCTGGTGGGGGTGATGGGGCTGGATCTGGTATGTGACAGTAAAGATAATAAATACTGCTTACTGCACAGCTTTCTGTTTTGGAGAACAATGGTTAGTCCTATTAAGGAAACCAAAGACTCAGAGAAATGTGGAGAGGATGACAGGGTGGAGTGAAGGGGCTATCTGTTAGGAAGGCACTGCCCAGGCTCTTGGATGACTATCTTGCTGTGATTCCAGTATCCAGGCATGAACCCTAGGCAGAAATACCTCAGCCCTGAGCCACTCATTTAAAGGCAAATTTTATTGCTATGGATTTCTCCCTCCTGGTAAATGTTACAAGTCAATGACTCAATGGTTGTGGTTCCATTAAAGCCCTTCGTATTAGTCCATTTTGCATTGCTATAAAGGAATTACTGAGACTGGGTAATTTGTAAAGAATAAAGGTTTATTTGGCTCACGCTTCTGCAGGCTATTTACAAGCATGGTGCCAGCACTGCTGGGCTTCTGGTGAGGCCTCAGGAAGCTTGGCATAAGGGACGGGGAACAGGTGTATCTCATAGTGAGAGAGGAAATGAGAGAGAAGGAGGCACCAGGTGTTTTTTAACAATCAGTTTTCATGTGAACTAATAGAGTGAGAATTCACTTATTGCTATGGGGAGGGCACCAAGCTATTTGTAAGCGACCCATCCCTATGGCCCAAACACCTCCCATTAGGGCCCACCTCCAACACTGGGGATCACATTTCAACCTGTGACTTGGAGGGGACAAACATCTAAAGGATATCATTCTTTAAAAAGAAATCCATTTTTACGTGCATACTGTGGCCAGGTGGTATTTTGTCATCTCTTCACCCATTTCATTCATTCCATTGGCATATCTGGCTGAAAGTTTGTATCGCAAACAGAAGGGGCAGCTTTTACATAGCTTTGTTTTTGCAATCCAGCTGTTTGAGGGATAGCAATCTGCCTGGGGAGTGGAGAACTGGTTTTCAGAGTTACAGGACCTTGGGGAAACAGTCACTGAGGGGCACCCCTGAAAGAGGCAACAGGAGAAAGGAGCTCTCATTCTGCCCAATTCCCACAACTTCCTCTGGGAGACGGCCTGTGAAGATTTAACAGCCCTCAGTGCAGGATGTGATGAGCTGGCAAAGAAAAGACTTTAGCTGATAAAACAAATGAAGAATGTTGAAGCTCATTAAACAAGAAACAATCAAGCATGTGCAGAAGAGTGCCACCCTTCTATATGATATGGGTATTTTAAGACAGTGGATAGAACCTTTTTTCAGACACATAAATGGGGTATGGAAGTCAGGAAGTAAAGACGATGAACATCTACACCTTTGGGCCTGGGGACTTTTGGGGAGAGTTGGCTGGATTGGGGCTTGGTTCTGTGATGCCTGTCATACATAAGCGGTATAGGCCAATGGAAAGAAGCTAGGTTTTGGAGAGTCAGGTGTGTCTGTCATTTCAGTTCTGTCCTTTCCACTTTCCAACGGGTGACTTGGGCAAGGTATTTAGGCTCTTGGAGCCTAATATTTAGTCTAAATGCTCATCTATAAAATGATAATATAAAACACACCTTATGGTATGGCTTAGAGTAAAGAAGCTATCTATGAAAGCACCTGCCCTCATGTCTAACACATGGTAGATACCTGAGAAATGTTAGTCCCCCTTCCCCATCTGTCTGTTTTTCTGGGGATGAGGGGATGGTGGTAGTACTAGAGAAGTGGAATCAAGGACTTATGTATTAAGACTTTTATTAGGCTTGAGAGCAAGAGTTAGAAGAAACCTCCAAATGTCCTTCTAGTGATTAGGACTGGTTCAGGATAGGAAAAGGGAAAGAGTTTCAGAGCAAGGATCTGCTTCAGGAAAAAAAAATATATATAGATAGATAGCTGGGTCTTGAAACTGGTTCAAGAGAATGAACCTTATATGGGATAATATTAATTTTCAGAGGAACCAGTTGTGGAGAAGACAAATTCTATTCTTGAATGACTTTAGTAACTTAATTGTTCAACGCAAAGAAAGTTCTGGGGGAGATTAGTGGTAAGAGCTCGCTCTCTGAATGCTAAAATTCTAGCTGGAGCGATGTCCCTACAGTTGTATTAAAATTAAGAAGATAAGCCTTTGGGATAGGTAACATGACCTATGCCTCAAGACATTCAACATCTCCATCTTGGTTTCTCTATCTCTAAAATGGTATTTACAGTATGAACCCTTCCCATATGTTGTTATGGGATGAATTATGTCTCTTCCAAAATCTGTATGTTGAAGTTCTTATTCCCACCACTTTAGAATGTGCCTACATTTGCAGATGGGGCTTTTAAAGAGGGAATTAAATTAAAGTGAAGCTGTTAGGGTGTGCTCTTATCCAATGTAATTGATGTCCTTATTAGGAGAGGAGATTAGGAGACAGAAAAGCACAGGGGGAAGACCATGTGAAGACACAGGGAGAAAACAGCCATCTGCAAGCCATGGAGTGAGAACTTAGAAGATGTCAACCCTGCCAACACCTTGATCTTGGACTTCTAGCCTCTAGAATTATGAGAGAATACATTTATGGTTTTTTTTGTTTGTTTGTTTTTGAGACAGAGTTTCGCTCTTGTTACCCAGGCTGGAGTGCAATGGCGCAATCTTGGCTCACTGCAACCTCTGCCTCCTGGGTTCAGGCAATTCTTCTTCCTCAGCCTCCCAAGTAGCTGAGATTATAGGCACCTGCCACCACACCTGGCTAATTTTTGTATTTTTAGTAGAGACAGGGTTTCACCATGTTGGCCAAGCTGGCCTTGAACTCCTGACCTCTGATGATCTGCCTTGGCCTCCCAAAGTGCTGGGATTACAGGCGTGAGCCACCACACCCAGTCAACAAATTTATGTTTTAAGCTGTCCAGCCTGTGGTAGTTTGTTATGGCTAACCTAGCAAGCTAATATACATGCCTAGAGATATTTTTAGATGAATGAAATTCTTCATGAGAATATGTATTTATTTATTGGAACAAAAGTTGGATACAATGCATTATTATCATTACAAGTCTGCACAAACAAGCTTTTTATTCTTAGCTCCACTGTGGGGTCTTTTATTTCCATTTTCAAAATAATAGGCCAATAATAGGGTGGATTTTATTTCAGGCAATTCCAATCTAAATATTTGTTGAAGTTAGCTATTTGCAAAAAGCATCAGAGCAGCTAGTATAGTGTAGTAGTTATAAAGACAAACATGATGCAGTGTTGTACTGCAAGGAGTTTGTTGTGAAAATGGCCATCCGTTTATATTCTCAAAGCAACTATCTTGAAGAAACCAATTACAGTGGATGTGGTGAGGCACTACCATGACCTTCCTTTCAGGATCAAGTCACTCATTCCCCCAGCTGCCAGGAGTGTTGCTGGCTAATGGCTTACAGCTGTTCTCAAGCTGCACCCAAGACTGGGTAATTTATAAAGGAAAGAAGATTAATTGACTCACAGTTCAGCATGGCTGGAGAGGCCTCACAATCATGGCTGAAGGCAAAGGCACGTCTTACATGGTGGCAGGCAAGAGAGCTTGTGTAGGAGAATATCCCTTTATAAAACCAGCAGATCTCATGAGACTTATTCACTATCATGAGAACAGCACCAGAAAGACCCACCCCATGATTAAATTACCTCTCACTGGGTCCCTCCCACAACACGTGGGAATTATGAGAGCTACAATTCAAGATGAGATTTGGGTGGGGACAAACCACATCACACCCTAAGCATTGTCCTCCAAGAACTGAAGTAAACTGCCTCTCTCTATATCATGCCAAGGTCAGCTTGCATGCAATGATTGAATGACATTAACCATAAAGGCCTTGCTCAATTTGGAACATTTCTGAAGGACCACTCAGCTCCAGAGCTTCCTGTGGGATCAGCAGAGGCCACTGTTCATTGCTTCATAGTTCATCTCTTCCTTCTTCCCAATCTGGCTGCTTTCATTCCCCCTCAGAAATACTCCCCAATAAACTTTATGCAAACAAACCTCCATCTCAGATTCTGCTCTTCAGGGAATGTGAACAAGGATGCCATTCATAGAAAACTATTTTTTTTGGTATACTAATGATATTCTTTGCTCAGAGTAAGTGGAAGTAATTGATAGTCTGATGTTTTGCACGATAGACTGTATGTTTATGAAAATTTTCTGACAGAGAACATGTGCTCAATGGAAGTAGGGCTCACTTAAAAAAAATAAGCCACATAGCAGCCAAATAAATCTGGGATCCAAATATTTTGAGTTACTAAGCCATTATTAGAGAGCTACCCATCAGTGACCTTGCAGGCTACTGGAACTATGTAAAGAGAAAACACAGGGCTGATGTGGCTACCCAGGATAAATGCACCTTGAGATATGATTGTTCCTCCCAGGAATGGGCCACCCATTTCCAAAGGAGCTCTGATTTTAGTGTACAAGCAGTCTATATTCTAGTGTTCTTGGTTTTCAGAGTGATTTATTGTAAAGAAATCAGGAAATAAATCAGGCTCTGGAATATGTTCTGAGCTCTGAGAACACCTGAGTACCACCAGTCATGTAAGTCATAACTCTTCTGTCCATCTCTTTCTTCACCTCTCACCATGGACAGAGTGGAAAAATGGGCTGCAATCAATCCTGAATCTCCAAGTCCCTGATCTGCTGTTGTCACAAAGAAAAACTGCAGAGAGGATGTTTCAATCATGTCTCTTTTTCACAAGGACTTCTTAGTGCAATAATATTCCTATGAGGAAGTCAGTCTTGGTGAATGGGGCTGGACCAGGCACCTGGGATCCACAAGAACACCTTTGTCTTTCTGGGGTAAGGTCACGTGTCTTTCTTGGTTATTTCCTGTCTAATCTTTGCTCTCTGTTTTTTAAAGAAAAGTGTTTCAAATATAAGTGAATCTTTCACCGTAGACACTGAAGCAGTGGCTTAAGCTGCAGACTCAAGGCTTCCTGCTTAAGGTTTCCTACTACAGTCTACTTGAGTCACCTCTGAATCATGCTGTCTGCCTAGAATCTTCACCTTAGCCCTTACCTCCTAGCTTCTGCACTGTTATAATGAGGCCTTTTACTTACCAGCTCAGCTTTGCCCATTTTTGAGCCAATGCCAATAATTTGGAAAGCATGCTCAGAGTTTCATGCACAGCAGTGATTAGGACCTGGGATTTGCTACCATCAACCTGGTTTAGGTGAGATGAAGATGAGCCAGGGGTTCTGGGTGTCTTCAGCCTGTTGTTGTTTCCTTTATCTCCTGTATTGGCAGGGTCTGGTTTACTAAACAGCTATCATGCTGTGGTTAGTGTCCTGATCTGAGTTGTACCTTGTAAGACCAGAGCTCTCACACCTCCTCTGGGCAGCTTGGTTCTTGGATGCTGTCCCATGCTCTGGCTGGACCTTGCTCCATTGGTCAGCCCCCTGAGATCACTTGTCACCACCCACTCCTGGTCTGGCTACTGTACCCTGTGAAGTATCCTAGACCCCTTAGGCAGTGCTCATGGCCAGTCAAGCCCTGGCTACTCAGCCCGTCTGGGCTCTGGGAGTTGGGTAGCTGCTCACTCCACATAGGAATAGTCCTCTAGGCAAGTGAGCTCAGTCCAGCTTCCTGTCCATTCCCATAAGCTTCCTCTGTTGAGGTCTCAGAAGATTTCAAGGAAGAGCTGCTTCTTTCTTCCATCCCCTGCTGCTGCTGTCCAGCCCTGTCACCAAAGGGAGCTAAGTGGAGAAGACCTGCACATAAAAAGTCCCCCCAATAGGGTTAAAGAAAACAATTATTTCATTTTTTTTTATGTTTTAATCAATGTGTATATAAGGGTCTCCAATATGTAATGATTCTGCTTAGACCCCAATCTCTGAAGAAATGTTTTTCCCTAGTGAAGTTCACTTCACTTAAACTTCAGGATCAACCTCGCCTTAGGCTTTAGGACTGATTTTGACCTTCAGAAGGAAGTATAAGAAGTCTTTTTCATTATGAGCTGAGTGATTCAATATCTAATGAAACTCCTTGCTTATTTTTTGATCATGTGCCCCAGTTGTAACAGGGCTTCCACCATTCTCCTGGAGCCAACTTTCCATATTGTACCAGCCCTAATAGCGACTCTGTGCCATGTATTGATCCTCCTTTCTGATTTTAAGTCCATATAAATCTGGGCCTTCACTTTGCTCCAGTCTTTCCTTTTCCCCAGGGACTGATTCCCAGATCCCTCCCTGACTTGAGTAGGAGTCTGCTCCCAGATACCTTAATCACATACTTGCCCACTTACTAGGAAACCCTTCTTATCTCCTACAGGAGCTCCTTCTTGCACAATATTTGCTTGAAATGCCATCTGTTTCTTATTGTATATTTCAAAACACATTTATTGATGCAAAATTTATTGAGCATCTTCGCTGGACTTTTAATTGTGAACAAAACCCAGTCCCTGTCTTCAAAGAGCTTATAGTTTACAGAAGGAGAGAGACAAATAGGAAATATGAGGAGTAGATAACTGAAAAACATTATTTAACTTGCCAATTTTATCTGCACAGGAGTCCTGTGAGGGAGACATTATTATCTCCACTTTAATAGAAGTGGAAAGTGAGACTCAGATAGGTGAAGTCGGTTGGTCTGGGTCACATAGAAAGAGGCAGAGTTAGGTTTAAAACTTTGCTGTCCTGAGCCTAAAGAGGCAGAGTTAGGTTTAAAACTTTGCTGTCCTAAGCCTAACCTTATGCAATGATGAGTCTAAATACAGTTTGTCAATATACACAAAAACAATCTGCTGAATTTTGATTGGAATTAAATTGAATTTGTAGGAAGTTAATATCTTTGCAGATTTTTGTCTTTAATTCATCAACATAGTTTACCCTTCCATCTTAGTCTTTTGGTCAATGGGTTTTCTTTAATTTCTCCACATGTTTTGTAGTTTTCTCTGTGTCTTGTATATTTTTCACTTTTAGGTATTTGGTGTTTTTTGATATTTTTGTTATTTTAAAAGTATTCGTTTTTAATTGTTTTTCTGTTATGTAGAAAAAAATTTCCTTCTTTGTGTATTGCTCCTACATCTAGCAGCCTTGCTAAATTTACTTATATTTTCTAATCTCTTATCTGTAGATTTTTCTATGTATACAATCTAGTGTTAAATGAATAAAGACAGCCCTCTATTTTTGAATACTCACATCTTTATTTTTCTTGTCCTACTATTCTTACGTCATTTAATTATCTGAATAAATAATGAATAATTAGGATGTCATAGGACATACTTTTCTCTGACTAATTTCTCAAGTTTCTGTTTTCTTTACTAGATTAAAACTGAGACTTGTTCAACAATGACCCTTAACTACTCTACAATCTGCTGTCAGCCAGAGTTAGGAGTGGGTGACAACAGAGTTGCTAAGAGTTATATCTGTGTAGTTTTTGGAGAGCTTCCCTCTATGATTAATTTATGAGTAAGGGTTTCATTCTTTTCACTGTAGCTCACAGAAGTCATGTCTTGTTAGTATTGCCTTGTGTTTATTTCTTTATGCACAAACAACACCTTAAAAATGAGAGAGAGAGAGAGAGAGAGAGAGAGAGAGAGAGAGAGAGAGAGACTGAGTTTGTTAAAAAGCTTTTCCAAGCCTTATTTTCCTATTTTGTAGTCAGCACCTCCATAATGCCTTGAGAACCTCTCTAGTGTCCCTACACTACTGTGAGGCTTATGGTGTCACTGTAGGAACTAGAAATTAAGTCATGATTAACTTTGGATAAATGAAACCCTTGCTTTATTCCTATGCTGAAGAGGCCAGCAGTTATTCCTATGTGGGAGAGGCTCAAAGTAGCACCCAGCTCCCAATTCAGAGAGCCATACTATTACTAATCTTAGTAAATACTTTACTTGAGCTTGTCTTTGGCTGGGTACCAAATGCTGATACCCTACACCAAATGATAATCCTGATATTCACCCTTTAAGTTTTTATTGTATTTTATTAGTGGAGCAATTGTGGAGAGGCCTAAGATTAAGATTCTTACACAATATACATTGTATAATTCAGATTTTTAGATTTATGGTATTAGACATATACTCACCCAAATAACTTCTTGACTTTGTGACTGGTATTTATTGCCCATTAAATATGGAAAAATGCACATAAACATCAACACTTATTTCTATGAGGAAGAGGGTAAAGGTTATAGATAGAAAATTGGGGCTAGTGACTGAGAATCAAAATTTAGGTTTTCTAACATGCACAAAGCTTTCTCAAGTATATCATTTTTCACCTAGTACATTAATATGATTGCATAGTTTTGAGCAAAAAATTGAGGTGTATGGCTTAATAGTTCTATTTATCTGTCTATTTAGTAGACATTATCTGTATTTAGTAGACATATAGTCTCAAGCCATGTACTCATGTGTATAAGAAATAGAATTTTTAAAAATCTCAACTTAATTTTAAACCTTGCTTTACCTTTAGCAAAATTATATATGTATGTATAAATTGAGCCCATTCAAAATAAACTCATTTTCTCTAGGCGAATTTCAATCAGTTCAGGATTTGTCCTCCTTACTCCCTCCCTCTCTTTTCTTCCTGAGATTCCATTTAAGTTCTAGGGGCTTCCATAGTTTTGTGTGTCAGCATAAAGGAGGTCTCAAATCTTGGGCTGCTGTTTCTATGAGGGCATCTGCCCTGGCTCTGTACCATCTGGTCTTTGGGGATAGTCATCACTCTTTCCCAGCATCTGCTAAGATTTCTATGACTATATCTAGACAAATGGCTTGTTTTACTTCTTTCTCCTCTTCTCTTTCTCCTAACTTCCATGTCCTTTTCTCAGGTGTGTGGAGAGGATACAGGTGGTATCTCACGTCTCTCTGAAGTCAGGGGAAACACAGTCAGGTTGCTTATCCCTCTCTGCCCCTAACAGCTCCCACAGCCTTTTTCCCTCTACACCCCCTGCCACTATAGTGTGTTGAATGTTTGTGAGTCTGTCTGCTATATTCCAAAATCCCAGGTAGGGGTGTGGACAAGTTTCCTCCTTTCTTGGTTCCCCAAACTTATCATCTGCTTTCTCCCTACACTCTCTGCCAACCTGGGATCTAACCCCAGAGCTCAGGACCTGTCTTAGACACCTTCGCCAGTAGCAAATGATTTTCCTGCTTCTCCATGTCTTCTCTCCCCACAGCCAGGAGAATCCTAACCTATTTTGTGAATGCCAAAACCCATTTTGAATCTGGAAAAAAAAATCTTCAAGTATTATTTTAAAACTTTTTGTTTTAAGTTTGAAAAACTTATATTTTCAAAATTAAAAAGCTAGGAATTGGATGTTTGAGCCTGGTAATGATGGTAGCTGGAATTAATGTCCACTTCATATCTATAAGCTCAAGTGGGGTGCAGGAGAAGGTCATGAAGTTAAATAGGATTTGTATGTGTGAAACACATTAATACCTCACATTTGTCTGAATATCAAATCATCTATCCATCCATCCATTCATCCATCCTTTGAATACTCCAGAAAAAAATGTTGATGCTGTTTGACTTTAGCATGTCAGGGCAGAGTATTAAAAAATCAAGACACGTTAAAAGTTCCAGAACTTATGGTAGCAGTAGTAGACAAAGTAATGGCCCCTGAAGATAGACATGCCCTGAAACCTGAGATTATGTTAGGTTACATGGCAAAGGGGAATGAAGGTTGCAGATGAAATTGAATTTGCTAATTAGCTGACTTTAACGTGGGTAAGATTATCCTGGGTTATCCAGGTAGCCCCAATATAATTACAAGTGTTCTTATAAGTGCAAGAGGGAGGCAAGAGAGATATAAAGCTGCTTTGCTGCTGGCTTTGAGTTTGGAGGAAGGGGCTGTGAGCCCAGGAATGCATGTATCCATTAGAAACTGGAAAAGGAAAGGAAAAGCATTCTTCCCTGGAGCATCCAGAAGGAATGCAGCCCAGCTGACACCTTGGTTTTAGTCCAGTGAGGCCCACTTTTGATTTCTAACCTGCAAAACTGTAAGATAACACATTGTGATATTTTAAGCCAATAAGTTTTGGTGATTTGTCACAGCAATGATAAAAACTAATACAGTAGCTGTGACTATATAGTCATAAATAACTTATTAGGCAAATTAACTTAAAACTTGGCTAACAGGGCAGACACAACTGATTTTAATAAACACTTAGGCACCACCTGGTGGTTGAAATCTTAGAGTGAGTGATAGCTGAAATGACATCTGTCCAAAGCAGAAGTAAAATGCTCCAAGCATGACACTAAGCTTATTGTTTTTGGTTAAATGATTAAAAATAAAAGGTGGAAGTTTTTATTTGGGTCACCAGATAATACAACGAAGAAAGAAGCTCAACTTGTAAACATTCAGGAATAAAGTATTTTATGGCAAGGACACATGACAGAAAACACGAAGCCAACAAGACCTGCTTAGGAATCATCATTTGCCAGTGATAGGCTTTCACTCCACCCAAACCTTACCTCACAAGGTCTACGAAATCTCCATTCTCTCCATATTAGTTAAGGACAATTACATTTTCTCAGCTGCTATATAAAGTATGATGCAAATGTAGCATTATTTTAACCAGAAAGCACCCCTAATCCTCTCCTATACAGAATCTGGACCTGCTTGTGCACCCATGGCCATTCAAAAGTGCAAGATATCTCGCACCCATTACAATGGCTGCTGTGGAAGGAAAATAAAATCTCGACACCCCCGAACTCTCCATGCCAAAGAGAAGAATTAAGTTTGGGAACTGAATGGTGCAAAACTGCCTCTTGTTTTGTTTCCAAATAGATAGCTGCAAAGATGCAATGCCACTTACCTCCCCAGGGGACCTCCCTCACAATTTGCTTACAATGAAATTCCTTGTGGGCTCCAAGATTTTTACTCTAAGACAGAAATTCTGTTGAATTTCACCCTGACAATGTAAATCAACAGCTTATATTCATAGGTAAGGGACAAGGATAAGATTGGAAGTCATCCTTCTGCTTGCCTGAGACAAATGCATACTTGACTGCTTCTTCTATTCTATGTTTACTTTATCTTATGTAGAAATGCAGATTCACTGAGGAGAAGGCCACACAAATGTGTAGTTGACTGTTTCTCCAGCCCCTCTTTTCACATGTAAAATGTGAATTCAGTGAACAGTGATCAAAGCCTCAAAAGAATGCAACCGATTACCACTTTTATCTACTGTCCTCCTTTTTCTTTCCTCTTTCCTCTACTGCCTGCTCTTTCCCCTTTAAATACTGAAGTCTCCAAACTTTCTTTGGCAAATGTATGGGCTGCAGATCCAACTGTGGCTAGTGTCTCTTTTTCCCTTGTGCATCCTTAACCTTGGCAAAATAAACTTCGAAATTGATCTAGACTTGCCTCAGTCATTTTTCCTTGATTTTACACCACTATAAAACAAAACATAAAATAACAAGTGTTGGCGAGAATACAGAGAAGTTGGAACCCTTGTGCATTGTTGGTGGGATTGTAAAATGGTATAATTGCTGTGGAAAACAGTATGGGAATTCTTCAGTAAATTAAAAATAGGACATAGAACTACTATACAATCCAGCCATCCAACTTCTGGGTATATATCTGAAAAAATTGAAAGTGGGGTCTCATACCAATTCTGTTTACAACTGGTAAGAGGTAGAAAGCAACACACACGTATGGAATATTTTATATATACATATGTATGCATATGTAAATATGGAATATTATTTAATCCTAAAAGCAAGGAAAACCTGTCACATGCTGCAACATAGATGAAACTTGTGAAAATTATCCCAAGTAAATTGAGCCAATCACAAAACACAAATACTACATAATATCACTTATATGAGGTCTAGAAAGTAGTTAGATTCATAGAATGGTGGTTTCCAGAGAAGGGGGGAAAAGAGAATTGTTGAATGGATATATAGTTCCAGCACTAAAAGATGAAAAAGTTGTGGAGATCTCTTTCAAAATAATGTAAATATGCTTAAGACTACTGAACTATACACTTAAACATGGGTAAGACAATAAATTTTACAATGTGTGTTTATTACCATAATAAAATAAAATGCAGAGTAGTGGAGCATGCACAGGACAGAATGAAGGATGGTGAATCCCCTCTTCTAATGACCACAGAGGCCTCTGGCTGAGGCGCCACGAACGTCCCTGCCCACTGAACAGGCAGGTTGAAGGCTGTGGCATTTGAACAGGGTCAACATCTGTGAGCCTCCTTCAGACGGTCTCCAGAGCTGCCTCTCTTTTGCAATTTTTATATGACACAACTACTAAAGCATAGCTTTACCCTTCCGTCTTCTAACCTGATTTTCTGCTATTCATTGAAAACGTTCAATTTTCCCATCAGCCATGAGTCACTTCCTCCTGGTATAAAGATGTGTTCACATTATCCCAGATCTTCCCATCGTATTTTTTTCAGAAAGTGTATAACTTTATGAAGCCTCTGAATATAAAACCTGAACTTCATCACATAACCTATTTTTAAGGAAACTTGATAATACTTGAGCCAACTTAATTCTTTTAGGCCTTTTACCAGCCTGCAATATTCCTTATGTTGACACTCTAGAAGGATATTAAGCAGAGGTAGAGTGTGTGCATGACATGAGACACTACAGGTTTGAATTCTGGTTCCACCATTTCCCTGCTGTGTGCCCTTGGATTCCCCAAATTAGTTTAAGAACTGCCTGGTTGGTCCTTTGGATTCAGCTCTTACCCTCTTACAGTTTAATTCTCGATACAACTGCCTAAGTGATGTCATCAAATTGATCCACATTTTGCCTTATGTTTGTGTTTTTGAAGTTGTGTTTAAAGAAATTCTTCTGTACCCGCAGCCTGTAAAGATGTTTCCCCAGATTGAGGTATTTATTCCATCTACGAACGTGGCTTTCAATGGGAGGGATGTTTAGCAGGGTCTGGAGACATTTTGATTGCAAAAACTTGTGTCATGGGTGGGGCTACTTTGTGGGGCAAAGAAAGAACAAGAATGTGCATTGTTAAGTAAAAAAAAAAAAAAACAAGGAGCAGAGTTGTTGTATATAGCATAGAATATTTGCATAAGAAAGAAAAAAGCTAGAGTAAACACACATGTACTTGTTTATTAAAAATATATCCACAGGGAGAATAAAGCAGAAAATGGTAAATGTGGTTACCATTAGGAGCAGGGCAAAGTGGGGGTGAGGCATAGGTTGTACTGAACACACATGCTTATTAGTTTCCTATAGCGCTATAAAAAATTGTCACAAATTTAGTAGCTTAGAGCAACACATATTTATTATATTACAGTTCTGGAGGTCAAAAGTTTAAAATGGGTCTCCCTGGGCTAAAATCCAAGTGTCAGCAGGGCTATGTCAGCAGGGCTGTGTTCCTTTCTGGAGCTTCTAGGGCAGCATACACTTGCTTGCCTTGTCCGGCTTCCAGAGGCAGCCCACATGTCTTGGCACTGCTCTGCCATCTTCAAAGCCAGCAAGGATGCACTGAGTCTTTCTCACACTGAGTCATTTTGACCTCCTTTTCTGTAGTCAATCTTCCTCTACCTCACTCTTCTGAGTACCTTTTCTACTTTTTTTTTTTTTTCCAGACAGAGTCTTGCTCTGTCGCCCAGGCTGGAGTTCAGTGGCATGATCTCAGCTCACTGCAACCTCCACCTCCCGGATTCAAACAATTCTCCTGCCTTAGCCTCTCGGGTAGCTGGGACTACAGGCACACACTGCCACGCCTGGCTAATTTTTATATTTTTAGTAGAGACGAGGTTTCACCATATTGGCCAGGCTGGTCTTGAACACCTGACCTTGTGATCCACCTGCCTCGGCCTCCCAAAGTGCTGGGATTACAGGAATGAGTCACCGCGCCAGCCTCTACTTTTAAGCATTCTTATAATGACACTGGGCCCACCCAGATAATAAAAGATGACTTCTGCATGTCAAAATCCTTAATCACATCTACAGACTCTCTTTTCCAGGTAAGGTAACGTAGTCACAGATTCTGGGGAGTAAGACATGGACATCTTGGGGGCTGGGGCAAGGTTTGGTCACTTTTCTTCTTTCCATGGCATGGAAATGATATTAAAATATTTTTACTTTTTAACCATGTAAAATGAACACATCAAGAAGAAACTAAACATGAAAATTATATATTTCAATAACATTTTAGGCTGGGTGTGGTGGCTCACACCTGTAATCCCAGCACTTTGGGAGGCCAAGGTGGGTGGATCACGAGGTCAGGGGGATCCAGACCATCCTGGCTAACACAGTGAAACCCCGTCTCTACTAAAAATACAAAAAAAAAAAAAATTAGCCGGGTGTGGTGGCAGTCACCTGTAGTCCCAGCTACTAGGGAGGCTGAGGCAGGAGAATGGTGTGAACCTGGGAGGCAGAGCTTGCAGAGATAGCGCCACTGCACTCCAGCCTGGGCGATAGAGCAAGACTCCATCTCAAAAAAAAAAAAAAAAAACAAACAAAAAAAACATTTTATATGATTCTGTGCACTTAGTCCTCAATACAACACATGAGGCAGTACTGTTATGTACAGGAAACTAAAGGCCTTTATAATTTGTCCAAATAGTAAAGCCAGTTGGTAGCAGAATTATGATTCAAACTCAGTTTGTTATAACTCTGGAATATTTCCCAAGGTCACTTTAAACTCACTAGCATTGAAACACCTAACTGGTGTTCTTTCCATTACTTCACGGCTGCCCACAGTCAGCTGTCATGGCCACCCAAGTCAAGTCTTTCCTTCACTGTGATCTGTTGTGTATATTAATAATAGTAAAATCTCCTGTACTGACAAACTGTTATGAAATGTCCTTTTCAAATTCTTTTAGAAGCTCCTTGCAGCTAGGAAAAATTAATGAGTTGCAATGTAAAACTTCCCTTAGCTATGATCTAGTACCCAAGGGTCAGGGCTGGCTTTGCAGAGGATCAGCTCTGGTAACAGGTAGAAAGTCAGAGTCATTGAACATAGATGCTGGTGGTGAGCAGCAGTGATGGTGGGAGTCTGTGGAAGTTCTCTTCCATTTGCTTCTATTTTCTCAGAGAAATAGAAGAAAGATCATTGGCTGAGAATAAGAATGGGGGAGGAAGTGTGGAATTTCAGAGGAGAAGAGAATGTGTGGAATAGTCACTTTGGAAAGCAAGGTATCTTATGACTGCTGGGCAGCATAAAGAGGCCACTTGATTTAGTGGTCACAAATTTAAAGAGATTGTAGGCAGAGAAGGTGCTGATTTGGATTTAACCAAGTTTGTGGTTTGCCAAGGAAGTGGGAGCAAATGAGAGAGGATAAGGGCATAAAGGGTGCATGCAAAGGTTGACTATGGTGTTTCAGCTGCGTAAAGAGGGGAGCGAAACCATCAAGGAACCAAGGAACAGTGAACAGTAAAGGGATTTAAGAATTGATGAATATTGGTTGTCAGTGTGGTGGAAAGACAGTTGGCATAAAGCATTAGAGGGAGTGAGCTGCAGTTAGGAGGCAGCTGGCAGAGAGTGGGATGTACACACCTGAGGCTGTGAAGGGTGCACAGCTCTGTAAAGGATGGTAATCATGAGGTCTTAGAGTATGACCATGGGGGTAGTCCAGGCGTTAAAAGTCTCAGTTACATGTATATTGAAATGACTAAGGATTAGCACCAAAATAGTAAGAAGTGACGGTGAACCATGAGTTCCTATGGAAAACAAGGAGGCAGAGGCAGAACTTGGGGGCAGCAGATGAGAGTTACAGTGAAATTCAGAATTGAAGGAAAGAGAACAGCCCAAAAGCAGCAATGGAGGTTGTGGGCAGCCAAGGAGGACACTTAGTCCCTTCCAGGTCTGGGGGAAAATCAGCCACTGCTAGAGTGGGCTGCAGGGAATGTCATGTTGGATTTAGCCAAGTTTGTGGTTTGCCAAGGAAGTGGGAGCAAATGAGAGAGGGTTAAGGGCAAAAGGGTACATGCAAAGGATTAACTATGAAGTTTCAGCTGCATAAGGAGGGGAGTGAAACCACCAAGAAGGGCAGGAGCAGTGGACAGCAACGAGATTTAAGAATCAATGAATCATGGGTGTCAGTGGGGTGGAAAGACTCCCGAGGACCTGATTTCTGTTTGAAGAACAAGAAAGTGAGAGAACATTCAGAGAAGAGATGGCAATAAGGGGGATTTGTCCTCTGTGATTTGCTAGGAATCCAAATAGCACAATGGAAGGATCTCAGAATTGGGGGAAAGGTGGAAGAGATGGACAGAATGGGGATGAGCAGACCCTCACAATGTGGGAGATGAGGGGTGGCCTTGCAGTTTGGGGCTTTTGAGGTGGTTTTCATAAACAGGAATAAAGTGAATAATGTGGATCCAAAGGAGAGGGTGGGGTGAGGCTCTGACTAGAGGGGGCCAGAGAGGGTGAGTTTCTAGAGCCCCCTCTTTACACTGATGCTGGGGGTAGGTAAGGTTGTAGGTCAACGGGAGGTGAGTTCTTAGAGCAAGTATACTAGTTCTCTCTTCCTCTGCGGGGCAGTGGGGCTTACCCTAAGGGTGTCTGTTTTCCTTGACCCCATTGTTGATGTCTTGGGAGATCTCTGGAGAAGCAGGTTGGTTGCACTTGTCTTTCTTCAGAATGATGGGGGTTGAGGGCATCATCTTGTTTCTACAACAGAAAAGTATGAAATTCAAATAGCAACACTCCAGGAAACAGTTGAGTTCCCTTAGAAAGGGCAAACCTAACTGATGGCATCTGCAGAAAAAGACAAACATTTGCATTACAGTCATAGGAAGCATTCAGAGGCACTGAGGACAATAGAATCGTGAGTTCTTTCAGTAAATTGATATTCATTGCATATCTACTATATGCCTAACACTGTTCAGGGTGCCACAGGACATGCAATAAGGCAGTGAAACCCAGTGTGTGTCCTTCAAGCAGACTCAGTTAAAAAACAGTGGAAAGTATTAGATATAAAGCCAATGCTGTCCCAAGGAACACAGGCTATCGTGGAAGCTGTTGAAATCTATCTTCTGTTGATCTAGAATTTGATTTTCATAAAGCATTAGCAAATCAAAAGCCAAAAACAAAACTGCAAACACACAGATTGATTTGTTTCTTTGTATTGTTTTCTCTTAGGCACCTTGGATTTTTAAATTTATTACTTTTTAAATGCAGATTACATATATGCTGCAACCAGAAATGCCAGCATCCCATGATGGAAGTTTTTCTTTGCATTCTTGAGAGGACTATATTGAGAACTGAGTATCTATATTTTATATTTCATTTTATTGATAATTGGAAATAGCTGAGAAGTGATAGATCAAGGATTTGAATTCATTGATTCTAAAGCCCATATGACCATATGATTTTAACTCTTATGCGATCTTTTTCTTTCCATCTAGGTCTCGCCCTGTCCTGCCTTCTCTCTTGGTACCAGTTATACTGCTGAATCACTATTAGTGATAGGGACTCATGTGGGTGGGTCATCCAGAAATGATTGTCCTATTTTAAGAACAAATTAAAAGTTGCCTCAGTTGGTGGTGTCTAACTCTTCAACTTAAAAGAGAGAAAATATTAATAGGAATCAACTCTGCTTATTTAACAGGTCAAGCTGGTCTCTGGTGTCCATGGGGACACTTCAGGAGAAACCGATTAACATTGAGATGTGTGGAAACAGGATCAATAATTTTCAGTAACTGAGGAAGATTACCAGAAGCCAAGGCGGCCTTTAACAGAGACTGTGCAGCTCTGAGCCCAGGACTGTTAAGCACTTGGCAGGCAATGGAGAAAGTCTAATTGTGGCTGACGATGAGTCATTTTACACTATTGTCACACCTCCTTTCTCCACATTCCATTTTAGGAACAGTATAACTTTCCCAGCCAGAAATTGTCTAATTTAAACCCTGACTCTTACCTGTGTGAATCAAAATGACTCAGAAAGTGCAAATAAAATAACCCTGAGGAGTCAGTGGTTGTTTCATTTTTCTCATAGCTTCTCTTCTCAGAATTGAGGCCTGTATCTTCCATGTGTATAGAAGAAACAGAAGGGCTAGAGGATTGAATCTGCATGGCAGAAAAAGAAGAAGTCTCACAGGACTAGAAGTTAGAGCATTTTTCCTGACATGAGGATATAGGGTAGATTTATGGCCAAAGTCTTAACTATATGAAAAATAGAGTAGTAAATTTTTTAAAAGGAGAGAGAACTGCTGTTTTTTAAATACAATTAAAACATGGATAAACAAAAAAGAGGGTGCATATAAGTGTGTTTGCCTGTATATATATAAACATGCATAGACACACACATATACATATACATTTTAGTCCTGTATCTTCAGATTCTCTCCCCCATTCATTCTTATGCCTTTTAAGAAATAATCATGGCATAGACTCTAAAAAGAAGACTTAATTCACAAAAACATGGGACATTGGCCTATGAAATGAAGAACAATTAGCACTGAATATTTAGACAACTCATGTGGCTTCATTTAATGCAGCATCCAACAAATACTGATGTTTACAATATTAGCTCTGAATTTCCTAGAATACAAAAATAATTTATATTTCTTATTTTTGTAAAGTACTTTCTAGTTTTGAAGGCTTTTAAATACACATTATCTCATTTGACCCCCCCAAACACTTTGTATGGTAGCCAGAGTATGAATTTTTATTTCCAGTTTATAGGTAAGGAATTGGAAATACACACATCTTAAGCGGTGCACCTGGTATCAAACGATCCTACAAATCATGTATGTTGACTCCTGATCTAATGATGGGTAGAAATATATAACACATGAGGCCGGGCGCGGTGGCTCATGCCTGTAATCCCAGCAGTTTGGGAGGCTGAGGCGGGTGGATCACCTGTGGTCAGGAGTTCGAGATAAGTCTACCCAACATGGCGAAACCCGGTCTCTACTAAAAATACAAAAACTTGGCCGGACATGGTAGCGGCGCCTGTAATCCCAGCTACTCAGGAGGCTGAGGCAGGAGAATGGCGTGAACCCGGGAGATGGAGGTTGCAGTGAGCTGAGATAGCGCCATTGCACTCCAGCCTGGGCGACAAAGCGAGACTCTGTCTCAAAAAAAGAAAAAAAAAAAAAAAGAAATATATAACACATGATTCAAAATTTTCCACCGTCGTAGTATTAAGATCACTGAAATGGTGAGAATGTAAAGGGAATAAGTGGCTTCAATTATCCAGAAAAGTTACATATGTGAAACATAATTTTGCTTAATTAGATATTGCCATACTTAAAAAATATGTTGAAATTTTTAAATGTGCAGATTATTTTTCTCTTTTTTTTTAGATTGATGGTTTTCTATTATGTCAGGAGTCTCTTTCTTATTAATAATCCATTTTCATATTGAATTTTGGCATGATTTACCAACATAGTGTAACACTTCTTTTTAATAATTGAATCATATGTAGAATCATATATATCTTTATAGAAAATTTGGGAAATACACAAAGATATTACTTAGAAAAATAAAAATTACTCACCTTCTAGAGGATAACCTCTTCATACATTTTGTTATATTTTCTATTAATTGTCATTTTATTCTTATCCAGGCATTAAAAAATACAGTTGAGGATGTACTGCATGTATAAGTTGATAATGTTTCATACATAATTTACATGCTACATAATTTATGCAGCCACACCCTTATCAGTGGATAGTTATGCTATTTTCATTTTTTGTTATTATAAATAGTACCAGGATGAGCACTGTGCAAGTTTATCATTGTTTACTTGTAATTGAGTCCTAGAAGTGGTATGACTGGGTCAAATGATGAACACATTTTCAGTCTATTGACAAGTGTTGCAATTTTTTCCAAGGAACTTACCACTAGCTGGGCAGAATGCCACATCATCCACTATGGAATTGTTTGAGTGGAATTAGTGTTGAAAGATGTATTGTTGCTGTAAAAAATTACCACAAACTTAGCAGCTTCAATCAACACAAATGTATTACCTTACACTTTGGATGTCAGAAGTCCTAAAATCAAGATGTTAGCAGGGCTGCATTCCTTCTGGATTCTTTAGGGGAGAATTGTTTCCTTGTTTTTTCCAGTATCTGGAAACTACTTGCATTCCTTGGCTGGTGGTCCCTTCCTTCATCTGCAAAGTCAGCAGTATAGCATCTTCAAATCTCTCTCTTACTCTTTAATTTCTCCTTCCATCGGCACATCTTCTTGTCTTTCTAACCTGCCTGTCTCTATCTTTTAAAGAGCCTTGCGATTACATTGGTTTTACCTGGATAATTCAGGATACTCTTCCTATCTCAATATCCTTAATCTAATGACATCTACAAAGTCTCTTTTGCCATGTAAGGTAATATATTTACAGGATCTGGGAATTAGGAAATGGACATACTTGGGAAGCCATTTTTCAGCTGACTACAATAGAAAAAACATAATTTGACTTTGTATCTTATCTTCATGACTTGCTAGTTCTGAAAAGTTTCATCAGTATTTTTTTTATGGTTGAAGAAATAAAGCAGATGGAAATACGTTTATTGACCAGGTGCTGAGGAAACCGAGGCCCAGTGAGGTCATGAGACTTCTCCAAAATCAAGTGGCTGAAAGGTGACAGGTCTGTCTGACTTCCAAGTTCATTATCTTTTTTGTTGTTTATTTGTTTTTGGTTATATTATTTTCTATTTAAAAACTAATGCTATCAATACCTACAAGGTATAACAAGTCTCTGACTTTAAAAAGTCAGCTGCTAATTCTATAATGTCATTATTGTTATAGAAGTAGCCTGTATTCATGTCAGTAATGTTGTGAGAGAGAGTCCAGGCATGCCGCTTTCCTGCAAGGCTTCAGTGACACCGTAAGTGGCTGCTAGACTCAATATATATATATTTCAGCAGATTTATCTTTATAAATCATATAGCTTTTAAGATTTGTTTACATTTAAACTTCTAGAAGAAATCTGTATTAGATTTTTGAAATCAGATTTTAATGGGCTTCATGTGTCAGGAACAGCAGTGTTTTGTAATCTCTTTTCTTTTTTTTTTTAATTGTACTTTAAGTTCTAGGGTACATGTGCACAACGTGCAGGTTTGTTACATATGTGTACATGTGGCATGTTGGTGTGCTGCACCCGTTAACTCATCATTTACATTAGGTGTATCTCTTAATGCTATCCCTCCCTCCTCCCCCCACCCCACTACAGGCCCTGGTGTGTGGTGTTTCCTACCCTGTATCCAAGTGTTCTCATTGTTCATTTCCCACCTATGAGTGAGAACATGCGGTGTTTGGTTTTCTGTCCTTCCGATAGTTTCCTCAGAATGATGGTTTCTAGCTTCATCCATGTCCCTACAAAGAACATGAACTCATCCTTTTTTATGGCTGCATAGTATTCCATGGTGTATATGTGCCACATTTTCTTAATCCAGTGTATCATTGATGGACATTTGGCTTGGTTCCAAGTCTTTGCTATTGTGAATAGTGCCACAATAAACATATGTGTGCATGTGTCTTTATAGCAGAATCATTTATAATCCTTTGGGTATCATGCCATTAGCTATCTCTGCGAAAGTGTGAGTCCATGTCTGTATGCACTCGATGGAGCACCTTTTTAGAAAACCTCACAGAGATTTTAATAAGGTCAGTCAACCTACTCCTATCACCTCAAAGCATCAAAGACAAAAATTAATACTCGGCCATGACTTTAAGTAAGTATGTTCCAGAGAAAATACATGAATAAAGATCACTAGTGCTTTGAATGAGGTGAAATGATTAGGTTTTATATTTGATTCTGTAGATCTGTGAATTGGGCAATGCTTGCTAAAACTAATTCATACTATTTATATTAACCTCATTATTCCACGCTCTGTTAACTCTTCGGCATATGATTCCCAGTTCCATCAGTCTACCTGTAATGACTGGTTATTCATTGAGCTCTGGCCTGATGCTCACCTCTGTGCCTAACTCCAGACCTCAGTGGCCGTGATAAATAAGAGATATGCTGGCCCACAGGCCACTGTGCTTACACTCTCCCAGTACAGGAGGCCAGTGGCTGGACAATGCTCTCCATAGCTTTCAAGTAGGCCTCCTACTTTTGTGAATTAAAAAAAAATAAATAAATGAATCTGAGAGGAGGCACTAGCCATTGGGTTGAGAATAACCATGTTCATTAACTTGCAGGACATTTTGGTCATTACATATGAAGATACAAGCCATCCCAGCAACCTAGGTAAGAAGAAATGAAATTAAGGATGATCGATTGAGAAACATAGCTAACAGGTTATATTATGGGATCTTGACAATGAAGAAGGTAAAAAATATAATATTTTTAAGCCTATTTTTAATTGCTTTCCTTCATGAATAACTGTGCTATTCCACAAAGGATTTGAGACTGCTTAAAGGAAGAAGACAATAAAAAAAATTAAGACTAGAACAAATACTGGTAAAACAGTAAGGTCAGACAGAGGGAAATTTAGAAAACTGAGGGATCTACGTTCTTCACCATCCTGTAGTTTTGGGGAGCAAACCCACTTTGGAGAGAAGAAAAGTGTTCTGTGGTTCTTGCTACAAAGACTCTCTTCCAACGTGTTTAATAGGAGTGTAGTGCTGTGTGGAAGAGTTTACAGGTAATTCACTTTACCCTCCCTAGCAAGCCAATTTAGTCTTTACTCCTTAAATAAATATAGCTTTATGAGGTCTTCCTGCTTATTATCCTTTTTACTTCTAATATTGAACTTTTTGATTACTGCAAGTGATTTTTTTTTTTTTAGTGTCCAATTAAAAGTTTAGGCTACTAGGGACTTTTAGAGCACAGTTCTTCTAAATCAGCCAACTGGTGGACAATATTCACACATTCTTAGTCTTTGCGAAACAAGTACTGAACGTGCAAATATAAAGCAAAGTGCCAGTTTCTATAATGGCTTGTTTTCTATCTTATTTCTACATGTATTGAACCCAAATAACCTGAATGGTTCATTTTTTTTTCCTCCTAAAAGTAGCTTCTATTTTATTTTATTTTAAAAAAAGAAAAAGTAAAAGAAAAGAAACCCCTTTTGAATATCCACTAATTGTCCTGGAAATTAAGAAAAAATATATTTTATCTATTTATGAATCATAATTGTTAATTTGATAATGGTGTTCTTACAAAGTAAATCCCATTATTATATTCCTGTGGTAGAAAGTTCTGGGTTTTGTGGGTAAATACTGCAATACAGAATTCCCACCATTGTGAATAAAAAATTAAGTTGAGTCTTAAAAATGGTCTCATTGGAAAGTTCACATTACATTGTTACTCATCAAGCTATAGTGTCTATTTTTTTGTTATTCAGAAATACTACTAAAGACCTCATTTTTCTAAACTAATAAAAATCATGTTTAAAAATAGTCTTTAACCATTTTATTGACAATAATATCTAAAATAACCTAAGGTCCTTTCACATAATATTTATTTATTTATTTAGAGACGGAGTTTCGCTCTTGTTGTCTAGGCTGGACTGCAATGGCACAATCTCAGCTCACGGCAATCTCCGCCTCCCGGGTTCAAGCAATTCTCCTGCCTCAGCCTCCCGAGTAGCTGGGAATACAGGCATGCACCACCACACCTGGCTAATTTTGTATTTTTAGTAGAGATGGGGTTTCTCCATGTTGGTCAGGCTGGTCTCCAAATCCCGACCTCAGGTGATCCGACCCGCTTGGCCTCCCGAAGTGTTGGGATTACAGGCGTGAGCCACAGGGCCCGGCCTATTTATTTTTAAAATATATATTGTTAACACATGTGTAGGTCTCTATATTATTGAGTGCTGTGATTTTATGCACTATTTATTTCTTATATGTAGCTTTATATTCATCACACTTGACATTTCAACCACTGTATAAAATAAATCCAGCTGGCTTATTTTTGTTTGCTTGAGTGTTATATTGACATTGGCAATTACACTTTGAGTAATTTCAGTTCTTTGAAAATTATTAAAACTAGCTTTAGGGACCAGCATATGATAAATTTTGATAAATGTTCCAAGTGCACGTGAAAATATGTATATTATGTAGTTGTAGAGTACCGTGTTTTATAAATGTCAATTAAGTCACGTCAATCATTCTTGCTGTTGAAATCTTCTATATTAGTACAATCCAATAGAAATATAATGCTAACTACATATGTAATTCTTATTTTAAAATTTTCTAGTAGCTCACATTATAAAGTAAAAAATAGGTAAAATTAATTTGTCATATATTTATTTAACACAATACATCCAAAACATTTTCATTTCAAAGTGTGATTAGTACAAAATCATTAATGAAATTTTTTCATATTTAGGCTTCAATATCTGATACATAATTTATATATACAGCACATCTCAATGCAGGTACTAATTTTTTTTTTTTGAGATGGAATTTTGCTCTTGTGCCCCGGCTGGAGTGCAATGGCAGGTACTAACTTTTGACCTGTGTTTAGATCTCATAAAATTTACTGTTGAAAAAGTAGATTCACAGACTCACATATCCAGGTTGTTCCAACCAGTCTTAAATGTTTTTAGTACCCGAATCAAATGGCAAAAATGTCGTTTAAAAAAATTCACATCCACATTGAGAAAATAGATTTATCTGTTTTAGAAAACTTGATTTGACTTTGAAAGGAAAGCATATAATTTTCAAAAGTTGGCTGGGAGCGATGGCTCAGGCCTGTAATCCCAGTGCTTTGGGAGGCCGAGGCAGGTGGATCACGAGGTTAGGAGATCGAGACCATTCTGGCTAGCACAGTGAAACCCCGTCTCTACTAAAAATACAAAAAATTAGTCGGACGTGGTGGCGGGTGCCTGTAGTCCCAGCTACTTGGGAGGCTGAGGCAGGAGAATCAGTTGAACCTGGGAGGCAGATGTTGCAGTGAGCAGAGATTGTGCCACTGCACTCCAGCCTGGAGGACAGAGTGAGACTCTGTCTCAAAAAAGAAAAAAAGTCATCTATACGAGTTAAGTAAATTTACTAAATTTTTTTACATTGTATCATAAAATAGAATTTATTGTAATAGAATCCTGTAAAATATACGAGTTACGATTTCACAAAGTAGAAATAAAGTCTGGTCAAAGAACTTATGCTTTAAATAATTAAAAACAAAACTGAAGGACAAGACAGGGTATTCTTGTTCTAAACGGTATTCGCAAAATAAAAATAAGTACAAAAATAACTCATAATAGTAGCTACACAAACTACCATATACAAATTAATATCAATTTCAAAGGGGTATTATGAAAAGTGAAAGCAATTTAAAATTTATCAGTATCAAGAAAGCCTTACCTAAATTTCCTGTAGTGTCTGTTACCAATTTACATATTTTCAATTACAACTAAAATCTTCTATATATTGATTCATATTATGAAAGTGTATAAAAATCATCATTATTGATTAGTAGTATAAAAAAATTCATTGTCAATATAAATTCACACACTTGTCTAGGTAGGTTAAATAGCTTTTTCTTTCCTTGGAACTTGAAAATTTAGCTCCTTCATATGCAGTGTGATACCAGTTAGTAAGCACAAATCAAACTACTGTTTTTTTCCCTTTGATTATTGAATATTTGATAGGCATTCCTTTGGTTTCAAAAATTTTAGAATTGGACTTAACATTGCAATAAATATTTGTAAAACTTTTCCACAACTCAACCAACAACAATTGGCAAAGAACACAAGACAATTACATTCATTGTCTTTTATTTCTTTTAATTGTTCCACAAATTGATGATTCATAACATTTATATTTACATACTGAAGAATTTTACAGTATGCATGACACTCTTCATAGAGACTGTTTCAGAAAGATGAGCACAAATATTTTCACTAAGTATTACATATTGGAATGAAGTAAGAGGAAAACTTGAGTCTGTGGTTTCAGATTCTAGTAAACCTAGAGTTTTGATTTAAAATAACCAAAGCACCATCTGTTGTGATAGAAACCATTTTTTTCGTGTCTAGTTGAAATTCTTCTTTGACAGATGTAAAAGATTGAAGAATATCCATGCCAAAAGTTCAAATTTTTAGGTTGCAAATGTACACATTTTTTTTTGTTGTTGTAAATTGGAACATCCAAGACACTGTATGCTCCAAATATTAATTGGGCAGGGTCTGTTATGTGGTATGACTCAAGTAAAGCTAAAGAAAATTACTTGCAATTTTTCAAATTTTCAGTCAATCTTTGATTTTTTAGAAAAATTTCATAATCTATGATCAATGGTTTAGTGGCTCAACCAAAGATATTTACAAGATTATCGAAAGTAAAATATCTTTTTTTACCTTCCTCAGAACTTTCTAGCAAAATTTTCATTTCTAAAATTAGAATTTACTTTCTCATATCTCTATCTAAAAATGGTTTTCTATTTTCTGCAAAACTCAAGCTGTTTTATAGAAGGACTAAGTTATAAGGCTGGATCATGTTATATATTGTTTAACTTTTTAAAATTGGACATTCAATCCTGATTTCAGGAGAACAGTGTTGCCAATTTTTCTGACTACTGAGGGTGAACTTCTTACATAGAGATAAAGATGTATAAATATTCTTCACTTCAATCCTTAAAAATATTTTTACACAACAAACAAACAGCTTTTTTTGCTTTGCTTTGTCATAGAAAAGTAAAATTGCCATTCATTGTAGAATTTGCAGCATCCTTTTGTTCAGTCTTCTTAAAAAGTTGTTCTATTAGCTTTGGGATGCCAAGGCAGGTAGATCACGAGGTCAGGAGCTCCACACCAGCCTGGCCAAGGTGGTGAAACCCTGTCTCTACTAAAAACACAAAAAGTACCCGGGTGTGGTGGCAGGCGCCTCTAATCCCAGCTCTTCGGGAGGCCGAGACAGAGAATTGCTTGAACGTAGGAGGCGGAGGTTGCAGTTAGCTGAGATCACACCACTGCACTCCAGGCTGGTCCACAGAGCGAGACTCCGTCTGAAAAAAAAAAAAAAAGTATTGTATTGGTTATAATACCAATTTTCGCATCTCTACTCATTTCTGCATCTTCCTTGTTATGCCAGAGTCAGATTGGAAAGTAAGCCATGATATACGGGATTAAATAACCTCATCTGATGAGAATTTATGGTTTGTGGGGCATGACTCCCCAGACCCTTTAGATAGGAATCTGAGCAAGATTAAAAAAAAAAAAAAAAGAATTAGAGCTTAGTCCTCAATAATGAAAGTGAAATGAAGCCTTACCAAAAGAATAAAATTGTGGTTAACAATAAAAAAAATTTACAGTGCTTCAGCTTAAAAAATTTAAACTAAATTAATTAAAATTATATATGAAATAAAAAATTCTATTCTCCATTTGCATTAGCCACATTTTAAGTGCTTAATAGTCAGTCCCGTTTGCCTAGTGACTTTCATATTGAACAACACAGTTGTATACCCTCACTAATTTTTTCCTTTGTTTTATTAAAAATAGTAAGATATGTTAAGATCTCCTACCATGATGGGGGAACTATTCCTCTTTTTAATCCTATCAACTTTATATATTTGAAGCTATGTTAGTGGGCATAGATATTTCAAGAATTGTTTTATCTTCCTGGTGTATTGCCTTTTTTTGTTTTGTTTTGTTTTGTTTTGTTTTTTTGAGGCAAAGTCTCGCTCTGTCGCCCAAGCTGGAGTTCAGTGGCATGATCTCCGCTCACTGCAGCCTCCACCTCCCGGGTTCAAGTGATTGCCCAGCTAATTTTTGTATTTTTAGTAGAGACAGGGCTTAGCCATGTTGGCCAGGCTGGTCTTGAACTCCTGGCCTCAAGGGATCCCCCCACCTTGGCCTCCTAAAGTGCTGGGATTACAGGCATAAGCCACCATGCCTAGCCAGTGTACTGCCTTTTTAGCATTCCAAAATGTCCCTCTTAATATCTAGTAGTAGTCTTATGTCTACTTTGACTCATATTAAAATAACTATATCGGTTTTCTTTTGGTTTTGTTTCCATTATATACCAAGGTATGTTGTACATTTTTAATAATCAGCTCTCTAGGAATGAGAAGCACTGATTTGTGGCGTTTGCCGCCTTCCATGATGTAGCCACTCTTACCAGGACTGATTTCAAGCTTGTAGCAGGACATTAACTGGCTCACAATATTTCCAAAAATGTGATCACTGATGCTCATGAGCTAGTGTGAGTCGGCTTCAACACCTCACTGATGGTATACTTTTTTCCAGCAACCTCTATGTGTCCTTATATTTAAGGTGGTGGGGGCGGGGGGCTTTTGAAAGGAGCATATGATTTTTTTTTCCCCAGTTTTACAGTGTTTCTCATTTAATTATAATATGATACCTTTTACATTTAATGTCATCATTGAAATATTTGGGTTTACACTTATTTTGCTATTTTTTTATATCTGTCTCATCCACTTTATAATAAAAAATGAATCAATTTTATTATATAATTTAACCCTTCAATGATCTTAGTTATACACCTTCTTTTATCGTTTTCTTAGAGATTAAAATATTCATCTTTGACTTATTACAGTTCACCATGAGATTAAAATACTCATCCTTGACTTATTACAGTTCACTGTAAGTCACTATTTCTGCCACTTCCTGAAGGATGTTAGTACCTTGGGATGCTTTAACTTCATTTACCTTCCTTTTGCCCTTTTTTGGTTGCCCTTTTTGTCATATCTTAATATTCTATATATTTTGTTTTGTTATTTTTATTTTTTTGCAGCAGTTGTTAGCATTTAACAAACCTCCCTCCCTGTGGCTTCACACCACCAGCCCCACTCCAACACCCTTTAATCCTCTCCTGTGCTCTTCTTCTGAAGAATTTGGCCTTCACAATGATAGGATGCTTTGGGAGCTTTCCCTTTCCCAGAACTTTGTAGTAATCTACCACATCAATGGTGGAGAGCCCCAGTCTTGTTTTTAGCAGCATTCTCCTGTGTCTGCTCACTGACCAAAGTCCACAATTTATTGTGATTGGCAGTTGAGCAGGAGCTCTGGTTCCTCTCTAAGTGGTAATCCTCATACCAACTTTCCCAAAGTAGCCAGAGTGATATTTATCAAAGTTTATCCTGTGGTGTTGCATGCCACCAGCATTCTACTGCCTCCTGAGTGCTTCTGGTGCTTGCTGATGAGGCAGTGGCCGTGGCTCATGTGGCCCCAAAGTTTCTGGGTCTTTCTCATTCCGGATGGCATGTCAGCAACTGAGACAACATAGAGAGACTCTATATATTTTTAAGTCCACTAGGCATTTTTATTATTGTTTTATAAGACAAAATTTATTTAGCTTTAACCCCATATTTACCTTTTTCATTGCTCTTTACTCTTCAATGTCTGTGCCTTTCTCTGTAGTTATATTCCTTCTTAAAGAATGCCTTTCAGTATTTATATTTACACAATTCTGCTGGCAAGAAACTATTATTGTTATTACTTCAAAAAACCCTTTGTTTTCATTTATAAGTATATTTTTATTTCAAATAGAATTTTAGGTTAGCAAGTATTTTATTTCATCACTTTGAAGACAAACTTTACTTTGTAGCTTTCATTATTTCTGTTGAGACAGCACCTGTCATTATCACTTTCTTGCTGCTTTGAAAGTAAGGTGTCTTTTTTTTACCCTCTGTCTGCTTTAAAGATTTTCTCCTTGTCTTTGGTTTTCCTATGATATGCCTAGAAATTGATTTCTTTGACATTGTTGGAGCTCATAATGATTCTTGAGTTTGTGGTTTGATATATTTCATTATTTTTGAAAATCTTGGTCATTATCTCTTCAAATATTGCTTTTGCCCCTTTTCTCTCTTGTCATTTTCTGGGACCACAAATATATGTGTTAATCTTAGACCTGGATACTTTTTACGTACTGAAATTATAGGTCACTAATTTTCTCTTCAGCTGTGTCTAATTTGCTCTTTAACTTATTTATTGCATGTTTTTTAGTTATTGTATTTTTCAGTTTTAGGATTTCCATTTCCATTTTATACTTCTTCTTATTAACTCTAGTTGTCTGGTGAAATTCTTTATCCTGTTGTTAAATTTTGAACATGTAAATCGTAGTTTATTTTAAATGCTCTGCTTATTAACTTCAATATCTGCATCCCTATGAGTCTATTTTTACCATCTGTTCTATATCGTGTTCTTTTCTCTTGATATATAGGCCTGGTAAGTTTTGAATGAATATCAGACATCATGTATGAAATAATGTACATGCTCTGGATGATTATATTCCTCCAGAGAAGAACAGATTACCTTAATTCAACCAGGGCTTAATTGGTTTCTATGCTTGACGTCTGTCTGTTTGAAGATCTGATCTATTTCCACTCTACCTTAATTTTTATGGTGCAGTTCTTCAAGAAATCTTAGGTAGCTTATACAGTATTCCCTCAAATAAGCAGACACTTAACTGTATGTGTTCTCTGCTCAGCACAGTGAGATTGCTAATAGCCTTGCTTAGATTTTTAGCCTCTTAGCAGGTACTTATCGTTGACCCTGGGTACCAAGTTCACTTTTGCAAACTTCCTTTCTGGACAAGATCTTGAACTTTCAAGTCCTAACTGTGTTGGTAGCCCTAAACTCCAGGTATGTCTTTATAGCTGCTAAGACTGCAGAAAATTCTACTCAAATTTTCTCCAACTCTCCAGTTTTTGATCAGCTTCTAAACATTCCTGCCCACTTTACTTATGAATTAGCAAATGCATTGAATGGGAAAACCTTGAAAAGTGTCAGACTCACTTCCGAGTTTTCTTTCCATGATCTTAGCCTCTCAAACCTGTCGCTTTGGTACCATTTTGATGGTGCCATTCAAATTGTTTTTCTGTATTTTACAAACTTTTAAAGTTACTCTCAATGGGAGAATTGGTTCTTATTATAACTGAAAGCAGAAGCCTTTCTAAGCCACAGAAATGGGCATTTATTGTGTACTTATTCCCCTTTATTACATAAAGACAATGTATATTTGTTGTAGTAAACATAGAAGACCCAGAAATATTAAAAGAAATAATACATCTTCCAGAGATAATTATTTTAATATTGATATATGCTACGGACTGAATGCTTGTGTCTGCAAAATTCATATGTGGAAGCACCAACCCACAATGTGATTGTATTTAGAGATGAGCCTTTGGGAGGTAATTAGGTAATGAGGGGAGGGCCCTTCATGATGGGATTAGTGCCCTTATAAGAAAAGACACCACAGAACTTGTTGTTTCTATCTCCGCAACATGTTAAGACATGGTGAAAAGGCAGCCATCTGCCAGCCAGGAAGAGGGCCGTCACAGAACCTGACCGTGGTGGCACCATGATCTCTGACTTCCAGCTGACTAAAACTGAATATATGAGGTTGACTAAATATATATGTTGGTGTCTAAAACTATATATATATATATTCAAAATTTATTATATATAAATTATACAAAATTATTATATGTAAACATATAATACAATATTTAATAAAGAATATACGTTATAATATATTACATATTAATATATAATCATATCTTACATTCTAATATATATCAGCACATATATAAATATATAATATGTAGTGTTTATATACATAACTATATGTGTGTGCATATATATAGGATATATACACTATATACTATCATCTTTATACTAACATCTTTACTTTTATATATGTTCAAAAATTTCTAGACTAAGAATGGTGTATGTGCAAATATATATCTAAATTGTTTATATTTAGACATATATCTAAAATATCTGCATATCTGAATATATACTCAGTCATTATATGTTGTATACATATTTTGTTTTTCACTAAGCAAAATCTTATATATAATTTTTATTATCTGATTCATTTAAATTTAGCAATAAAATAAAAAAAGAAACCTTTTCTTATGTCATTAAATATTATTCTACTACACATTTTAATGTTATGGATGAGCCCAATTAGATTTCTTTCTAACATTTTATGATTTAAAGTAATGCTATGATGAACACACATATGCATAATATTTTGTATATTTTTGATATGGTTTGGCTGTGTCCCCACACAAATCTCATCTTGAATTCCCACGTGTTATGGGAGGGACACAGTGGGAGGTAATTGAATAGTGTGGGCAGGTCTTTCCTGTGCTATTCTTGTGATAGTGAATAAGTCTCATGTGATCTGATGGTTTTAAAAAGGGGAGTTTCCCTGCACAAGCCCTCTTCTCTAGTCTGCTGCCATGTGAGATGTGCCTTTCACCTTCCACCATGATTGTGAGGCCTCCCCAGACACGTGGAACTGTGAGTCCAATAAACCTCTTTCTTTTCTAAATTGCCCAGTCTCGGGTATGTTTTTACCAGCAGCCTGAAAATGAACTAATACAATTTTATATTGTTCCCTCATGATAGGTTCTTAGACATGGAGTTTACTAAGATAGGTAAACAATTTAGATCTATATTTGAACTTACACATTTTTTTATCCTAGAAATTTTTGAACATATGTAAAAGTAAAGATAATAGTATAAAGAGCTTCCAAGTACCTAGAACCCATTGTCACAATTTAAGCAAATTTTGAGATGGGAGTTTCACTGTGTTGCCCAGGCTGGTCTTGAACTTCTGGCCTGAAGCAATCCTCCCACCTCAACCTCCCAAGTAGCTGGGATTACAGGTGCAAGCCACTGTGCCCAGCCATTTCAGCAAGATTTTTAAAATGTGATTGGACCTCTAATTTCAATAATGAATAAACAATTCATTCCTATCTGTTAGAGAACTCACTAGATATTAGGGCTTTTTTCCGCCCCAAGTATTTGCCTTTTCAATTTCCTCCAATCGTCAATGCACAATACCCACAAACTTCTAGGAGTCCAGTTTATATCTGCATTACAGAAAGCCTTGAATAGCTGAGGGGCTAAATTTACATTGCTACATCAGGAACTCTAGAACATCATAGCAGGACCTCAGGTATGTTGTTTTTCTTTGGGGCCCCCAGAAAGTTTGGGAGAAGGGGAAATATACAAATGGGACTTGGGCTCAAAGTCAAGTTCTTGGAAATTAGGAAGAGTAAGGCCCCATACATACAGGGCAAGGGAAGAATTGTGCTTCTGGAAGAGTAGGGTCTCATTCTTGACTGGGGATTAGTCAAGGGATATTATGTATTTCTTTTTGAAGATTGGCTTAGGGTTCATAGAAAAAGGCTATTGGGAAATGTCACTTTGAAGATTTTCAGACTCAGATTCCGTAGGACTTGGGAACTGTCCTGAAATGAAAGAGAGATAAACTTCAGAGTGAAGGGCTGCTTTTTGAGGCCAAAATTACTTAGACCCTGAGTGATTTAAAACTGGCTGAAAGAGCTACATCACCTGAGGGAACGTTTGTTGCATGGAGAGTGAAAGACAGTGAGACTGTCAGGGGTAACAAATGTGTCACTCATCAATGTCACAGACTGAAAGAGAGCAGGAAGAGGAGTTGGAAATGGTCAACAGTATTGGAGCAGATGAGTGTGGGTGCAGACACTGGAAAAAGACACCAAAGGACCTGAGGTAAAAAGCAGCATCGGTGAGGGAAGTGGGAGTGGCGTGTCAGGGTAGCTGTGCTCATGAAACTTACAGCTGAGTACTTGGGGGTGGGGTGGGGGAGAAACATGGCTCAAGCCCCTTACCGCATGGTTTATAGCCTAGATTCTTGATTTTTTTTTCTGACAAACAGCATAGACTAAAAGAATAATTTTATTTTTGTTGTTATTCATTTTATTCCAGGTAACTTCAACTTATTTTCTTCCATAAAAAATAAACATATTAACCTTCTACAAACTAGAATCATCTTACAAATTAACAAAGAAATTGCACTGCTAAATAACTCTTCTAGTAGCTTTTCTCCCAGAACAAAATACTTGCCCACAATCAGTGCATTATGTGTAAGTGTGCATGTGCATTTGTGTGTGTGTGCGTGTGTGTGTTTGTTGAGATGAAGGAGTAAGCATAGGGCATAAATGTACAAGAAAAGTAAGGCAACACAGGCTACATTTCAGAGGAATGTCACAAAGGCTGGGAAAAACACCTCCAGTTGGGGAGGCTGAAAGGATTTCATGCAGGAGGTTGTTCTTAAATGAAGCTTGAATGTTATATAAGATTATAACAAGAGTAATGGTAGAAAAACATTCCAGATGATTCTCACTTTGTATGGAAAACCTATGGGCCAATGAACTGTGTATCTTATTGTGTCATATTCATGGACATGTTTTTGTCCAGATTAAAGTACATATGTTAAAGCTTAGAAGCTGGAAAACAAATTTTGAGGCCATATATAGCAAAAAAAACCTCTCCATGTGAGGCTGGAAACACTGCAGTGCAGCAGGAACTCAGGAGTTAGCCAAGTAATTTTAGAAAAATTGCACTTTTTCTTATTTCTCTGAATAATAACCTAAAATCTCCATCTGTTTTTTCTTAATTTTTTTTTTAAATTTAAAAATCAATGTAGAAGACTAGAACATTCTGGGAAAAGAGAACAAGAAAAGAAAAAAAAAAGGCAACCATAATTTGACCACCTGGAATCAATCTTTTGCCGTATTTTCTTCCACAAATATTTATTTACATTATTTGTGAAAGCATTTATGAAACTTTAAAGATTTAATTTGTATGTATCATATTACATCATAAACATTTCTCCGTGCTATTTTACAGTTTTCATAAATATCAATTAATGGCCTCCAGTATTCCATGATATTGATGTACCACAGTTTAATTAATCATTTGCCTCCTGTTGAATTTACGGGTTACCTCCTCTTTATAGGAGGGTAGTGAGTCTGCAAAACAGAAAAAGAATGATCTTTGTGGTTTAGAATGATAGATAGATTCAAAGGAAATTTAACAGGGATATATATATATATATATCTTTTTTTTTTTTTTTTTTTTTTTTTTTTTTTGAGACGGAGTCTCGCTCTGTCGCCCAGGCTGGAGTGCAGTGGCGCGATCTCGGCTCACTGCAAGCTCCGCCTCCCGGGTTCACGCCATTCTCCTGCCTCAGCCTCCCAAGTAGCTGGGACTACAGGCGCCTGCCACCACGCCCGGCTAATTTTTTGTATTTTTAGTAGAGACGGGGTTTCACCGTTTTAGCCGGGATGGTCTCGATCTTCTGACCTCGTGATCCGCCCGCCTCGGCCTCCCAAAGTGCTGGGATTACAGGCGTGAGCCACCGCGCCCGGCCTATATATATATATCTTTTAATAAATTTATTTATATTTTAGTTTTGAAAGAATAAAACGTACCAGTAAGAGACAAGCAGACCTGACATGAAAAGAACCCAGGTACTTAATTAAATTAGATCCTCATTGAAATGATAGTTGTAATCAAACAGCTAATGCTATCTTAGGTTTTGAATGTAAAAGATAGTGCCACAATAAAAGTAAGAGTCCTGCTAAACTTTGATAAGTTACTTTAGGAAAGAACAATTATTTGAGAATGAAGAAGTAACAGGGAAAAGTCAATACTTCCCAAGGTGATTGCCCACATATAAGATGATGAGCTTCAGATTTCGACCTTTAAATGTACATTGGTGATGAGAATGAGTAATATTACTTTCCAGGAATGCCTCCTCCATGACATCATGCTAATAGCTAGCTCAGAGTTCTAAGCATTTTTAAATTAAAGAAGTTGCTTTACAACAAATGTTACCTTCCATTTTTCACATCTAATGAATCAGAAAAATGCAGTTGGAGTAAAACTTTTATTTAAAACTTTTATTAATGAATTAGATAAATGAAGTTAAGGTAAAACTTTTATTGAAATCTAACTCATCAGGTCCTCAAAGTTCTTATTATGGCCATGAATTTCTAATATACATAAAATATGTAGATGTCAATGATAAAGCCTCAGAAATTGAGTGGAAACAAAGACACTGGTGTGTTGCATAATATGAAAAATTTAATTATAATTATTATTTACTCAAGGTGCTTTTTAAAGAATGCTTATTAGAAGGAAAGGTGAAGGGGTGACATGTACAAAGATTAGTATCTCACCATTTAAAAAGTATACAATTGAATGAGGGCATAAGGGATTAACTAAGATACAGTGACATATGTTTTATAATAGCTTGGTATAAAGAATCATGAGGACCAGAAAGAGTGAGAAACTAATGATTCTGTTTGTTGGAGAGGAATGGAAAGAATGGAATGCTACATATAGGTGACATTTAGCTGATTTTCGAGGACAAAGAGAGGATAAGAAATCAGTTGCCTCGTGAAAAGACAAAGAAAGCTTATGTCTGACAAAAGCCATATTCTAATTGGATAGCAAGCTGAGTCTTACAAGTCTATTAAGATGTAGATAAATATATTTTGAAGGACTTTTTAAATAAAATCATTGCAATCAAAGAGATTCTCTTCCTTTAGTTAACCAGAAAATTAGTAATAATTTTGTTAAGCACTGTGCTTTACAGGTCAAATGTCATTTATTCTTCACAGCTACCCCATAACACAGGTATTATATTGTTATCCATTTGGCTCATGGAGAAAAGAGGTTAGAGTTTCAGTATCATCTTAAGGTCATTTAGTCAGACTTGGTATTGGAACCCATGTATTCGTCATAACTGAATTCTCTGCACTATTTGTTTTTTAACCATTTAGTTTTGTGAGGTTTCTTCAACACATCAGATTTATTATTAGCATGCAGACATGTGTGAGTGGGTGCACATATACAGTGATTTGTTTATTATAGCCTGACGACATGGATCACATAGTTCATTTTGTACACATCTTTTAGGTTCATTCATGCTCATCACCCTCCTATTTAAATTTTGACAGCAAACTCTCCTATGCACTATTTTAAGCATTTGGTCTATATTAACTCATTTAATCTTAAGTAACTTCCTTAAAGGCATACAACTAGCAAGTAGTGGAGCTGGGATTTGAACCCAGGACATCGGATTCCAGGAGCTATGCTAATAATCACTACAGTATACTTCTATTTAAATCTTAGCTATCCTTTAAGTTCTCATACTTGAAATCATCTCACCTTAAGCAGTCTTTGACGGTTTCAGGTTGAGCTCCCAAGAATCATACATATGGAACTCACTGGAATTTTCTAACCTTATTGTGTAATGTGCTATACATATTAATTTTTCTGCTGTTATTGGACTAAAAGCCCAATGACTGACATCACCACAAGCCACATCTTCTCTCTTTTCAGTGTTTGTCATCTGGAAAATGCTCAATACATATTTGTGTAATGGTTAGTTAAAACTGTAATTGTGAATATCAGTTATTTATAATTGCATTGTCCTGTAATACATTGATTCACCTAGGGTCCATCTCAATATGCAGAGCTATTGATCTTGACCCTCAGTATCTCTGAATTTTTATTTTTAGGAATTCTTTATTTTATTATATATAGTAGATTATATAAGTAATTATATACATTTTATTTAATACATTTTAATTAATAAATTTTATTTATTTATTTATTTTTTATCGAGACGGAGTCTTGCTCTGTCACTCAGGCTGGAGTGCAGTGGTGCAATCTCAGCTCACTGCAACCTCTGCCTCCCGGGTTCAGCGTCAGCCTCTCGAGTAGCTGGGACTACAGGTGCCCGCCACCACGCCCGGCTAATTTTTTGTGTTTTTTAGTAGAGATGGGGTTTCACCATGTTACCCAGGATTGTCTTGATTTCCTTACCTCATGATCCACCCGCCTTGGCCTCCCAAAGTGCTGGGATTGCAGGCATGAGCCACCAAGCCCGGCCAAATTTTATTTCTTTAGAGCAGTTTTAGATTCACAGCAAAACTGAGTGGAAAGTACAGAAAGTTCTCATATGCACAACTTCCTCCACTATCAACATCCCACACCAGGGTGGTACCTTTACAATTGATGAACCTACATTGCCATGTTATACTCATCCAAAGTTTGTAGCTTACATTAAGTCTCACTCTTGGTATTGCACATTCTGTGAGTTTCGATAAATGTGTAATAACATGTATTTACTATTATAGTATCATACAGAGTAGTTTCACTGTCCTAAAAATCCTCTGTGCTCCTCCTATTCGTCTCTCCCCTCCCTTAACCCCTAGCAATAACTAACATTTTTACTGTCTCCATGGTTTTGCCTTTTCCAGAGTGTCATATAGTTGGCATTATACAGTATGTATAATATAATATACATAATATATGATATAATATAATGTAATATGATATAATGAAAAGCCTTTTTTGATTGGCTTTTTTCACTTAGTAATATGCATTTAGTTTCCTCCACATTTTTTCATGGCTTAATAGCTCATTTTTTCAATGCCAAATAATATTCAATTGGCTGGATGTACAACAGTTTATTTATTTATTCACCTACTACGGGATATCTTGTTTGCTTTTAAGTCTTGGCAATGATGAATAAAACTGCCATAAACATTTGTGTGCAGGTTTTTGTGTGGGCATGTTTTTAATTCATTTGGGCAAATACCAAGGAGCACAATGGCTGGATTGTATGGTAAAAGTACATTTAGTTTTGTAAGAAACTGCCAAACTGTCTTCCAAAGTGGCTATTGCAATCACATCTTGCATCTGCGTTTGATACCTCTAGTTTACTTCTGTACATAAAAAATTATTATTGTGAGAACACATAATATGGGATTAACCAATTTTTAAGTGTACAGTCAGTATTGCCAACTATATGCACATAATTGTAAAGCAGATCTCTAGAACTTACGCATCCTGCATGACTAAAATTTATACCCATTGCACAGCAACTCCCCACTTCCTCCTTTCCTCAGCCCCCTGGAAACCACCATTTTATTTTCTCATTCTTTTGAGTTTGACTACTTTAGATACATCACAAAAGTGGAATCACGCAGTATTTGTATTTAAGTACCATTTGATCCAGTAATTCCACTTCTGGGCATTGATCCAAAAGAATTAAAAACAAGATTTCAGAAAGATATTTTCATTACCGTATTTATTAATTACAGCATTATTCGCAATAGCCAAGAGGTGGAAAGAACTTAAATGCCCATTGAAGGATGAATGTATAAATGAAACGTTGTATAGACATACAATGGAGTATTATTTAGCCTTAAAGAAGAAGAAAATCCTGTCAAATGGTACAATATGGTTAACTTTGAGGATATTATGCTACCTTTTTTTTTTTTTTTGAAAACAGCAACAACGACAAAGATCTAGTTTTTTATTTTTCTTTTCCCCCAAAGAATGTCATTGACCGAGGTTTGAAATGACTGGTTCCAGTCCCACTTATACCCTTTTCTCCTCTGGGCAAATTACTTAAACTCTCTAAGCCTTGGTTTCTCTCTTCTTTTTTTTTTTTCTTTTCAATGTTAATTTTAATTTAAATCTGTTTAACACCAATATTGTGCTACCTAATTTTTTTTTAAATTATACTTTAAGTGCTGGGGTACATGTGCAGAATGTGCAGGTTTGTCACATAGGTATACACGTGCCGTGGTGGTTTGCTGCATCCTTCAACCCGTCATCTACATTAGGTATTTCTTCTAATGCTACCACTCCCCTAGCCCCCAACCCCCTGAAAGGCCCCGGTGTGTGATGTTCCCCTCCTGTGTCCATGTGTTCTTATTGTTCAACTCCCGCTTATGAGTGAGAAAATGCATTGTTTGGTTTTCTGTTCTTGTGTTAGTTGCTGAGAATGATGATTTCCAGCTTCATCCATGTTCCTGAAAAGGACATGAACTCATCATTTTTTTGGCTGCATAGTATTCCATGATGTATTTGTCCCACATTTTCTTTATCCGGTGGGCATTTGGGTTGGTTCCAAGTCTTTGCTATTGTCAACAGTGCTGAAATAAGCATACGTGTGCATGTGTCTTTATAGTAGAATGATTTATAATCCTTTGGGTATATACCCAGTAATGAGATTGCAGAGTCAAATGGTATTTCTGATTCTAGATCCTTGAGGAATTGCCACACTGTCTTCCACAATGGTTGTACTTTTAACCTCTTTTTTCCAACACTCTTTAGGCAGGGAACCAGAAACCTAAGCTTGTTAGAACTGTGTCTAAAGTAAGAGTAATTAGGTACATGGATCTGATCTAACAGATTCTGTGATACACATATTGGTATCTATGTTTGTGTGCTTAGAGAACTTTCTTGAATATTCCTGTTTTCAGTTTTCATTCTTTATAAGGTACATTATTACAGTCAACATAAATAATGTAACTAGAAAACAGAAAGAAACAAGAAGTGTTTGCATAAACTGCATGGAATTCAACAATTTGTAAGAAAGTTTATATAAAATGTGTAAATGAAATATATTGCTCAGACATCATTATGTAGTAGTTCCTGATGCCCACAGCTACTAGCTGACTAACTGTCATATTTACGCCCTCAATTGGCAAGAGAGAGGTTGGGAAAATTCTGCTCACTGTTAAATTTTAAGGGTTGATAGATTTAGAAAATTCTGTCATTGTGTCATTATAGTATTATTTCATTGCATGGAAGTGTCACCCAAGGGGTTCGCAAATTATATCTGAATGGAAATTTCATTTGGTACTAAAATAACCATGTCTTAAAATATCATTTACTTCACCTTGCTCACTTTCTTCCTGATTGCAACTCTTTGCTGAAGGGAAGTATTCCTGACTTTGCTCTCTGTAAATCTTCAGAGAGCCAATTTGATAAGAACTTTTAGAAATTTCCTTCAAAATACACACCCACACAGTTCCTTTTCAAGTTTTTTAACTGACATGCTTTGTATATCATTTAATCACCACATTCAGCATTTACACATTTTCCAGGGAATTGCACTAGAACTCAAGAATGGGCCTATCACACATCAGCTAGTTTTGATTCACTGTCTTCCTCACTGCTTCATTCTGGCAGGAATCTTAGAGGGTGAAGGTGGGTGGATGACATGTCAAAAACACTTATTTTCCCATATGCAAGTGGTTTAGAAGCTCCTATTTAGGATTGTTGGAGGGAACACATGCGCAGCCTTCTTCCTGCCCACCCTCTCCCCACCATTGGGTCTTCAACTGATAAGCCAGGATATTTCATGGAATTTTATGGGGTCTAAGCAAGAAATAATTACTTTTAATAAACTAAAATATGGTTGTGATTGGCATGTTGATCTAGCATTAAAAAGCTTTGTGAATTTAGCTTTTGGGATCCAAGCTGTTTCCTTACTCATACTTACAAGGTAAACATCACTATTAGGCAAATACAGTCTCCCCCACCTCTTTCTCTCTGTCTATATATACATGTAATCTAAATTTATAATATATAATATATAAAATTTATATATATTTATATTAGAGATATAAATATATATGTGTATACACACATAAGTATGGGTTTGGCATATAGTAGCCACTTAAGAAACAGTAAGAGTTATTATTACCATCATCACCATTACTTTAAAGTTTATCATCTTAGTCATTGGGTGAAAAACATTTCCTTGAGGCGATAATGATAAATCTCTCCATGAGGTGCTACTTAATCTTTGTTTCTTTTGATGAGAAATTTGTCTATTCTGACTATTTAAAAACCTAGTGACTCTTTCTGATATTTTGTAACATGTAACTAACTACGTTTTGCTGTGTTTCATATTCCATTATGCTTGTAGCAATTACCAGAAAGACACCGGATTGTCATGCTGGGTTGTCATGGATGGCCTCTTACACTGTAGTTGGGGGCATGTTGTAATGTGGAAGAGTTGCGTGTGCTAATGATTTCTCACTATTCTTATGTTTTGTCACTGCTCACAACATGTCCATTTCTGAAGCATTATTGATTTTATTAGAACTCTGTCTCACTATATCTTCACATTGATATGAAAATAAATCAAGGACAAATATAGTTTTATTTGATGTAAGTCAATAGTTCTTAATTGTGGATGTGTTTTCATCAGAGTTAGCAGAGGTGTTTTAAATATGCATAACTGGACTTGAATTAAAAAATCCTCAGTGGGGCCCAGGCATATTCCCGTGGTTCAATCATTTACTGAGGAGAATTCCATTGAATACATGGTTCCATAGACTTTTTTTTTCAAGAAATATTTTAATGACCATTAATCGTGTCATTTTTTTTCTCTATTGTTTTTCTGTTTTCTATTTCATTGATTCTTATTTTTAGCTTTATTTTTTTCTTCTGTTTATATTTGCCTTTTAAAAAATTCTAGTTTCTTAATGTGGCACGTTAGGTCATTGATATGTAAACTTTTTCTTTCTATATTATGTTACGCATTTATGTCCTTATGATGAGTCAATCCCTGTATTATTACAAAATGACCTTCCTTATCCCTTGCAAATTTCTTTGCTCTGAAATCTACTTTTTCTGATTTTAATATAGTCACTCTAGCTTTCTTTTGATCAGTGTTAGCATGATATATCTCTTTTTTAGACTTTATTTTTAATACTTTTATGTCTTTATATTTAAAGTGCAATTCTTGTAGGCAGCATGTAGTTAGCTCTTTTTTTTCACAATATACTCTGAGCATTTATTACCAATTTATTATTATTGGAGTCACAGGAATATCTCCAAAGGGTAAGAACTTTTTTTTTAATTATTATACTTTAAGTTCTAGGGTACATGTGCACAACGTGCAGGTATGTTACATATGTATACATGCACCATGTTGGTGTGCTGCACCCATTAACCCGTCATTTACATTAGGTATTTTTTAATCTAATCTGTCAGTATCTGCCTTTTAGTTTTGGTGTTTGGACCATTTACATTTAATGTAATTATTTGTATGGTTAAATTTAAGTATCTCATCTTGCTATTTGTTTTCTACTTATCCCATCCATGGCGGTTAATTTTATGTGTCAAATTCACTGGGCTATGGTATATCCAGATATTTGGCCAAACATTATTCTGGGTTTATGAAGGTGTTTCTGGATGAAATTAACATTTGTACCAGTAGACTGAGTAAAGCAAATTGCTCTCCTTTATTTGAATGGATTCCATCCAATCAAGTGAATGTCTGAATAGAACAAAAAAGCCCTCCTGTGAGTAGAGGAAGACTCTCTCTGTCTGACTGTCTTTGAGCTTGGACATCAGTCTTCTCCTGCCTTTAGATTTGCTCTTGGACTGGAACTTAAACCATTGGCTTTTCTGGGTGTCCAGCTTGCTGACTACAGATTTTGGAACTACTAAGTCTTTGTAAATGCATTAGCCATTTCCTTGTAATAAACTGATCTCTCTTTCTTGCTCACTGTATAAGTAACACACACATTATAACACATTATATAAAAAATATATAAATATATAAAATATATATATCAGGGTTCTCCAGAGAACCCTGACCAATACAGTATTTATTCTTTGTTCTTCATTTCTTCTTTTATGATGTCATCTTATTTCCTTTGTTGGCTTATTAGCTACAACTCTTTGTTTTGTTAATTTGGTTGTTGCTTTAGGGATTAATATATATCTTTAACTGATCACAGTCTACATAGATACTACACATATGGCATAAGAACCTTACGATATTACACTTGCATTTCTTCATTTCACTCCTTTGTGTTCTTTATGTTCACTTTAGTGAACACATATATATATGCACACACACACACTATTAATCTCATACTATATTTTTATTATTTTTGCCTGAACAATTATACTTCTGGGAGATTTAAATAATAGTTACCTATATAATTACATTTCTGTTGCTCTTCATTTCTTTGTGATTTATGTTTCCAGGTTTCTTTCCCTTTATGTTTATTTTCTTAAAAATAAATTTATTAAAAGTTTTTTAATTGACAAAACTTTTGTATATTTATTGTGTACATGATGTCATTTTGAAATATGCACACATTATGGACTGGCTAAATCTAGCTAATCAACATATGTACTACCCTCATTTTTTTTTTGTCGTGAGAACACTTAAAATCTATTCATTAGCAATTTTCAAGAACACAAAGCATTGTTATTAAATATAGTTTCCACGATATTCAATATATATCTTGAACTTATTCCTCCTGTCTAATTGAAAGTTTAAATTTTTTGACTAACATCTGCCCAACTCCCCTGCTCCTAACCTCTGAAAACCAACATTCTACCCTCTACTTCTATGAGATCAACTGTTTTAGATTCCACATATAAGTGAGATCATTCTGTATTTTTCTTTCTACGTCTGTCTTATTTCACTTAATATAATGTCCTCTAGGTTTATCCATGTTGTCTCAAATGACAGAATTTTCCTCTTTTTTAAGGCTGAAGAGTATTCCCTTGTGTATATGGGCTACATTTTCTTTTTCCATTTATTCACTGATATATGTTCCCCTTTCTGTGTTCCCACATAATCTTGAATTCTCCTTTGTAAAACTTGCAACTGCTTTTTTAAAATGTGTCTCTTCTGCCTGACAGAAAAATTAATTAGGATGTAGGCCATATCTTTTGCTCAACAATCGTGTTCTCAGGGCCAAGCATAGTATTGGAAGCATACTCAGAAGGTACTCAGTAAATATTTGTTGAATGAAGGAAGGAGAAGAGTTCCATGCTAGCATTGTAACCAGTAGGCAAAGTCTTGATGAAGGCTGACATTGCTGAGGTACTGTACAGTGAGACTTGATAGTGTGTCATTCCCTCATGGAAAAAAAGAAAAGAGTAGGAATTAGTTACTTTTATCTCTTTTCTCTTGCTTCTAAATTCTTCAGATCGTTAGTCATGGTACTTTTTGTCTGATCTTTCAATACAACTTTTTGATATAAGATCTTTCTTAATCCTTGGGCTCCCAATTTGATAAAGAAAGATTTTCTTGTCCATTCATTTTTTCTTAATCTTCTCTGTTACTTTGATTTACCACCAGGGACACCTGGGCAGATGATTGTAAGTCAACGCTACTTCCCCGGGCCTTCGCATATAAACGTGAGTATCAGAAAAGATAAAGAATTGCCCCTTCTTTTAGATAAGGAAAGAATCATTGCAAAAAGCCATTTCAATGAATTTCTTTCCACACAGGAAGCAAAAATACTGTGCATCAACTAAACTGAAATATTGGACATGTCACTTGAGCTGCAACTAGTAATATATCTAGTTGTTTTTTAACCCCCAGGATGTTAGACTGTATCTATACTCCCTCAGTCCACAGTTTCAAAGGACTGCTCTGTGTTAGCTAGGCACAAATTTGAACTTATCTAAATCATTTTAAGCTCTATATAAGAATTACTCTGAACCTTACTGCCCCATAACAAATTATTTGATAAATAAATTAGTGCAACCTTTAAGTTTTATTATAGCTAACTATTTTGAAATTTTTACTATTTTTGCTCCTTTCTCTGCCTGGAAATTTCATATCCCAAATGTCTTTCAGGCTTGCCCTCTCACTTTCTTCATATTCTGCTCCAATGTCACTTTTATAGTGAGTCATCCATGGCTACTTTTAATAAAAGAATGACTCTCTACCATCACCCCAGCCCCTGGCATTTTCTATTCTCTTCTTTGTGCTCTATTTTTCTCCATTATACTATGACCATTTGACTTTCTATATATTTATTTGTCCATTTGTTCATTTTCTGAGTGCCAGGTACATTGCAGGTGCTACTATGGTTTGAATGTTGAACTCCATCCTCATGTTGAAATGGAATTGCCATTGTGACAGTATTAACAGGTGGGGCCTTAAAGAGGTGATTAGGCCTTGAGAGCTCCACTTTCATGAATGGATTAATGCTATCATGGTGGAAGTGGGTTAGTTATCATGAAAGTTCGGTTCTCTCTTTTTCTCTGTCTTGCATGCTCTTGCCCTCTTTTGCCCTTCCTTACTGTGTGATACCTTCTGCCATGTAATGACAAAACAAGAAGGTCCTTTCCAGATGTGACTCTTTGATCTTTGACTTACTCGCTTCCAGAACTGTGAGCCAAATATATTTCTATTGTTTAAAAATCACTCAGTCTGTAGTATTCTGTCATAGCAGCAGAAAGGGACTAAGAAAAGTGCTTGATAAGTATTGTTGAATGAATGCGTGCATTAATAAATGGTTAACTTGATATACATTTACTAACATGACTCAGTAATCATTAACATCTTGCATTGTATTTGGACATAAATGATAAGTAGTTGCAAAAAAGTACAACAATTAGTATTACTTCTAAGTAGATGAACAAAACATCATGGGAGAGAGGTTAATGGAGGAGAGGGAGGCTGAATTTAGTGAAGCAATAACTGGCTTTGAAGCCTTTATAAAGATACTTGATCCTTAACAAAGAGGTTTCCTCATTCCCTGGGTTTGGGCAGTCAGAGTAAGCACCCAGGACTAGAGTCTGGGGCTGGTGTGACTCAGTGCAGGCAGTTTTGCACAGTTGGGTGAGATGTATTTGTCTTTTACTAATGATGAAAAATGGAGCACCTAGCTCAGCCTCTGCAAGGAAAGCTGATGTGCAAAATCAATTAGGAGAATGATAAATCCTTTCCTCTTGCAGAAGAGATAACTGAGGGCCTTGGCCTGTTTGTCCATCTTTAAAATAGGGATTTGCTGACACTACATTTGGAGACAGTTTTATTTTCTGTGAGTGGCTTATTGGTAGGTACTTTCCTTAATTGTAGTTAAATAAATTTTATGTTTGTCTTTTTACTGTTGTATCTTCAGCACCCAGCAGATTTTCTGGCTCATAGTGGATACACTGATTTCTTTCCTTTTTTTCTTTTTTTTTTTTTTGAGACAGAATCTTGATCTGTCACCCAGGCTGGAGTACAGTGGCAGGTGAACATGGCTCACTGCAGACTTGACCTCCCAGGCTCAAGCAATCCTCCCCTCAGCTTCCCAAGTAGCCAAGATTATAGGTGTGTGCCACCACACCAAACTAATTTATATATATATATAATTTGGTAGAGATGAGGTTTTGCCATGTTGCCCAGGCTGGTCTTGAATTCCTGGGCTCAAGCCATCCACCTGTCTTGGCCTTCCAAAGTGCTGAGATTACAGGCATGAGCCACCATGCCCGGCCTACTGATTTCTTTTAGGTAGATAATATAACCCTCTCAGTCATATGGCCACTACTAAATTGCATTGAAGATGCCATATCTTCCAAACTGATAGAGTCTCCCTTCTCAGAATCCCAATGCTTGGGCCCCTGCTTGGATGCAACCCTGACTTTCTATGGTCATTAGTTTTCTTTTCATATAGATTGCAAGTGCCATGAAAGCAAAAATTTCCAGCACTTAAGCTAATGTCCAGTTCAAGCTGAGGGCTCAAAAAGGTTTGTTGAGAAAGAGCCATATTAATTTGAATTGACAATTGGTAACATCTATAAACTCTCTTTTCCCTTCCCACATCAAAGCTACCTTAGAGATCTCGTTTCAGAACTCGATATTTCAGAAAAATATGTTTGGGATAGCCTGACAGTATTGTTGTCTAAATTTATGACAAACCTATTTTGTAGAGACTCTGCTCCATAGAGTGTACTCTGAAATGTTGTAGGAGAGAAATCGAATGTCTGAATTCTTGATATGGCTTGGATTTGTGTCCCCACCCAAATCTTATGTTGAATTGTAATCCCCAGCGTTTTAAGAGGGTCCTGGTGGGAGGCGATTGAATCATGTGGCAGACTTCCCCCTTGCTGTTCTCATGATAGTGAGTGAGTTCTCTTGAGATCTGGTAGTTTAAAAGTGTGTAGCACTTCCACCTTTGCTCTCTCTCTCATGCTCTGCCATATGAAGATGTGCCTGCTTCCCCTTTGCCTTCTGCCATGTGTGTAAATTTCCTGAGGCCTTCCCAGCCATGCTTCCTGCACAACTTTCAGAACTGTGAGTCAATTAAACTTCTTTATAAATTACTCAGTCTCAGGTAGTTCTTTATAGCAATGTGAGAACAGACTAATACAATTCTCAAGCTGGGTTTTGTAGGGCAGATCAAGCAAGAAATTAAGGATATCAGAAATTTGTGAAGCTTGTTGAGTGACTAATGCAATAGACCTTGAGGTTCTAAGATATTAATATGTAAAGAGGGAAAGCAAATTGAAGACAAAAGGAGGTGATCAATTAAGGTACAACAGAGATTCAGGCATGAGAGCACTTGGGTGTCATGGAAGAATAGGACATTGTGGCCAGTGGGTGTGATAATTAGAATTTATTGTTTCATAGGTGGAGCAGTACAAGGTTATGCACAAGACTAGGGCATGACCATAGAAGTGAATTGTTGAAATAAAGTTCACTGGAGTTGAAAAGGTCGATGACCTCAGGGTAAAATTATTTACTTAGTAAGCAGTATAATTAATCCTGGCACTTGGGTCTGCTAATTCCACAGTCAGAGACAAAATTTTATGGCAAGCACACATTCATACCCAGGCCTGGCTGGACATTAGTAGAGAATCCACATGCAAATTAAGGAAGGCAATGTTCTTTGCTCTATTTCCTCCTGACTCCATTCGCTACCCCAATTATTTAAGCATCTTTTACTTTTCTTATTTAAGCATCTTTTTTTGGAGAACAATAATTTTTGACCTTTTTTAAAAAAAGAAATCACATAACTTTCAAGAAAGATAAATCTGTTCTCCAGATTGAGGCTTTTGAAAGCACATTATCTTATTTCTATTATAGTTGGAGGGTAAGTGAATGAATGGGAGAAGAGCTGAGGTATGACTTATAGTGAGACTTTAAAAAACTGTGGGATCACGTGATTTGAAAAGCACAATTCTACCGTTGGTGGGATAAGATATTTAAAACTGAGATTATAATGGAAAAGCTAGGAATGTTTCTTGTGAGGGCTGCTCTGAAATAATCTTACCTTTTAGGAGGCTTTCCTAAAGTGATTGTGTTTATTGACACATTACATTTTTTCTCTAACATAAATATAATGTCTCCTCTTTTCTCCATGAAAAACATTATTTGAAGAAATGCTATGCGTTGGTTAAAGTCTTGTTCATTGATATAGTCAACAAACATATAATGAAATAGTACTAGGAGCTAAGTAGCATGACCTTGTGCAAGCTAACTTAACCTCTCTAAATCTAATAAAAGTGTGTATTCATTTCTGCTTGACAGTCAGCTTCACCTGATCACTAGTTTTCTTTATGGCTGCAAACATTCATAACACAAAGAAATAATACATGTTTGAGATGATGGATATGCTAATTACCCTGATCTGATCTCTCCACATTATATGTATTGAAACATCACTAAGTACCCCATGAAATGTACAATTATTAGTCGTCAGTTAAAAAACTGGCAATAATAACAGTAACTTTCTTCACAGCATTATTTTTGTGAAGCTAAAATGAAACAATGCATGTAAAACGCTAAGCACAGTGCCAGTGACAAGGATTCAGTGTCATTCACTGCTAGACATGACAGCGTGCGGCTTTGACTTAATGCCAAAGAACAAAAACTGCATTTTCAATCCTGACAAACCTTTAGGGTCGTAAACCAGGCTAGGACAAGTGTTAACTTTTATGTTTAAAAAATGATGTGTGAGTTTTCCTTTTTCTATTTTAGTTGTATTTCTTAAGCAGTTATATATTAAGGTAAGTATAGTATGTCTTGGTTAAAAAATAACCTAAGACCAGAAATAAATAATAAAGGCTTTAGGATTTAATTATAAATTATTTAATGATTAATCTGAGACTTTTAAATCTGAAAAGAAAAAAAATCAAGCATATGGTATCTTAAAGTACAGTCAGCAGACAACATTATTCTTGTTTCTGATCAATATAAGGGCCAAATAACTGCTGGTGGTTTTTTAATCACCGATAAGTGAAGCTTCCAAAAATTGCATCTCTCCTCATAATTCAATAAGATGAGATTGCTTTTTCCAAAGATATGATTGGTCCTTTTGCCAAAGGGGTGGAGAGAGCAGGGAAGTCTAGAAAATGAATACCTTTCACTTATAATGTTCAAAATCAGCTGAAGCACAAAGTAACTAGAGTATTATTGCTCTGGAAGGAACCAATAGGAAGAAGTCGCAAGACCTGAGCAAACCCAGCCAGAAGCCCAGGGAAAGAAACTTCCCCTGGCAGGCTCTTAAATCGGTGAGTTTTAACAAGGGGCTAAACCAACTAAGAAACAAGAATTTCTAAGATTTCCTGTCTGGAAAATAGGACTTTGAATTGAATGGTCAATTACAAGGAATTATGAGGATAGCTTATGCATGATACACGAGGCAAAGAAACAATGACTCTTAATTCATTTTCAGGGAATTTTTTTCCTTTCTTTTTCTTTGTGGCTGTGAGAACTAGGAGCACGTTAAAGCTGTTCTGTCTGAGCCTTTATTCTGAAAACCACTGTAATTAATGAAGTTAATTGGATTTTTTTCCTACTGTTGGGTTTAGGCCCAATCTGTCAACTAACGCATATAAAAGACATCTCAGAAGCAGAGTTTCACATCAGGAATAAAATAAAGAATGCACCCAGCAGTAAAATAGTGAGAATCTGTAAAATTGCAATTTCTGATCTTTTCTGAAGCAATCTGAGTTTCTTTGCCCAGGTGTTTAGCCACTTTGTTCCTCACAGTTTTTTTTTGTAAACTTGTATATTTCCTTTTGATGAGGAATAAACAGATCCTATTGTTGAAAATTCTGCATGTTTCATGTTGATTATTATTATTACTGAGGGCAACTTAATAATTATAAATCATCGCTAACATGATCTGTATGGATATAGGAGCTCAGAGCTGGAGTGTTTGAATTTGAGATGTAAATTAGGGGATTTATTGCCCTTTTCTCAAACATTACTATTATTATTGTCCAAGTTTCTTTTTATACTCTTGAGGGCTGAGGAGGAAATAAATTGCCTACAATAAATAAAATGTCCAAAGATGCTTCCAACTTGAGAAGGATTTGCAGGTCTGTTATTCCTTGGTGATGCTGTGGGGAATTCTGTGGTTCCGGTTTCATTTCTGGGGTTTATGGTTTCCCGCATGTTTCTGGGCCAGTGTTTAGATCAGGTGGCCCCTTTCATTATCAGCAGAGGGTTGGGTTACTTGATTGCTTTGCTAAGAAGGACTTTTGGATGTAGGCAATGTCCCCTGGGAGATAAATAGAAGAATGGACACCATGCCAGGAGGTGGGCAACCTTGTCTAGTACTTGAGTAGGAAGCGCCTCTTATTCTGAGAAAGAGAAATATTGAGGCCCGGAAATTACAATAGTAATTGTTATATAAAAATTTACACCTCATCCCTTTTGCTTGAGAGACTTGGGTTGGAGAGAGTGTGGGCATAAACTAATTTGAAACTTACTATTCAGAAGCTGGATAAAATAGTAGTCATTACATGACAGTTGACACTTTAAATATTATCAATCTAAGAAAATGTTAGAGCAGGTCTGTCTATTTCTCATAATTCTCCTATTACCTTAGATTTGTCAATTGGTTTCAAGCTGAACCGGTTAGGAATAAATTGGCATGGAGGTTGTTATTTTCAACAGACAACTCTGCCCGCTCTTTACAAGGCTTACAAAATATTGAATTGAATTGATTGCTCTTTTGCTGGCTTGGTTCTGTAGAGAAAAAGATTCTTGCCTTCCTACTTCCCTTCCTTTCTCCTGCCCTTCTTTTCCATGTTTTCTGCCATATTTTTAGTTAAGTGTGTTGAAAAAAAATACTACTCTTTTATTTTCTTCTCTAGCATCATATTGAACCATGGCAGAAAAAGCCCGAAAAGCGTATGTGCATTTCTGTTTGACAGAAAACCTCAGCTAATTACTAGTTTTCTTTGTGGCTGTGAACATTTCCCCTGTAGAGAAGGCAAGGATCTCATTAGCACTAGCTAATAGGTAAAGGTTACCCCTCTGGAGACCTGGATTGGGGTATTTGAGACCCCAATCTATTGATTTTATTTCTTGATTGCTACTTTGCATGTCAAGGTGCTTTCAGGTTTTTCTTTTCATGTATAAAAGAAAAACACTATATTCTTATATAATAGATGTAAAAATAATCCAAATCTTTTCACTGGAATACAGAATTGATCTATGACATATCACTATTGGTATCATTATGGCTTATTGCATGTTAAGCACATATAGATGCTGACACAGAAAAAAAATAATTATGAAGAGCACAGCTTAAATTTTTTGAATTTATAGAATACTTCATGAGCAAGAAGAGACACAATTACTAGGAAGAAAATCCTTAAGGTGTGACCTCTGGCTGACACACATCCAAGGCAGTGCTGGCACATGCTTAGAGCACAGATGTGAGCTGCTTACCTATGTGGGGAGACTTCAGGGCTGTGAGTAGGTCTTTCGCAGAAAAACCTTCAATTTCAGCTTCTGTAAGGCATCTCATTAATGGCAAATTTCCAAGGGAAGTAATTTATAGACTGAGTAGGCGCCTGCACATAATCCGTGGTAAATAAATATATGAATGAATAAATGGATGGGTGTAGCAATTTCACTAATGTTATAATTTGTAACAAATTCTTTATTAAAAATATAGACAATATTGCAAAATTAGTATGCCATTTTTAAACAATTAAAAAAGTGGCTATATTACCAAGTATCCTCACTCTCCAAATAAAAAGTAAAGAAAGAATTACTCCTAACATCATTATACATCATAACCATGCTAACACTATACATAATAAAAATATATTTTAACACTTTGGCATATATATTTCTAGGTATCTTTCTCTATAGTTTTCTCTCGCTTAAAAATGCTTCATAACTCTTTGATAATTAGTGTTTTTCCATAAAATGTATTATAAATGTCATACCATGTCAACAAGATTTATCAATTCCATTTTTTTAGAGAAGATTTTGATAGGAAAGGAAAGGGGAGGTGCTTGAAACCACTGTGGTGCTCAAATGGGGAGGTCAAATCCGAAGGTCGATAGAGACAGGAGAGAGGCTAGCATGCAGAAGGAGTAACGGAAGAAAACTGACTGGTCTCCAGTGTGGTTGTCCCTGGACGACTGGGAAAACTTGCTGGTCTTCATTGTGGTCGTCCCTGCACACAATCATGGCCCATGCCAGCTGGCTCGCTGGGGTTGAGTGAAAGAAGCTTAGTCCTGAATTGTTGGTCCCTTATCATAAGACACCAGCCTAGAGGCTGGCACAAATTTCTGAAGTTGGTATAAAAATGAATCTGACCACAAATCCTTTTTCCTGTAGGCTTATTGTGGGTAATCCTTTTGAACAGTAGTGGAAATGGGCAATCACCCACTTGTTAAAGACCTGTGTAAACCAGCTAAAGGATTTCTGAATTTTTAATAAACTATGTTTCCTTACTTACATTTTATCAGGCTTAACACTGAGCACATTTTACCTCGAGATATTGAATATTATCTGCTTACCTTTCTTGGACATCTCTCTAGTTCGTGGGTGTTTCTTTGTTAACTTCCTGAACATTTCCTGGCCTTCGATGTTTGTTTCCAACTTACTCTGCACCATCTTACACCTATTTTGAGGTCTGCTGGCTTCTACTAGGTTTCAAGTAACTAATTTCAGAAACTACTTTATGTTGAAGTTTTCATGGATTCCGGTAGATTCAAATTTCATGTTCTCAGATAGTATATCCCTAGAAAGAAATTTCGTGGTGATGATGCTTCAGGCAAAAAATGGCAAAAGTTTCAGAAGCCAGAGCAGGCCAGTGGAGAAGACCATTTTGGGCAGGTCACTTTCACCTTGCATAAGTGGCTCTCCACACTGCCCATGCTTTTTGGTATTTCCTGCATTAAACCAGGGAAAATTTAGCAGGTCAAGGGGAAATTTATTGCCAAATATTTTTTGAAGATAATTTTAAGACTAGATAGAGTCTAACAGAGTTGGACTCTGTTTCTTGGTACGAACTTGTGTTTATTTCCTGTTAGGAGGGGAACCTGTGCCATTCTCTCTTCCGTATTTGCTTATACCTATTTGTAAGTCCATTCAATTTGGACATGAGGACTTCTGGCTACATCTAAAGATATTCTTTAATTTTTCATTGTGGAATAATACAGGATTTTAAATGGCTAATTCTGGTAACTCAAAAGATATTTAAAACTTTTATGGGTGATGAAGAGTGGAGATGTTTTCAGCTTTTTCCATAATAAGCTGTTATGAGAACAGTCTTAGGAAGATTTATTCATGGTCCAAAAGACCATTGATTAGCAGATGTGAGAGCAGTGGAGTATATTTTATGGCTTAAAGGATTATGCTAACATGAATAATCACATACAACTTACTCCAAGAAGTTTCATTTATATCTTTCACAGAATCATAAATTCAGCAGAAATTTTGACAAGTCATTTAGTTTCTCCTCCACTTTTAAACAGGATACTTTCCTCCAACCCCCATATGTTGTTTCCCAAGCAATAGTGCCATGAAATATTGTGCAAGAAAGGCAAGCTTCCATGGTTACAAAATTCGACAAACTGATCCTCTTGGAAATAATATCATAGACCCTGGAAGTTGTACCCAGACTACAGTACCTAAAGAATAGCTACAATACAAAATACAACAATAACAATATACAAAAAATAAAAAATAAGTACATAAGAGATTCAGATATGCAGCTGATTGGGAACCATTGGTTTGATCATAGGATGCCATCCCAGGGAACTGGGGGATGTGGTGTTGAGGGCCCTGACCACCTGGGAAGGTAGATAGGACAGCATCTATCTACTATGGGCGGTAGGCAATCTTCAAATACAGGAGGTAAAAGAGGGAAGGAATCGACAAATGACTATTTTATTTACACAATGAGGTAATTCAGGCACATTCAATACTGAAAAAGAAACTCTCTAAAACATATCTCTGAACAAATTCAGTCATGACTATGTGTTGCATTTATTATTTTAAGTAGTACAGTTAGTGTTCTGCAAAAATATTTATGATGGTTGCATTGCTATAGCCTGTTTTCAGCAAAAAGTATAATTCTGTATCAATGATGAAATAGCACCTCAACAAAATAATGATAATGATCCCATACTATGCACTGGTACCTCTAATTTCTTTATGAACTGAAAGTTATTTTACTCATGTGTAGGTAAACCAGAGGAAGAATTAGGTAAATTAAGTGGATTAATTTCTCCTAGGAGTATTTTAGTAGTGACTGAAGGAGCCAGTTTTATATTCTGAAGGATGTAGACTTTGGATAAAAGCTTGAAGGTCAAGTGGAATTTGGATAGACTGAGAAGAAATGGAACACAAATTACATATGGGGAAAATAAGTGTAAAGTGTGAAGTTGAAAAATGAGTTTGTAATGTATAAAGAAGAGTGGAAAAAAAAAGAATTCCCAAATAACCATGTATTTAGGATTCTCTGCCTCTTTCTCGCAGTGTTCCTCAGGAAGAGTTGTGTCTAAGTTGTGTCTTTGAAAAGAACTAGAAACTCTCAAACACTGTATTTCCAAACTTAAACAATAGCATTAATTTTGATCAGTGTCAGAAAAAAAATAAGTCCACCTATGATATGTCAAAAGCAACTCTTCTGCCAGGCAGGCAAGGCTCTACAGGACAAGATCCCATTTTACCAAGCCAAGATGGCTACCACTTCTCTCCATGATGAACTCTGTTCCCATGGAACAACTCTTTTTCCATCCCTTATACACTTTATGTTCATTTTTTCCTCCAAATCTTAGCTCATGTCATTTTCTTACTGAAAATATTCTCTACTGTTTTCGTTGCTTATTAAAGCCCCTTGGGGGCTCAAGTGAAGTTTTATGTTATCATTTTCATTATTAACATATCGAGTCTTAGGCTGTGCAAGGCCTGGGTACTTCTCGATATAGGAAGGACACTTCTTGATATTACACACACAGTCTAGTTAATTCCTCAGAAAATAGTATTATTTCCTTGCTTTAAAAATTATTGTCTAGGCCAGGTTCAGTGGCTCACACTTGTAATCCCAGGACTTTGGGAGGCTAAAGTGGGAGGAGCCCTTGACCCCAGGACGGGAGTTTGAGATCAGCCTGGGAACCATAGAGAGATACTGTCTCTACAAATAATAATAATAAAAAAAATTAGCTAGGTGTTGTGGCGTGTGCCATGGTCCCAGCTAGTCGGGAGGCTAAGTTGGGAGGATCACCTGAGCCTAGGAGGTCGAGGATGCAGTGAGCACTGATCACATCGCTGCACTCCAGCCTGGGCAACAGAGTGAGACCCTATCTCAAAAAAATTCTCTAAAACCAAGTAAAGCAGCATTTTATTGTTTTATATTCTTGTATTATTATTATATTTTCTGACCATTAGTTGCATCTTTTCTCTGTCCAGAAAATGATAGATACCCTCCCTAAGTCTAGATAACATGGTAAACCTCTGTTGTCCTACCTCATAATGCTGGGTTTGTAGTAGATGTTCAGTGAATACTTGAGTTAACACACAAGCATCCATTGATTCAGCATGGGACCCTGAGGAAATCTCTTATACAATAGCTATATCTTGATGGATAGGCAAGTTTGGGAAAAGTAAGCATCTCAGCATATAATAAATATACAGGACCCCCCATTCATAATATGCTTTCGAGTCCGATATCCTATTGCTCCTACAACAAGCATGAGTGACAGGTAAGAAGGAGACTGCCCATTTTACAGATGAAGTGGTTGCAGTTCAGAAAGTTTAAATGATTTGCTCAAGATCAGAGGGTGGGTATCACAGCTGGACTCCAACCTTCATCTTATGATTCTGAAGCTAAGGTGGAGGACAGGACTGGACAGCCAGTTGGGCGGGGGCAATCTTTGGGGAGGAGAGAGTTTACCAGAACAAGAGGCAGTCAAAGGGGAATCAGGAGTTTGAAAGGTAAAGATAAACTTTCACCTGGGGTAGGTCTTGGGATGTGGTGCATCTGGCAGCCAAAGATTTCTCCTACAGCTTTCTAACCATCTCAGGGAGAAGGATTTGGAATGAACATTAGCACATGACTGTCCTCAAACTGTGTGTAGGAGACTGTAGTTTCAGCCAACTGGCCACTGAAAGGGTCACTAGCCTTCCTCTGTAAGCTGTAAGTTGGCAGTTAGAAAGGGGTTAAATTCATGTCTTTTGCGAAGGTGAATTACATGGTTAGATATGTGCCGATCACCCTGTCACCGCCTGTGGGGCACACAACTCTGTGTTCCACTTGCTGTCTCATATAATGCCCGAAATTGTTGCCTAGAGAGCTGAACAGTGACATCTGTTGGTTCGATTTGAAATAGGCAAGTTCAAAAGAGAAACAGCCACACTAGTATTTCTTCCCCTTTCAAAACAAATAGGAACAATCATGACAAAGGAATGACCCTTCCAAAGGAAGTTTTAACATCAGCAGCATACTTTATCTGAAGAACAACACACGACTCCAAGTTTCAGGATGAGGGATATCATGTGACTTTTATTTTTGCAGAAAGCCCATCAAAGACTTTGTGTAAACCTTTTAAAACTCCAATTCAAAAGAAACAGTACTAAGACCTGTGTATCTGAGAAATTCCTCAATGCTCAAGATTTCATCCAGAAGCATAAATGAGCAAATAGAAAGTATGGATTTGGGGCAGTGGTGAGAAATAATGAAATTGCTTTCTGCTCTAGGAAACTTGAGAAACAAACCTTCCTGTGGATGTGCCTGTGAGTTACAACCCAGCTTGAATCCTTTCTAAATAGCTCCAAATTTCAAGATCACTTTGACAATCACCTAGCTCTTAGCTTCAATTAATTAAGTGTCCATGTTCCTTTGTACTGAATGCTCTATTTCTTTCCTTACAAAACTCTAAACCTCATTGAATGTACAATGGAAATGATTTTCTGGGAAATCTGGATAATCAAAAAATACTATATTCTGACAAGTTATATATATACATATGTAAATTTTTTATATATTATATATAATTTATATACATAAATTATATATATATAGTGTGTGTGTGTGTATGTGTGCACACTCCATACAATATCATTTCCTGCTCAGACCTTTACAAAAATTGCTAAGAAACAGTAAATTGCACAGTTTGGCCTTCAACCTTTTAATCACCCCAAGGAGAAAAGAAGTGGCTCAAAGAGTAGCATGAGAAAACAGAGGAGAAAATGAAGGCTTGGATAATCTGCCAACCGAATAACTGAGTAATGACATAATTGGATCATTGAAAAAAATGTTAAAATTTTTACCAGTTATTAATTAGAGAATCATGCATGACCCTGGGAACTTGCTTTTTGTTTTAAAACAGGAGCCACGATTATGAAATGGTTCAAGCTGGCTTATTCAGGTCTGCTGAGATCTCTACTGGTTTGCTTTTCAGATCCCTCGTGGTTCGAGAACAGAATGGCGTTAAATCACACTGCCCTGCCTCAGGACGAGCGCCTGCCCCATTACCTTCGAGATGGGGATCCTTTTGCTTCCAAACTTTCTTGGGAAGCGGATTTAGTGGCTGGCTTTTACCTAACAATAATTGGTAAGCTTCCTTAATTCTTCTGTGCAAAGGCTGCATTTAGAAAATTCATGGGCTGATATGTTAATTTTGTGAAAGGATTCTGATACTTAAGTGGATAGTTTAGTGGAGGCGAAGAGTGGGGAAAGGCAGAAGATGGAATGGCATTATGGCATTCAATAAATGTTTCCTAGAAATGACTCTTTATTATCATTATTATTAGGAATAAAATTCCATTGATAATCCAAGAACTCTTACAGCAAAATTATTTATCCATTTCATTTTGGTTACTTTGGGAGTAGATTTACTTTCTGAATACCAAAATTAATGATAATGATATTTTATTTAAACAGAGTGCTTTTTAAATAATGTTTTTGACATAATCATAAGTTTTAGGTTGAGAATGGGCCTTAAAAATAATCTAGGTCAGTCTCCTGTTCTCACAACTGTGCAAAACTCAATTGTGCTATTGTGCTATAGTACTATAGTAATGGCAGAAACACTGAGTTTACTTCACCTAAAAGTAAAGTCGCATCAAAATAGCTAAGCCATTTTGGTGACAGTTGAAAAATGTGTTGGTGATAAATGGAAGAAAGTCCGGGGTCAAAAGATTTTTGTGCATAATTGACGAAAGGGTGCACCTGCTTCTAGACTGCATGATCTCATTCATTCAGTAGCCACATGTGGCTTTTCCAAATTGAAAGTTGCTGTAGTGTAAATACTCACCAGATACTGAAGGCTCAGTACAACAAAAAGTGGTATAAAATATCTCATTAATAATTTTTAAAAATTAAATACATGTTGAACATACAACATTTTAGGTATGTTAAGCTAAATAAAATATATTATTAAAATTAATTTACTGTAAATTTTAAATTTATAAATTAAATTTTTACTTTGTAAATTTTTACTTTGTTTAATGTGGCTACCAGAAAATTTTAGAATCCATATGTGGCTCGCATTTCTGGCTTACATTACATTTATACTGGATAGCACTAATCTAGACAGTTAGGATTTAATTTAACCACCTATTTAAATTTAAGAAAAGAAACCATACTTTTCTTAAATTTAAAATTGTTGTTTTAACTTTGGGTGACCAGTGTGAAGGTGGGTTATGTCTTTAGGTTTGTTTGCCTTTAATTTTTTCAGATGTTGGGTCAAACTTGCTCTCTCTCTCTTTTCTCTTTGTTTCTATCTTTCTCTTCCACCCTTCTTCCCTTCCTCCCTTTCTCTCTTTTTCTCCCTCTCTCATCTATTTATTACTGGCTAAGAATTTCATTTAACCTCCTGAAAGTAGCAAAACTCATTAGAAAATACTTGATATCCCTCTATGGTCAGTACTTGAGGCAAAAGGAACTCATGTGATTCAACCAAATTCTGCTGTAAAGTGATTCCCTGGGTCTTTGTCTTTATTGTTGTTAGTGTTTTACTAGTTTAAATTCTGTTTCTTATAAATGAGTCCCCATCTCTTTTCAACATAAATATATATTGAGCGCCCACTCTTTGCCACTGTTTTAAGTTGCTGGGAATAGAGCAGAGAATAAAATGGGCAAACATTCTGCTGGAACAGAAACTGTCTTATCTCTGTAAAATCCACATTGCATTTTTATTAAACTTAAGTACTTTCAATTAACAGAAAAGGCAGAAAAATAAGCAACTTGATCAATTGTATTTAGCATAGCTCCATCACTTTCAAGGAATGAATTAAAAAAGTAACATCAATAACCTGACAAATCTCTCCAGACAACACAAAACAGAGAGGCCTATCAGTCCATTCCCAATCTTAAGCAGGGAGGATTGCAGGAGGATTGCAACCAGGGTGAGGAAATCAGGAGAATTTCCCACCTGATACACATGGAGTTGGAAGGAAAGTCCACAATCATATTCCAGTGGGTTTGCTGAGATGGAGCCAGAAAAACAGGTTGAAAAAGAGTCCCTGGACAGGGGGAGCTTCAGGAGGATCAGGGCACTAGGAGGTGGAGCCAATGGTATGTTAGAGAACAGTCACGCAGGGTGAGGAGAGGGGTCGACTGGAGGGGTTTGGACTCACCCTAGATCCACTTCTTGGACTTGGCCGTGTGTCTGGTTTTCACTCTCCTAGAATAGGCTAGTGTAGATGTTGCAAGATTCCTTTTTTTTTTGGACATAGAGTCTCACTCTGTCACCCAGGTTGGAGTGCAGTGGTGCGATCTCGGCTCACTGCAACCTCCATCTCCCAAGTTCAAGCAATTCTTGTGCCTCAACCTCCTGAGTAGCTGGGGCTACAGGTGTGCACCACCATGCTTGGCTAATTTTTGTGTTTTTTAGTAGAGACGGGGTTTCGCCATGTTGGCCAGGCTGGTATTGAACTCCTGGCCTCAAGTGATTTGCCCACCTCAGCCTCCCAAAGTGTTGGGATTACAGGCGTGAGCCACCGCGCCTGGCCAAGATGTGTGTGTCCAGATTGCTTTTAAGGAGCCAGAGTGGAATAAACATTCTTGGTGGGCTTTGTTAAATACTAGAAGTCTTAAGAGACAATGGAAAGATAACAATATAAATCTGAGTTTGAAATACAGGAGACATAAATTACAAACCCATTTTCTACCTTCCACACTTTTACTATTATTGTAAATACTGAGTTTATTAACAGTTAATATATATGATATTTTTGTATCCATAAATGATATAGGATTTGATAATCTAAAAGTGTCCCCACTTTGGTCTTTATCTTCTTAATCTGGTTGTCTTTTCAGTAATATTAAGAATAAATTTGCTTTTTCCTGACACTCATCTATAACATATATATATTGCTTGTTAGAATAATTTACATGCAATGAATAGAGAGGTGACTATTTTTTGATAATGCTTTGGGCACTGGGTGAAACCTTATGAAGCAGGGTCAGTAAAGAAAATTTAAGGAAGGAAAAGTAAGAAAACAAATATTTTCAAAAGAGATGTAGACAGATGAAAGGTGTTTCAATGAGCCTTGTGTATCAAACGAAAATGGATACTTGTTTTTACTCTTTTTGGATACAAAGTAGGTGGCATTAAGTTTATACTTTTTCAAGCCACGTTTTCACATTTTGCTTTCCTAGCTGGTTTCCTTGAGTGAGACCTGTTTCATTTTAGTTGGTTTGCTCTGGAACTCCGTAATCTCTTTTATTTTTCTCTTCTTCTGCTTTATGAAAGCTAAAGAGGTTTTAATGGACCATTAAGCAGCACTGACTCCAGGGAGTCAGAATTTCCTAAGAGCACAATGCAGTTAGTTCCTGGTGGTTTCATACCATCAGCTGAATCACACATTTCTTTCTTTGCCCCCAAAATGAATTGTGGTGGAGAAGTAGAAATTAAAATAGAAAACTCTGGGTTTCTCCTGTTAATACTCTCCTTATTCCTTACTACTAAAGGCAGCTGTACCAGATTCTCATTTATACACAGCTACACTATGAAGCAAGAATTCCTGAAGAAATCTACTCTACATGTTAAGCTATGGAAGTAGGTGTATTCTTTTCTTAAATAAAGTCAGTAGGGATTGGGTCTTTTTGGATTTAAACTGGGTTTGTAAGAACTTTCGAACAGTTTCATTGTAATGCCAAAGGCAACTAGTCATTAATAAAAGGATATGAAAAAGTGGGAACACACTTATGGCATTGTTGGTAGGTTCGGTGGGTTGAGGGTCACTTTCTCTCCCCTTGGTGGGAGGGACAGTGCCCAGGTTCTCGATTGTCACCCACTTACCCTTGATATCTAGTCCAGTAGCAGCTGAAGGCTGTCCTATCTGCCAGACACTCAGTGTCCATGTCTCCCAAAGAGGCGGAAGTCCTGGGGCGTCTCTGGGAGATGTCCATTTTCTTGAAGGGAGTTATGCCAGTCATACCTGGCCTCTGCCTCTCCTGAACACTGGTGCTCCCTTAGGAGTTGACAGTGATACTGAAGGCACCTTCTTTGGTTGGCTTCATCTTCAGAATTTATCAAGAGCTAAGGGTTTAACCCTACTGATCAGAGGGAGGGAGTTCTATAAAGCCAATAATCTATAAAAATGGCTGAGGAAAGTACTCCACTCTGGGGGCCAGGACAAGAACTGACCATTGGGATTCCCACACTTTCCTGAGCCTCGCGGGGAAGTTAGCGATGCCTTTTTCTGGGTAAGTTCAGTCTTATAATCCCTGACTCCTGCCCCATTGGCCTGTCACTCACAACTCATGCTTTTTATTTCATCTTCTTAATTTAGATTTTTTTATTTAGAGTCCTCTCACTACCCTCTAAATCTATGGTGTCCATTTTTGAAGTTGAGAAGTGTTTCATATCTGAGTGAACTCGAAATCTTAGTTTTAACGATTGGAATTTTTATTTTTCCTTGTAGGGATTCTGTCCACATTTGGAAATGGATATGTCCTTTACATGTCTTCTAGACGAAAGAAGAAGCTGAGACCCGCTGAAATAATGACTATCAATTTAGCAGTCTGTGATCTGGGGATTTCAGGTAACACAACCATGCTGTGTTTTCTTTGTGGGTTTAAACTACTCCCCATTCTAAAGTACTCACTGTCTCAAACGTCACCCCCTGACATCTCTTCCCTTCACATCTCCTTCCACTCTTCGCTTCACAAATCAACTTTCAGAGTTTTGTGGTAAGTCAATGGGGTGCTGTCCGGCTGACAAGATTATTCATTTAATATTTATTGAGTCTTTTCTGTGTGTCAGGCATGTTAGATGCTGAAGGCACAATTTGAAATAATATGTGATACCTCAGATGTCTCAAAGTGTAGTGGGCTAAATGATTCAGAAATCAGAAATCAGGAGGCAAATCCCAGGTCAGTATTTTAAGCTTCTTTACACCTCTTCAACCCTTATGGAAGTCTGATTAAAATAAACATCAACAAAGGAATCTTGAAGGGTAAATGACAGTTGAAGACAGTTGAAGGCAGTTGAGAGGTGAATGTAGGAAGAGGAAAGAGGTGCCCTGCTGATGATATATGTAATCATGACTTAGTGACATATCACAAGCATAGGAAGCTTCTGGTTCAGTGGTCCTCAAATGCAACTCACAAAATATCATCTGGGGAAGTTCTGAATTAAGTCGTTGAGAGTGTTACCTGGGCATCAGGATATTTAAAATGAGAATCTACAGGTATGTTAATGTGTGGCCAAAATTGAGAACCACTGGCTTCTTTTTCACTTCTCTAATAACATGGCAAGGAGTTGGAAAAAAATTTCTCCTTCACTATAATTCAATTTAAAAAATATGAACCATTTTAAGTAAATCATTCTTCACTTTCTTCTATACAACTTCAGAGTTGCTTAGATGGACTCTAATCTGTCTTTGAATCCCAACATCTGCTATTTAGCTTATGGTTTTAGGTCATTAGAGTAGGGTAATTTGTTTGAACAGTACACAGCAGCTCCTCTTACCATTAGAAACTTGTTAGTAGTTTCCCGTCAAAAGCCTCCTTTAAAAAATATTTCGTGTCTGGGCACAGTGGCTTGCACCTGTAATCCCAAAGCTTTGGGAGGCTGAGATGGGTATAAAGTTTGAGGCCAGGAGTTCAAGATCAGCCTGGGCAATGTAGTGGGACTTCATCTCTACAAAACAAATTTATCCTTGAAGTCTGGGTATTGGGTAAAACTAAACAAAACAAATAAAAAATAGCTGGGCACTTGATCAAGTTCAGGAGTTCAAGGTTGCAGTGAGCTATGGTACTACCACTGCACTCCAGCCTGGGTGAAAAAGTGAGACCTTAATTAAAAAAAAAGAGTTTTCCGATATTTGTTTCTCTCTTCGCAAGTGGATTTTTCTGCCGATCTCTAAAAACAAGGCTCAATAATAATCCTCCGCATTCTGAGTCACTCTTTAGCACACAGCAGATGTGTGCTTACTCAGAGTTTGGATGGTCTTGGTTATCTGGGAAGGCTTTATTCAGTATGGACCTGCATAAACATTATGAACGCTTATGGTGAATGCACACGCACATTAAGAAGAGCAAGACATGCCTGGTTTTGTGAAAATAAACAGGACGAACCCCAGGGGATTTGTGAGGCTGCAAAATGGCTGCCATTTTTACCTGTTGCCACGCGATGGCGCTGTCGCAACAGGAACGGTAGCTTTCCTGGCCAGCTCGCCTCGCGGGCCCCTAAGGTGCTCTACCTGGTATTGAGCGTAACATGCCTGAATGAAACATGTCATTCCAGCTACATCCTTCATCGGTGAATAATAGCAGGCTCATTGCTGAACTAGACTAGGCTTGAATAAAAATGTCCTTAATTGGCCTGGTGCGTTGAAATATGCTCTCAGCCAAGCAAGTCGGCTCTAGAATGGTGCAAACCACCTCATTACTCTGCTTACGTCTTCAGAGTAATTCACCAGAAACCACTTTCTTTCATACAACAGGTTTCACTAACCCAGATCATTTTTTTCAACTTTGGAACATCTATAATGCATTTTCCCTTCCAATAAACGTTAAAACTTTGCCTGCTTTATTTTTTTCTGGCTCAGCTATATTCCATTATAAGCACCTCCTGGAGGCCAGATGTATGGCATTTATGCAACTAATACTTGTTGACTAAATATCAAGGGCTCCCAGTCGTGTGTATTATATACACGTGTTATATTAGGATAACCTCTTAGGATAAAGTCGTGTTATATTAGGATAACCTGGGGGGGGGCGGTGGTGGTGTTAAAAATATGTATAATGCCTGAACTCACTCCAGATAAATAACAATATTGGGAGGTTTGTGGGGAGGGATGGAACCCTGGATGTTGATATTTCAAAGCAAAGCAAAACAATCCGTCCAGCGATTCTAAAGTGCAGCCGGGTTCTGGAAACATTCTACTAAGTGGAAGAGAGACATTCTAGATGACACCCCAAAGTTTAATCCAAAGCTCTACTGAAGAAGGAAGCCTGAAATCGCTTTTGCTAATCAGGATCCCAGGCACAACAGATGTAATCTTACTCCATTCTGTCACTTTCACTTGTCTTTTTGCTGCCTTTAGCACCCACCTGGCTGACACCCACCTCAAGCCTTTTAGTTTGCTGTTTCCTCTGCCTCTAATCCATTCCCTCCAGAAGTTTATTTGACTTCTTTCCCACTGATTTAGGTATCTACCTAAATGTCACATCTCAGAGAAGTCTTCCTTAATGTCTTTATGTAAAACAACAGTTTCCATCTACCTGCTTTCTCTGCTTTATTTTCCTTCATTGTACTAATCACTACCTATCTTTCTGTCATACCACATCTTATATTACAAATTTAGGTGTTTTTTTTTTTTGTCTGCTTTACCTGTTAGAAAATAAACTTGTCAGTCTTGATCTCCACTTTGTCCTCTAGCACCTTGCTCTGTGTTTCTTACATACCAGGCATTGAAAAATTTGTTGTTGAATGGAAAAAAACCCCACAAACCTAAATAGTTATTTTACACTCCATTTCCTTGTGGACTCATTGGAATTAGGAGGCTGTCATATGAGGGCACCTAGTCTAGCAAGCTGAAAGATGGCACTAACCATCTAGACAACTAGAGGAGACGTGTGTCTAGATTGCAGAAGGCATTCAGTGAATATGTGTTGATTCACCGAACTAACAGGAACTCCTGAATACTTTTGTAAACCATAGAGGAACACACCTGGGAGAGCTGGGAGCTAGCACCTGCAGGCTGTGAATGTCAGTTACTTAGCTTTCCTAAAACATTAAGGTTAGGGAACCTTCTTTTGTGATATAGATCAGTTAGAGGTTTGAAGAGCTTCCTCAGTAATTTTTTTTTTTTTTTGTGGGGGGTGTGGTGAGGACTGAATAGGGAGGGCTACAGGTTATGAGGTAAAAGTAGAAGAATGCTTTCTAGAAAGTGAAAAAAAAAATTCTAATGGAGGGTCAAGGAATAAATAGTTTAAATCCCAGAAATCTGGATCTGGTTGTAAACAGCTTGGACCTCACATTTACTGAAATAGCTATACCGTATTTGAATAAGACATAACTTAACAGAAGAAGAAAAAAAGAAACAACTGAAACAGAAGGAAATGTGGAAATCTGGTTCTAACCTTAACAAAAAGGATTTTAAAATAAAATTCCTAAACAATTTTTTTAAAACAGTGAATTTTTTTCTTTGAAAAAGAGCATGACTTAGAAGCTGAATATATAAAACAGGTGAAAAAAATTATCTTTCCTGATTGACAGAAGGTGGAGCATGGAACCTTGGTTGCTTAATATTTCTTTCCCTAAATGACCTACCTACTTCCCCTTCAGGGGACACTCTCTCTCTCTTTCTCTCTCTCTGTGTCTCTCTCTCATAGAGGAGCTCCATGAATCCTCTCTGGTCTAGGCATGAACACATGAAAATTGCTGGGCTATATAATTATCCTCCCTCCTTCACCTCCCCCATCCTATTGCTTCCCTGTGAATACTCAACTTTCTGGGGTTTCTTAAGGACTTTTTATTCATTGATAGTAACAAGGTAATAGTAAAAGACTAAATATGTTCTATTTTTTAAATAAATAAAAGGACAAATTCACATTTCAGAGAAAGTTGTCTACATCATTCTTTAAAATGTGTTTGAAACTCACACTTTCTTTCTCCAGTGCTCTTTATAATCTTTATTCTCCAGAGTGCTATTAAACCTCCTCCTTTTCTATATTCACAGTAGCTAGTTCACTGCTTCTCTAATTAAGGCTTTCTCTGATATATAACCTCTCTCTTTCCCCTCCCAAACCCTTTCATAGACACTTAACTCCTAAAGTACAAGGTTATCTTGGGGTGTTAGAAACCATATTCCTCCTAGAAGGATGCAGCTTCCAAAAGAAAGAAAAAAACCAAATTCCCCTTTTCATTATAAGGAATCTCATGCCTTATACAGGTTCTAAAAGGCCCCACTTGGAGGAGGATGAGGTGGAAGGAAATCACTGTTTTGCATATTATTTTTGTCTTTTTCCTCCTTTTCTTCATTTTCTCTTTCTCCATCTCTTCTTTCCTCTATTCATTGAGACAATTTTCTGGAAGTTTTATTATTAAGAAAAGTTGCATTGGTCCCAGGAATGTAAGTATGTTTCAAAAACAAATCTATTAATAACCAGCATTAACTGATTCCATGAGAAAAAATGTTATGATCACCTCAGTAGATGCCAAAAAAGCATTTAATAAAACTTAACATCTATTTCTGGTAAAAAAAAAAAAAATCTTAACAGACTAGTGTGAGAAAGAACTTCTCTAGAATAGAAAAGTTGTGCTTGAAGAGTGTATTTTCTCTCAGAGATTTTATTCATTTCCCCTTTCTCTAAGCCTTCGAATGAAAGACTGCAACAACATGTTAAAAGTGACCAGATCGTTGTCACTGGCTACTAGTATCATGTCTGTAATTCCTGAAGCCAGGTCTCTTTGAGACAGTTTTTTCAAAAGTAATAATTACTTTAAAGTTTTCCTTCTATATCCTTTCACTGTCTTTGGCTATTGGGATGACTGAAAGTCCTCTCTGGGTAGCTTCAAACTGAGTTTATTCATAGATAACTGCTGGGCTTTTATTAATCTAGGAAATCTGTGTAATCAAGGGTGTGTGTGTGCGTTCACATGTGTCCCCGTGCTTTAGGGGAGGAGGTTCAGGTGAGTTGAGGTAGGTGGGGAAATAGTAACCAGAGGAACGTCTGTTGACAAGTCACTTGGTGCTCTAGTTGTAGGCAAGCCGTTCACCATCATCTCTTGCTTTTGTCACCGCTGGGTGTTTGGCTGGATCGGCTGCCGCTGGTATGGATGGGCTGGATTTTTCTTTGGCTGTGGAAGCCTTATCACCATGACTGCTGTCAGCCTGGATCGATATTTGAAAATCTGCTATTTATCTTATGGTAAGTTGGCAGGTTTCTCATTCCCTGACAGTTAAAGCTAGGTGGATTGAGTGTTAGAACTGTACATATTTTATGCAGGTAATAAACAAAGATTATGAATAACCTCAGAGATCAAGAATATTTCTATTTATAGCCTATCATCTTGTTCTGACATGTTTAAGGATTTTAACCTATGTCAAAGTAGATTTCTTTTAATACATATTTTATAGTAATGTCTGGTGTTTGGTTATAATGCTTTAAAAAAGTACCATTTTCTTGTATAGTGTGTAAGCTTCCATCATGTTTCCCACGCAAACAAAAGAAATAAAGTGCATCGAAAGGGTGTTAAGTCCAAGATGTTTAGCTCATTCCCCACCTAGGAAGTGTAATTATAAGAAAAGCTGTTTAAGATTCTCCCTTAGGACTCACGCTCCCTGTGATTTCAGAGATAAGGAATTCCAAAAAGTTCACCTCCAAGTTAGAGTCATGTAGCTGTTTCTGCATGAAAGGACACACATGTAGAAATATCACTCAACATATTTTTTTTTGTGGTGTTGGTTGGTAGAAAGATGAGTGATTACAAGAATTGGTGAATCAGCAGAAAATAAGTTTCCAGGGACTAAATATATGTTTTTTAATGATTAGACCATTCTACAGGTTAAAAATAATTTCTACTACATTTGTTTGTTGGAGCTCTCGGAATTTATCAAACCTGAAAGAATTGCATTTGGGTCTTTAAGTTTAATATTGAGAACCAGGCACAACCAAGGAACAGTACTGACTTCCTCTGGATAAAGTTGCTTTGATTGTCAATCTGTCAATTAGAGTGGTTGTGATGGACGACAGACTGTGGTGTCAGAGCAGGGCCTGGAGACTGAGGTGGGAAAAATCAAGTTGACCTGACACTGTCAATGTGGTAGAATTTCCCTTTGTATTGTTATAGTTTACATCCCCAAACTCCAAAGAATCCATGCTTGGGTGGGTGGGAGGCGGGGGCTTGTGAGCCATTCTCTTCATCATCCAGCACTACGTTTTTTTTTTTTTTTTTAAAGTTTACATCTCCTTTTTTAAACATTTAAAACTTCCAATAGAAATAGCTTGAATCAAAATTTCCAGTAAGATATAAAATATACAACTATACATATTCTGTGTGACGTCAACATCTAATTCTTTCTATAGACTTATTTTTGTTCATACCAAAGAGATTTTAAATTTAACTATAGATTTTATAGATAAGAAGGCAAAAAAGTTAAACTTCCTGAGAGTGTTTGAGGAATACTAAACCCTGATACCTCTGTTTTTAAATATTTTCTTGAGTTTAGGCTTTGTCAGTTAAAGAGATGATGCCGCCCACTGCCAGGATCATTGCAGGTCATAACTCCATATGTGGGAACTGTGTATATTTTCCAGCTTCTTCTAAGGTTGAACCTCAGTAGTGTGGTTTCATCATTTAATCTGATGCACTATTAAACCCTCCACACAGCGTCCCAGAATGTTGGAATTAGAAGGTCGCTTGGGGATGTGTAGACTTTTCTCCCATGTAACGTGGTAAACTGTTTTAAGGCATCCCTGAGAGATGACCACTTGGCCTCTTCTTGAATAATTCCAGTGACCAGTGACGGGGAGCTTACTACTGCACAAGGCAGCCCATTCTCTGATTGGTCTGCTCTCATTGTTACAATGTTATTCCTTATATTAAGACAAAACTGCCTCCCAGTAACCTCCACCCATTGGTCCTAGTTCTGACTTCTGGAGCAACACAGAACCAATCTACTAATCTACTCCCTCCTGTACTTGACAGCCTTTCACCATACTGGAATGTAAGTATAAAACACCTCACAAGTAACCCTAACCATAAATGCTTATACGTATGCCTATGCACATTCCCATGAATATATGTGATTACCTGTGCCAATGTTTTATCAGTTTTAGTGGAGAAACAAGAGCTGACTTATATTGTGGCTACATGATTGCCACCCCTATCTGGTTGGGCATGAAATTTGCATTTCATGACACAAAATGCCATGTATTTGAAAAAAATGGAGACAATAGAGTATAGAAACAATCTGTTATATTTCTTATTAGCGCTAAATGAGATACACTTACACAGGAGTAAAATAATTCATGTTAATATAGCACTTTCTAGTTTGCAAAGCAGGCCCCTTACATTATTTTATTTAACCCATATGCAATATAGTCTTGCATGCACAAGGTCAGTCAAAGACTAGACATAGAAGAATTAGGCCTGACCGACTTTCCAAACCTCACATTGCACTAAGCAGAGGCAGGCCCTGAGTCTATATTGAAGTAATCATTTAGCTTTTGTTGAATATATTTTGATATTTCTTCTCTGCTAACACAAAACCAAGGCAGTAAAGAGTCACTTTCCTGGCCCTCTTCGTTCGAGGTGATGAGTGAGGTGTGAAGGTAATTTCCTGTGGAGGCTGCTGCACTAAATCAGGCCGACCTGTCTTTGGTGGTTGTGTTGAATTCTGAAAATGATCACTAGTGCTTTACAGCTTTTCTTAGATGACTGCACTATTTCCTCCGCTTGGAATTCTCTTTTGGTTAACAGAAACTAGTGCTGAAAAACGGAGCTCATTTTTTGTCTTCCTGAAAATATCTTCACAGAATTACTTTGCAGAACATGATGCAACCTACCTAGATTCTCTGCCTCTCCCGCTGTGGCTGTGTGAGCGCGATTGTTGTGTGAATGACGTTTGAAGATTCCAAACCTGCTCCACAAATTACTAAACACAGTCAAGGACTTTAATCTCAAACCATAGTGTCATGATCACGAGCCACCAAGCCCCTTCCACAAGTTCTTAGGAAGCCAGATAAGACTAGCAACACAAAAGCTGTTAGCAGGAAGGGCGTTTTAAAGACACAAGCCATGTTTTGTGCTTCCTCACCTCCCAGAAGGATTTTCCCTGGATGATCCACTAACACACCCTTTCCGAGATGTTTTCTCAAGGGCCTCCATTGTCTTCAGCATCCTCTCATCTCTTTCCTGTCCCTTTTCCCAGCTGTTGTCACTTCTCCCTCCCAAAGCTCCCAGATGCCTAGAGAAAACCTTCCAATTGTGTTCTCCTGGAGAAAGGCCCAAGCTCTGGAACTTTTTTCCGTTTACTCCACTCTCCCTCAGGCTTCAGTTATCTGCCCAGGTCTCCCAGAAATCAATGGAATAAATCTTTGGAGGTGGAATTTGACATATCGAGGGGAGGTATCTGGGTGTAGGGCAGATTACATCCGGGTAATGCTTTTCTTCCGCCTCCAGGGGTTTGGCTGAAAAGAAAGCACGCCTACATCTGCCTGGCAGCCATCTGGGCCTATGCTTCCTTCTGGACCACCATGCCCTTGGTAGGTCTGGGGGACTACGTACCTGAGCCCTTCGGAACCTCGTGCACCCTGGACTGGTGGCTGGCCCAGGCCTCGGTAGGGGGCCAGGTTTTCATCCTGAACATCCTCTTCTTCTGCCTCTTGCTCCCAACGGCTGTGATCGTGTTCTCCTACGTAAAGATCATTGCCAAGGTTAAGTCCTCTTCCAAAGAAGTAGCTCATTTCGACAGTCGGATCCATAGCAGCCATGTGCTGGAAATGAAACTGACAAAGGTAAGTGCACTAATATTTTACACATGTGTTTTCTGACTACTTACAACTTCATAGGGTACAAAGGATAGGGAACGTTGGAGACTGAGAGAACTTAGAATCTCTATTCTTTACGTAATTCTGAACTTCGTTGATGATTGTCTAAGCCTTTCTTTGTGGTATCTCTCTCCTCTTTCTGTCTCTGTACCCCCACTTCTCTCTTCTCTCTCTCTCTCTCTCACACACACACACACACACACACACACACACACATTTTCAATATCTACAAAATTTGTATAACCCATCAATTTGGGGCTTATCTGCTCTGCTGAATAGGGTACTATTGATTCATATTCATTATTTCAGTAATAAGAATAACTTTTATGAATCATACAATGCCTCACAGTATTTTCTGCGTTGCATGGACTTTGGGACATCATTAGGGACATTCTACCACTTGAATTATTTATAGAGTAAGAGTTTACCATGTGTGCTTTCCCATGGGAAGCTTGTGTTATGAACACGAGCAGTTTCTGCAGGCTTGAGTACCTTGGTAAACGGTAGTTTCAGAGGTGACAGTTCTTTAGGTATTGTGGAGTAAGGAAAAGAACAAGACTAGAGTTTAATCCCATCACCAGTACCTGCCAAGTTTGTGACCTAGAACTAGATATTTAGCTTTCTTGAATCCCTATTTCCTCACTTGCATAACAGGAATAGTGATATCTGTCTTATTGGGTTACGGTGGGAATTCAAAGAGATAAAGTATATTATTCTGTCATCTGGTGCATAGAAGGTGTTAGAGCAACCATGGTTTCTCCTTTTTCCTTATGCCTGTTAGGAATTACTGGTAAAGTCTAAAGCAGTGGTCTTCACATGTTCATGATTTTTTGCCCTTGTACTGAAAAAATATTTTCCAACACATGCCATCAATATAAATGACATACAGGTAATACCATCAAGCTTTGTATTAAATATTAGCACCCCCTAATTTAACCCCCCAAATTTTCTCTTCTATTTTAAAGATAAAAATAAAGGTAGATTGAAGTTATAATTATTTCTTCCTGTATCCCAATCAATCACGTTGATTGGTATCCTACCCTCGAGTATTCTCATGTTCACTTTGGAGACCACTAGTCTCAGGGACCCAGAGAAACACAGTTTCCCCCAGATAAGAGATGGCTTTTTAGTAAGTCAGAGACTTGGTTCTGGTAATATGCCTCTCTCCAAATTGCAGAATTTTTGGAGTTATACAAAGATCTCTTGGTTGCATATTGTATTAGTCTGCTATCACACTGCTAATGAAGATGTACCCAAGATGGGATAATTTATAAAGGAAAGAGATTTAATTGACTCACAATTCCACATGGCTGAGGAGGCCTAGCAATCATGGCAGAAGGCAAATGAAGAGCAAAGTCATGTCTTATATGGTGGCAGGCAAGAGAGCATGTGCAGGGGAACTCCCTTTTATAGAACCATCAGATCTTGTGAGACTTATTCACTATCATGAGAACAGCATGAGAAAGTCCTGCCCCCATGATTCGATTACCTCTCACTGGGTCCCTGCCATGACACATGAGCATTATGGGAGCTACAATTCAAGATGAGATCTGGGTGGGGGGACAGCCAAACCATATCACATACTGTGAGCTAGATTCCTGATGGCTCCAGTTGACTGTTATGCTCAAACTCTACATGCCAAGTAGAGGAAGCTTTGAGGGATATTTTCATCACTCTAAATCTATACTGATAGCTTAATAATAGAACAGTTCTTGGACAAAAATGCAGACTCAGGAAGCATGAACTTCTTCTGTCTTATAATTGGCTATAAAGTAGGAAAATATTTTCATAAAATGAAGCATTATGAGTTAGGTTCTTCATTTCTAGCTCTCCCTTTAGCTCTTACCTGCATCTTTCAAAAAAGAAATTTAAATAAATCAATCCTAGTTAAAGTTGAATTATATTTAATCAAAATCCTACTTTGTACCAGGTACTATTTTAGAAACTGGGCAAATGTACCAATGATGAAAAATTTGCTTTTCAGTAGTTTATGGAAGTGTGCCCAAGAAATGATGTGCAGACATTCATCACACTGGTATGTGACGTCGAAGTTTACTTTGCATACAGTTGCTGAAATGTCTCAAAATGTGCTTTCTTCTTGCCATCCCCCTCACCTCTCTGTTTTCCATCCCCTATTATGTCATTGGCCTTGACACTTTGTTGGCCTTGCTCAATAAATCTGGGTCCTGATTGCCATGAGGCTCTTCTTCAGTTTCTCCCAGTTTGTTACCCATCATCTTCTCTCCTGTCAGTTGAACTGCTCAACTTGACCCCCTCACATTCTAGCATCTTGTCCTCTTGTGTATTCTTGAGGAGTGAGAAGCTTGTCTAGTCAATGCTTCTGGAACTCATTATACATATGAGGTACAGCTCAGCATATACCATTTAATTTGATTTGTTATTATTCTGCTTGACTTGGACTGGGTAGATCAAATAGGCTTGCCCTAGATCAGGTTAAATGAAATGTTAAACAAAGTGTAGGAATACATATGTGTAATTTTGTTATGTATATTCTTTTAATTTATATACTAAATGATATTATAGCACATAATATGTAATATTATATTAAGAACATGTCTATATTTTATTTGTTTATATAAACCTGTATTAAAATAACCTAAATACAAACATCTCTAATTATTAATATTTGTGCAGAAAATTTAAGCCAAAATTCAACCCATATTGAAAAATGAACCTAGTCAATGTTTAGACCAGTCAGTACTTCTAGAACTTATTATACATATGAGTCAATGCTTTTGAAGGTCATTATACATATGAGGTATAGCTCAGCACATATCCCATTTAATTTGATTTGTTGTATTATTCCGCTTGACTTGGACTGGGTAGATCAAATAGTTAGGCTCACTCTAGACCAGATTAACCAAAGAAATGTTAAATGAAGTGTAGGAATACATATATATATAATTTTGTTACATATATATGTATATTCTTTTAATTTATATACTTAATGATATCACATAATATGTAATATTATATTAATATGTCTATATTTCATTTATTTATATAAATCTATATTAAAATAACATAAACACAAGTGTTTCTAATTATTAATATTTGTGCAGAAAATGTAAGACAAAATTTAACTGATACTGAGAAACAAACATAACTACTGTGACATCTTCAGTACTAAATTGAAACTATTTTTAACTACTACTCAATTTTGACCTTGATTTTTCTACTGAGTAAAAATAAGTAGAAACTGCCTTATATTGGGCCCTTCCACAGCCTTAGAAACCTTTTTGCTCATTTAGCTACTGCTCAGGATTGTCAAATTGCTTGCTCTCTTGGTACTTCTGATTTTCAGAACAGCCTGGTCTAAAAGCTGATTACTTAAAGTTTACCTTACGGGATTCTGAGATCAAAATCATTTAGTTTTCTGTGTACTTTAATTATTTCTAGCTGGGTTATGACTGGGGCCAGTATTCTGCCGGTCTGATCTCGTGAAGCTAAAAGTTGGCATTCTGTCTGCAAACCTTTCTCTACTTTGTAGCTTTTTTCTAATTAATTTTTAAAAATGATGGTTTTGCTAGACTTTTGTAGCAGCCTGAAATTTCACAGGCTATAAACAGAGGTGTGATGTATATATATATATATATATATACACACACACACACATGATATACATGATATACATGATATACATATACATATGATTATATTTCTATGACTCAGCATAAGCTCATTTCTATGCTTGCATTTGACCTTGTAAAACTGATTTCTTATTGGACAGTCAAGATAAATTCAGTGAAATCAGTAATTTCTCTCTTCTTCCCAGGATTACCTAAAAGTTTCAGGAAGGTTTTCACAATGCCAGTGCTAATGGGTTGGGGACTCTTGGTCTGGGTGTTGTCATTCATTGACCCTGGCATTGCTGAGATATTTAGGGTTCCTTGTGGTCTTAGTTATAGTTTTCATGGGTCACTTTGCATCTTTGTTGTTCCAACTATAAGTCATCTTTAGGCTCATCAGCACTGTAAGCTACTTCCCCACCCTTCCGCTGCAACCCTTCCGGTGCATCTTGGGTCTTGGCTGGGGCCCTGGGAAGTGAGGCACATGTTTTCTGCTTTCACATCCCTGAGAGTTCTGTTGTTCTTCCACCCTGACCCCGGGCCTTTGGTGTTCAGCTCAGTGGGGTAGGTTCAGGACACCTTCTCAGGGTAGGTTACCAACTCCTCTGATGTCCCCACTTGCCTTCAGGGTGTAGGTCCTGTACCTATTTGGGAGTGGGAAAACTGGCTCTTATTTCCATGTACATCCTCTAAATTTCTCACACAGTAATCTTAATGCCCTGAGTCCTTTAAGCCTCTAATTGTGGATATTCAAAGTCACTTTTTTTCCCCACACTCAAAACCCTTTTTCTCAATTATTTTCTCTCCTGGGAGTTTCAAATTTCTGTTTTAAAACTTAGAAGCTGGGAAATGAAGGTTTTACTTCTTTAGGTACTTTTGCTTCTAAAAATCTTCACACAATGCAGTGAATACTCTTGCTACTGATTAAATAAGGGGAATGGTAGAGTCACTGCCTGAGGGGTCCTTCCTGCCTGCTGCACAAAGAAAGACCATGGCATTACAATAAAGAGTTTAATAGCCATGAGGCCAGCCATGCCAGATGGGAAATGGAGTTAGTACCCAAATCAATTTCATCCAAAGTTTGTAAGTGAGGGGTATCTCAAAGGCTGTTTGGGTGAAGGGGTGGGGATTGCTATGCAATGGGTGCTTGCTACTGACTGGTTGGGTTGGGAATGAAATCATAGGGGGTGGAAGCTCTCCTCTTGAGCTGCGTCTGCCCAGGTGGGGCCACAGGAGCCTTGGGGTCCAGGTGGAGCTATGAGTGTCAGACATGCAAAAAACTTGAAAAGATATCTCAAAAGGCCAATCTGAGGTTCTACAATACTGATGTTATTTGCAGGAGTAATTGGGGAAGTTGCATATCTTGTAACCTCCAGAATAATGGCTGACAATCATTTAGGTCTGCACCTTAGCAGAACTCAGTGTCCTCCCATTCCCCCAGTTTGACAGCTTCCCATTAGCTTTTCAAAAGTGCTTGAATTTGGGGAAAGGCCTGTTATCATTTAAACTTGAGCCTAAATGTCTCTCAAAGTCAGCCTGGCACCCAATCCCAGGAATAATTAAAGGAAAGTCAAGATGGGGGTGTTAGAACAGCTCAGTTCACTGTTGTAGTTTTTCTTACTGATACAATTTTTGCAAAGGCAGTTTCAGTACAATGACAGGAAGACAATCCCAGAAGCATGAATTAGTTTTTCTAAATATTATTATGCTATACATGTTGGTACTTCATAGTAATTCATTTAACACACATCAGTCATTTACAATGTTCCAGGTCTACAGTTATGATACAGATCCCCTGGGCACCTGAATTTCTCTTAGTGTCCCTTATTTATACCAGAAAGCCCTCCTGATTCTCCCTGGTTAAAGTCCACCTGCTATGTATGAGCCATCAGAGCACTTGGCACTTTATCTTTAGTGACACTGGTCATATTTTACTGAATCACATGTTTATAGCTCTCTTTTGTAAGACAGTAAGTGAGGCAAAGGAAAATGCTGTGGGTCCTGTTTGCCACTGGACCCTACAGCGTGGCACCTGCTAGCTGTTTAATCAAGATTACTTGAATAAATACATAATTGAATAAACTAAGTTAATCTAATTACCTTGATGAATGTTAAGAGGTCCCTTGAACTCTGGCTCTAGGGCCTCTGTTTCTTTTATACCTGACAGGGCATTTTGCTTCACTTTGCTCTTTTACATTGACTGTGAAATCTTTCTAAAACTCTTAAACATAAAGCTCCATTTCCCTTAAATGACTCCTCCCTTTTATAACTCATCAAATGTTATTTATCATTGAAGGATCAGATTCAGAAGACCCCCTGTGTGGACTCTAAGGGCAGTTCATGGGAAAGTTGAACTGTATTGCTTTAAAAAACCCCCAAAACCAATTAATTAATTACATCCCTCTGTTCTTAGCTTAAATGTCACTTCCCAGAGAAGCATTTCCAAAAATTGAATTCAGATCCTCCTATTACAATGTTTCATTGCAGCCTTTACGTTATCTTCTTGGAACATATCACAATTTTTAATTAATTTACGATTTCATACCTATTTTGGGGATTATTTGTTCATTTCCCTTTTTTTCTTTGTTACCACTACTTGATGAGACCTGAGCGGGTAACAACCATGTTTTTTTTTTCTCTCTGTGTCCCCAGGACCTAATACAATGATTCATACATGGTAAGTGCTTAATATATATTTGTTGAAGGAAGGAAGGAAGGATTACTTCAGAGCAATTTAATCATGAAAAAGTTTTAAACTAGGAGTCAATCCCAATTTTGCCACTAGCTCCTTGAGAGGTGTTACATAGTCAATGTGTGTTTTTTATTTTGCCTGCCATAGGCTGAAAGCCTTCTGTATCTGAGGAATTTCCAACGTTTTGTGCCCTGCTTAGAGTGAGAGGAGAAGCACTGTGCCTCTTAATTTAAAAGACGCTGAAAAGAACAGCTACTCATTTCCCAGAATTCCCCTACAGCTATGGACTTGGGCACCAGCCCTCAGTGTGTCCCAGAAACTAATGATATGGCATCTAGGGGCAGGGAATTCTTTCCTGAGGCCATGGCTACAGCAGCAGGAGTTTCTGCATCAGAACCAGTTCTCAGTCACAGTTTTGGGTAGCATTTCTCTCTGCTTGATCTCAATGTAAACTGCAGCTTCCCAGTGTTACTTTGTGTTAACCAGTATCCTTTAAATAAATGTATTTTCTATCTCACTCACCCATAGTCAACTTCTGCTGCTTGTAACTCAGCATCTTGATGAATTCACCTAAAGCAAACCATTTAATCCTGCTGGGCCTTAGTTTTCTCATCTGTGAAAGTGGAGGAAGAGAATGAAATGATATCTCAGTTACCTTCTAAACTCTGCATGTCTATGAAAATGACTAGATTTGTTCAATTGTTTAAAGGTCTCTGGCAATGGCTATTGTTACTAGAACCACATGGCCTTCCAACCTGAGTATTTGTTCCTCTCCAAGCCGCACATCCCCACTTCAAGGGCTTTGGGCCATCTATAACTAACAGTGAAGTCTCTCCTGTTTTGTTGAACCAGATACTTGTAAGTTATTTTCTGTTCTTTAAGCCAGCCACTGCCTAGTCAGGAAATATTGTATTCAGTTTTGGACCAAAACCCCAAAACACAGATGCATAGAGTGACATGACCTAATTTACTGCCTCTCTTTTCAGTTGCAGCTTTTGCTTGTTTATAGAGTAGCGGTATTTTAAGATTCGAGAAAATTGCAATTGGGAAGTGTGAAATTCTTGTTTTTCTTTACTTGTTTTTTTCTTTTTTTGAAGTATGAATTCATGTTTATTGCTTAGATCACAATGAGGGTTAACAGATGGAAGGTACACCAAAGATGTCAGAAATTTTTTCTTTACAAGTTTATGGAGGAAGGTTTAGGATAGTTGACCTTAATTATCATTCTGTGGATAAAATAGAAGGAAGGAAGAAATTCCAACTAGACACACTCAAAGCTGTCAAATTTCTTAATTTCTTAAAAGGTAATGTGAAAGCTAAGTAAGTGTCACCACTCCTATTTGTATGTGTATGTGAAGGAACCAAAGAAGGTAGGTCACAGTTGTCAAGTTCCCTCCCTTCCTGCTTGCCACTGGTAGAATCACTCAATGACAGATGGCTCTATACGTGGAAGGTAGTAGTCTCATAACTGGAATTACTGTCTTTTAATATTATTTTCTTACTGGCCAGAATCAAATCTAGCTAGATCCAAGCTAGAAAAACAAAATCTTGTCACCCGCATGCTCCTGTCAATTGTGCTGTCTCCTGAAAGAGGCAGAACGTGCATTCTTCCTGTTCCCTAATGCATAGAGGTGATCTCTCCTGGGAACATTTTCTCACCCTAGCCACTGAAATATCTTTGTTATCCCCATTCTAATTGGTTCTGTAATGTGATTCAATCTTGTTATTGATGGGGAACTTATTTCATCTCTTTGGCCCTCTTTTTCAACCTTACTTTCACATCAATTCTGTATCTTCTAATCTATTTTATTATTCAAGGTAGCATGCAGCTTCAAGTATTAGCTGAAGTCTTATTTGCATCTGGGCAAAGGAGCCTGGAGAGAGGAGCTCGGCACCCCCTCTGAAATAGTTGTTCCTAGAAAATCAGCGATTCTGCCCCACTCACACTGCTCAGTCGAGCTGAACCATGACTGGTATCATGGAGTTACTCAGAGTATCTCCATGCCAATGACTTTTCTCACTATTCCACACTGCCTCAGCACATTGAAAGGAGGGAAACTCCTTCTTAGAAACATTACCTGCTGGAATGCTTCAGATGTATTAGACCCAGAGGCATAGCCTTGGAGGATTTACTTTCAACCACATTATTCGATTATTGCTTTAATTGGTTAATTAATTGGAATTGAGCAATTATGGACAACACTGCTTTTGTGACACAATACCAGCTTGAACTGGCACTGGAAACTGGCTATATCCCTTGGTCCTCTGTAGCATGATGTACTTAAAATGAACTGGGTTGCAGTTGTGTGATTCTTTTGTAGAAGCTAAACATGTACCCTGTGAATTTCCGCCCACAAAAATTGTCTAATTTAGGATTTGAAGTCTTACTGCTTTTTCAGTGACCTAAAAAGGCAGTGATAAAAGTGAAGTAATTAAAAAAAAATAAACAACTTAGAAAAAGTTGATGGGTACAGGAGCCTGTGTTAGAACTGGCTTAAGGATATCTGGAATGGAAATTTTAGAAAATAAAAATTAAGACACACTTAGAATTGAGGAAAGTCAAAAACAGACTGATGAAAAGATTAAATATATTCCAAGCTGAGTAGAAAATGCTGACAAAAACGGAGTGTAACATGAAAGTTTTGAAAACTTTCGTGGCCTATATCTTAAAATAGTTTTTACATTTAAATGTTTAATATTTTGTGGAGTATATTTTAAAATGGAAAGGTTATAGAAAGTGAATGTGCCTTATATTAACTTTGTATTCACTTCAGAAACATAAATAACATTGTGTAGTACTTTTTAGATCTAGCCTTTTATCCCTCTTTCTGCTTTAAACTCAATTTCTAAGTCTTTCAATTTAAAGTATTTAGATTTATTCTAATCCCAGAAAAACCACAGTGATTCATTTGCTATGTGTTTGTAAAACTGAAGTATATTTAATTCTTCTATGTCCTTTTAAGAAGGATAACATAATGCTAATGTTTTAAGTCTTTCCTGTTCCCCAATTGCACACTCCTCTAAAAGTAGAAAACACGTAAAATGTAGAAAATATTATGGACTAAGTGCTAATCTATTTTTTGTCAATGACTTTGGCAGCAACACAGAAAACAGCTTTTGGGATACTGTGAACTCATCATATGACTCACCAAAGAAGCAAAGATGGAGCTATGTTAAGTCCCTAGACATCTGCTAAAGCAAGCTTTATTTCTATAGTTAGTGTTTATTTGGGGATTTAGAAAAAGAAGGCCCTCACTGTGAGCCTTGAGGCATCCATTCCATTTACAAGCAAAAGTCACACAGACATAACCAAATAAAAATTTCTCCTGGGTAAGCTTCGTAGAAAGATAGGAAAGCAAGTCCAACAGGAGAGCTGCGTGTGCACATTGGGACTTGACAGTTTAACTGCTAAGCATAGGTGAGAATTTTGGCCAAGGACCGAAAGCAAGGTTGCAGATCATGCAGGAGATCTGGGCTCACTTGATTGATTTCCTGGGGATTCAGATTCTCTATTTGTAAAATGGAAAAAAAATTGATATTATTAATTGTGTGTGTGTGTGTGTGTGTGCTGCAGGTAATGTTCAGAGATGAGTTCTGAAATTCTTGGGTAGAATTTTAGAACCTGAGACTTTAGGTTAGACTTTAGATTTTCCATGTTTCATTCTTATACACACCACAGAGGCGGGTTCCTAGGGCCAACACACCCCATAGACAGGCTGTTCCACAGGTCAAGTAGACCGAAGGCTGTGGACCATTTCCTGCCTACCGCTAAAGTGTACTGAAATGCACGGGCACACATATGTCCTTGTTATGGGAAAAACACATCCAATTAACTGTCTAAAACAAAAAAGGCATTCGCAAATAGTGTTGCTTTAATTATTACTAATAAAACATTGTATGTCTCACTCCTTATCATTGATTCTCTGGAACTTGTCATGACCCTGATGTTGGGAATTGTTATTTTGCTTCTTAAAGTTGGGGACGGGAGTAAAAGGAAGTGATACCTGGCATAGCTCCATCCTTACTCAGAGATTATAGGAAAGTCCAATTTTCCTGGAACTCCTTTATAAAATCCCCAAGGTGGGTCTGATCAAGATCTTTTGAGTCATGCGCTGCTCTCTATTCCTATTATTGTAGCCAGGAATGTGTAGTCCTCTGCTTGGTCAGACTTGGGTCATGTGATGCCCATGATGTCAACTTCATAAAGCAGCCTAGCAGATTGAGGGGTGCTGGTGATGCTAAGGTAGAAGACATACACTGGGAAGGTGGAAACAAAGGTGAACAAACGAACAAACAAACAACCCCCCCAAAAAACAAATAGGTGTCTTACTACGCAGAAGACAGATTTGAATACAGTTTTCAAATTTATTTTACAGAAGGAATATCCTAGTAGATAACATTGTGTAAGGATACTTTGAAGTTAGTGTACGCTTTCTCAATTAGGGCCTGAAATAGCACAAGTTTTAAATAAAAACCAAAGTTTTGATTACATTTGTCAGTCTCAATACTCTAATTTCTTATTTCTTCTTTAGACTCTTGCCTAACCAAGCATGCTAAGAGTAGAAATTGTACATGGGCAGGGATGTGTCTGCTTTGTTTATTGCTTTATCCTTCACACAAAACATGTGGAAGATGCTCAGTAATACTTGTTGATTGAATAAATAAACAATGATCTTTCTACCTTCTATTTTTTTCTACGCCATTTTACTCTACAGGCTAATCCTCCTAAGCAGCGCTCTCATCATATTTCCTGCTCAAAAACCTACTAGTGTCTCAAAGAATACAGAATTAAGTGCAAGCTCAATAATGCCATACAAAACCCTGAATCTTTCTTTCCTGCCTCATTTCCCTTTGTTGCTTTCTCCTACCACAGTGAATTGCTCACTGGTTCCTATACAGACCTCTCACATTCCTGTCTATGCCTTTACTTTGTTTCACCACTATTTCTTTATTTCTACTTGCCAAGGTGCACGTCCTCTTTGTAACTCTCCTCAGTAGGCCAGGCGCGATGGCTCATGCCTGTAATCCCAGCACTTTGGGAAGCCGAGGTGGGTGGATCACCTAAGGTCGGGAGTTCGAGACCAGCCTGGCCAACATGGTGAAACCCTGTCTCTACAAAAATACAAAAATTAGCCAGGCATGGTGGTGTGCACCTGTAATCCCAGCTACTTGGGAGGCTGAGGCAGGAGAATCGCTTGAACCTGGCAGGCAGAGGTTGCAGTGAACCAAGATTGCGCCACTGCATTCCAGCCTGGGCAACAAGAGCGAAACTTCATCTCAAAAAAGAAACGCCCCAATTTGCCCCATAGGATGTATATGTGTCCTCCTCTGAGCTGCCACTTAAATAATATTCAGCCTTGTACTGTAGTTATTTGTATTCTAGAGGGATACAACTCAGGCTCTAGGTTTTACTGGTATTCCCCACAGCCCTAGGCATAGGGTCTTACACAAAGCACTTGCTAAAAAGAGTTTGTTGAATTGAAGTGAGATGATGCATAGGGGTCAGGCGGGTAGTTACACAGCACTAATTAGGACTACATTATTAAAGGGACTGAATTGCAGATGGCAAGAGACTTCTGAGGGTATTTAAAACCCTATCGCTAATTATTCTTTGGTCTGAAAATAAAGAGGCTCCGAAGGTGATTATAATTTTGTGAGAGTGAAAAGTGTTTTCTGAAAAAGTCTTGTTCCATACAACTATGCCACTTTGGCTGAATCTCAATGACTTATTTTACATTATGTACCTAGTGAATTTCCAGTACCTGAGTCTCACACCTGACAAAAATTTGAGTTAAAAGAAATAACATTTAATAGAAATTTCTGAACATGCAAATTAGAATTTCAAACTAGGGCAGAATTTCTGTTTCCTGAGGTGAATATGGATGATTTAAAATTTCATCAAGGTGAATATATTTTCCATCGAGTTTTTAAGTGAATGTGGGTTGAGAAGTCCAGAAATATTATGATTTCCTGCTCCATGGAGTCATAATCTGACAGCTATTTGAGGGTTATATTTTGGGTCTTTGGGTACATTCAAATTCTAGAGTGGATACTAGATAGGATGTGGTAAATGGGATAAAAAATTGTAATCACTTCTTTTGGCTGAACTTCTCAGAAGTCCATATGAAATGATTCCTATGTACAAAGTAAATGAAAACAATGACAGACTTTCTTGGCTGTGAGAGGTGACCTGATCCTTCTCCATACCCATCGTTTCAGACTCATGTCCTTTATCAGTCATCTTGATTCTTTTCTCTGTTGCTTTCCCTCATCAGGTAGCGATGTTGATTTGTGCTGGATTCCTGATTGCCTGGATTCCTTATGCAGTGGTGTCTGTGTGGTCAGCTTTTGGAAGGCCAGACTCCATTCCCATACAGCTCTCTGTGGTGCCAACCCTACTTGCAAAATCTGCAGCGATGTACAATCCCATCATTTACCAAGTTATTGATTACAAATTTGCCTGTTGCCAAACTGGTGGTTTGAAAGCAACCAAGAAGAAGTCTCTGGAAGGCTTCAGGTAAAACTTCAGAAGCTGGAAATGAATTACACTCTCTTTGTTTCAAAATCCGGCAGGGTTCAAGGTACTCAGATGTGCTGTCTTCTTAGGGTTAAAGCTCATCGCCTAGGAGTAGTGTAGGAAGGACTTTATTTTCTGTTTATCAAAATTCCTGAAATCAAGTAATCAGCTATGTAGAGGTTGTATGACATGGATAGATAGTGAGAAGTGATTCTTTTTTGATCGTGGAGCAACTAAGATACAGAGATGTGTCCATTTGAGCAACAACCACTATTTATGCATGGCTCGTACATTGCATATCTGGGACCAAATCCATTTTATTCCAAGAGTACTGTTTCACATGGCTTTGATCTCACAATAGAATGGTTCTCTTGTCTGGCACATCACTACCACTAGCTAAGGGCATAAAAGTTGGGCGGGCAGAGGAAGGAAGGGGAGAAGGGAGATGACATTTCTGCTCTGTGCCAGATTTCTTTTATTTTATTTCACAAGAGTCTTGGGTTATTCTTTTTCTTTGTCAGAAGAAGAAATTGAGGTTCAAGTAAGGTTAAAGTTAAGTAAGCTGCCCATGTTTAAACAGCCAGAAAGTAGCAGAGGAGAAATTCAAATTCAAGTCTACTGGGTTTCAAAATGTATCCTCCTTGGTTGATACTGTTTGTGCTACACAGTGAAAAGAGTTTGGGAATCCAGTACCATTTTTCCTAAAGACCCAAAAGGCTCAGGGTGAGTAAAGACTTGGGGGTTATTGGTGGTCTTCTGTGTCCACTCATGGTCAGTATTAGCAGTAAAAAGTGGAAGAGGCACCTGAATTCATGGTCTGAGGTGAGGGGTGTTGAGATGGCCCCTGGTCTCAGTGCTTTTTGTTCTTATTTACTTGATTTTCTAGATATTTCTTAATACTTCTTCCCTTGAATAAGTAAGGGACAGTAGACAAAAAAGTAGAACTAGCTATGAGAAGATGTGGGTTTTGTCTTGTTCTTTCATTGTGCCTGAGCAAGTGACAAATATTTTGGACTTTAGGTTCCTCACCACGGGTCAAATGAAAAGATGACAAAAAGGCACAAATAAAAGGTGGTATTATCATTATTGCTGTGGTATAGGGGAAGACACACACAATTTGAAGATAGAAGACCAGTATTTAATGTTCAGTTGTTTACAATACGTTTACAATAGCTCTATATCTTTGAACAAATTAACTACATAGAGCCTAGAATTGGAATAAACAGTAACAATACCCATCTCCTGAAGTTGTAAGAATTAAGCAAAATTGATGTGTGAAAAGATCTAAGGGACAATTGTTAGTAGTGCTTTCATATTTTTTGGTGGTTACTGCCTTTGCTGTTGAATTGAACAGTTAAATCCAAATGCTAAAAAGCATCTCTTTCTGAAGTAATAACACTATGTCCTCACTGGCTATTGATATTTTGTTATAAATGCAGATAGAGAGAATAATTTTAATAGAGCAGTTGTGGGAGAAAGTAACGGCACACTTCTTCATCTGAAGGAGATGGGAGTTTGACAGGAATGACTGCAAGCAAATTTCACGTGCCTCGTAATTTTGCCTCAGACTGCCTCTGTGTTCTGTACATTCACTCACAACTGTGAGCAGCCCATAAATATTCAATACTCAACAATGGGAAGAGGGAAATTTATGTGGGAGAAAGTGACTTAGGGCCACAGACCTTTGGGAAAATCAGTCAGGCAAGAGACAGCTCGGTTCACTGGTTCCTATTAGCCGTTTATACGAAATATAGCAATTGCTCTGCTGGAGGAGGACAGGGCTATTTCTTTTCTCTAGAGGGTCAGCTTTCGGGGAAAAAGCAGGCGGTAGAGCTGAAGCAGTGAGGAGCCCTTAGGTGCTAGAGGTTGAAGCCTCTTTGTGGAAGGAATGCTGAAGAGATATTGAGTCGTAGATTTTAGAAGGGGCTGCTTCAGAGAAGAGCAGACGGGTGGATGGTAGCCACCAGAGGTTTCTTTTTATCTTTACAAAGAAGCCAAAAAGAAACCTCATTTCTCTTTGTTGTTATTAAGAAGTTATGCAAGTGAGTAATGTGCAGGTCTGCAGAGCAAGGTTAAGTGATGTGAAGCTAGTTTAGAATTATTGCACAAACCAGAACAAGTGAATTAAACTGGATTAATCAATATCCTTATTCTTTTCTTTTCTGAGCCCTGAAATGTTTTTGCTTATAAGGGGACACCCTCTTGGGAAATATTTTGAAATCAAATAATAAAGCTAATGTATTGAATATGGGATTGTGGAAATAAATTTTGGGTAATTTTAACAGTCTATTACAAGTTAAACTCATTTTTTCCTCCTGAATTGAATCCTCTGAGATTTTGGTAGAAGTTGGTGAACCAAAGGAAACAAATGTGGCCAAGAGCTCTTTCTGGAATGTTATTCTTTCCTACACCTGGGTATCCAGATGTAGTCTCCCATATTTTGTAAACAGCACTGCTCCACCCTGGCTGTGTAATGGAGACACCTGGGGAATTTTGAAAAATGACTGCTGCCTGGGCCCCAACTATAGAGATTTGGCTTTGTCTGGATTGGTCTTGAGCTTCCGTTGTTTAATTGTTTACCTCTCCCAGATGACTCTCTTGTACATTGTTGAAAGCTAACGAACCAGAGGCTGAGAAAGGAAGACAATGGCAGTACAGCTCATGGAGTCATAGGCCTTTGCCTACACAGAGACCAGTGAGGCCACCTATGGGCAGTGACAGGGAAAAGAGGCTGCAGATGCTAGGCCTATCTCAAATGGAGAAGAAATGTTCAAAAGGCACTGGGGGTTCGAACATTTGATTGGGGGTATGCAGTGAAGGATGGAGTCATTTGCATTCCTGGTACTGAGTGAAGATAACAAGGGAGAACAAAGCTGCAAACTCTGGCATTGCTATCATAATCAAACCTCCCCTGACCACCTTGGCTTGCAATGCTGTCTTCATAAAGAACATTCCTTCAGTAGGTGAATCACAAGGCCTACATATATAGTGCAGGTAGGTGTGCAATTAAGTTTGTTCTGGAAAACAGGAAACTCATGATGGCATACGAAATGTGCTGTAAATGAGTGGCTTGTTTTTGGAAAACTCTGCCCAAATAATTCCTTGACTTTGAATATTTCAAATTGAATTATTATTTTCTGTCTGTTGCTAATTCAAGATTTGTGCACATAATCCTCATAGTAGTCGTTTGACATATACATATGTATGTATATGTACATATGTATTTATGTGTGTGTATATGTAGATATTAAATTGCATTTTTCTTCTCCTATATCTAGGCTGCACACCGTAACCACAGTCAGGAAGTCTTCTGCTGTGCTGGAAATTCATGAAGAGGTATGAAGATGGATACAGCATCACTATGGACACTCGTATTCACTTATTTGCCTCTTCACTGCTGTAAACATTTGATTGTGGCCACACTTTTGTCTTTATATTATATTTTTATATTTTGTACAGTTTTCCTCAAGCCAGGGGTTGCTGGGAAATTCCAATGGCTAAATGGAAACTAGATTACAGGATACTAATTTAAGGAATATTATCAGGATGAGCGTCCCTGGAACTTTCTTTTCTCGTACTTTAAAACCTATTGTCATGCCAAACAGAATTGAATGTGAGATAGTGAGAAAAATGTTGAGAAGTTTTATATTAGGGGGTTATTTAATTTTATTACATCATTGTCATTATTGTTTCTTAATGTCGGGTTAGGGAGGCAGTTTCTGGGGCTCATTCAGGTGGACAATCATGTATGTTGGGCCATGGCTCTTTGGTAGGTACTTTGGTTCTCACAGCCATTTTTCATGCTGGAGGAGGTTTGTACTCTGATGGCAGTGATTCCACAAAGGAGTCCTCTGGGGAAATCAGTTTTGCCTTAAATCACTCAATGGAAAACTCTCCTGTATCTCCAAATTTGAAGACAACAGTAATTTCCGCTGATGATAATTTTACCTGCGTGGATTTTCTCATTAAGTTCTACTTACTAAAACAGTGGATGTAACAGGGCATTATGAGTTGTAATTGCTTAAGAAGTGAATTTAGTGAAGATAGCTATTCGTAAGTGTTGTTTCTTCTATTTGTTAGCTTGTTATTTCTTTTGTTCATCCTTTTTTTAAACAAACACCTTTTGAGGCAGACAGGTAAAGAGATGTAGATATGAATGAGATGGAGTGATTTCAAAGACAGATTCCTGCCTTTTAAAAGCTTCTGAAAGGAGAAGGCACGTAGATACTATGTCCAAATAGGTTTTCTACTCATTGTCTATTATCTTTTCTCCTAATCTGATAAGCAGGGCCATCTACATTGCAGTTCTTTTAATTCAATGACTAGACAGGTGTTCTCTATGCTTCTCTATTCCATCTACCTCCCCTTCTGCTATGAACTTAAGCCTTGCTCATCAATTGTGATTCTGTCTTTCTGGTAACTGCCAGCAAGAACAGCGAATAGGGGAAGAGGGTGGCCCCTCTCACACCATTGATAATCTCTCCACTCCTTCCACTTGAAGGTTTGTAGAGAATCATACCCTCCTCCAAGGCTCAACCTCAGTACATGGAACCTTCAGTTCCTTTGTCTTTGTTCTTTGTCAGTCAGGGGTGTGGGATGAGGAATGACTTGATGTGTGTCACTGGTTTAAGATAAATGCCAAATAGATGTTGGAAAACATGCTCTATGATTAAAACAACAACAACAACAACAACAACAACAACAACAACAACAACAACAAGCAACAACTCTGCTTGGGGCTTATGCCTGCATATCAAAGTCTGGAGAAAAGAAGAGGCAGAATTGTCATTAGAATAGAGAGGCAAGGAACTTTTTAGCAGACTTGTACATTATAGAGGTGTGAGAGCACGTGGCACGTCAGATAGAGGTGGACACAGCTGTAAAGCACAGTCAGGTTTGCACCCCTCCTCTGTGCCCTTTGGCAAGTTTGAAACATGAGGATAATAACAATAGTATCACAGGGTCATTGTGAGACTTATGAAATAATATCCACATAAGTCACTTAGCAATATGCCGGTGATAGAGAAGCACCCCTGGGTACCAACAACTGCTCTTATTATTATTAAGGCGAGTGGTGGTGGTCAGAAGTGGAGCTGAGAGTGGTAGTCTGGCAGGAGCCAAATCAGACTCCAAAGGCTTTGTTGTTTATGCTGTTATATGGATTTTACCATGACGGTGATAGGGAGACCATTCATGATTTTAGGCTGGGGAAGAAAGACCAGTCTGGTGGCAGTGTGGAAGGTGGATTGTCTGCATGAGAGTGGGGAATCAAGATTAGAGGTTGGCAGACCAGTTAAGAGGCTTTATAACAAAATTACAACTTATGAGGACCTGAATTAAAAAATGGCATTAAAAATGAAGATGAAAATTTAGGTTTAAAATATTTTAAAAAGTGACAAAAAAGTGGTAATTGATTACATGGATGAAGAAGAGTTGAGGATAACTTGGGGCCATCTGCTTAGGAAATAATGTAGATAACGGTGTCTACCGAGGGGAAAAATACAGGAAAGTGAATGGGATGGGGGAGAGAGTGAATTATATTTAGAATATGTTGAATGCGGAGCATTTGCAACATAGGTAAAGATATTCAAAACCGGTAGTTAAAAATAATCTAAAGTCATACTGAATGATATATAGATTATATCATTATATCATTATAACGATATAGTTATAGATTATTGAGTTGCAGAGTGAAGCAGGTAGAACAAAAATGCTAAAAGAGAAATTGCTGGTTTTAAATGACCTGAAGAAAGTGAAGTGAAGGAGGTTTTTTTTTTCCTTCTTCTTCTTTTGTGTGGGGGGATGATTGTGGAAGTGGATGACAGATGGCGGTGGAGGTAAGAAAAGGAGAAAAGAACACTCAGGTTGGTGTAGATTTGTCTAGAAGGTGGAATTTAACATTAACATTGTACAAACGTCCCTGAAGACAGATAGTTTAACTGTTTAAAAATAGACTCATTTAACTGTTTAACTAGAATATGGTCTTTAACATGGCTTTATAAATGCATGTATAAGAAAAATTAGCATAGTGAAAAGGAAAAAAAGAGTTTAAATTGTCGGAGCTTTGGAGGAGATCCTAGAGTTAATATCTGTTATCAATTTGAAAAATATGATTTAAGTCCTCCATGCTTTGGTTCTACATTGTTTTGGGTAATAATCTGAGAGCTGGGAGGCACCAGAATTGATAGAGATGTGGTCCTTGGGGTAGAATGGAGGAAGAAAAAACAAGGAGTCATTGAAGTTTGGCTCATGTACACCAGACTGTCAGTGGATAACTTCCTGAGTGGGTTTTGCTTCCCCAGTGGCTTCCAATGATTTGAGAAAACTCTATACAGACCTCAAACACATCTACAAATTCAATTTTAGCTTAGAAAAGATATATTGCATTTTATGTCTGGGAGGGTTATGAGAAAGACTGCAAAATCTTTGAGCTTGTAGCTATGCCTGTTCTCCTTTGGGTTCTCATAACTGGCCCAGTGCCTGATGCATAAAGGACACTTGGAAAGTTAATGGTTGAAATCAAACAAGTAATGACTTGGGGGAGATATGGAAACATGAGCTAGAGTATTAAACCAAGAATATAAAATCCTAGATCCCTGGACTTTCATTTAAACATGGCCTATCTTGTTAACAAATAAATGAGTAAATAAGTTTGTAAAATGGAAATTGAGAGTAGAAATGCCCTACTAACTTGAAAAGTTGGATTTCAAGAATTATCATAAAGTCTAAATATATTTTAAGTTTTTCTAAGTGGAATGAAGCAATAAGAATATATTTCACAGTAAAATCCAAGTTTTTGACTTTTAGAAATGTAATTTCAGGTTTGCACCCCTGAAAGAATCAAGCATTATGCTTATTTAGAACTGAAATGGTAACTACAAAAATCTATCTCATTTAATTTCCCACCACTGCCTTTAATGACCTTTAGCAACCTGAGCCACAAATCTACGAATAAAAATGCTTCTCCATTAAGTTAGTGCAAATGAGGGAGAAAAGACAAAGGAAAGGAGAGGGAAAGAGGAAGAGTCAGAGCTAGATGATGAGTAGGCTGTTGCAGGGATCAATGATGCTGGCATAATGAAATGTCTTAAAGACTGCCAAAACATCAGAGAACATTATATATAGAATGAAGATATATGTCATTAAAGTAAAAAGGTTAGCAGAGATAGCATCAGTCTTTGGTTCAATAACTAATTTTATAGAGAGGGAGCCAGACCTCACTGTCCAGGAGGTCAAAGGGTTGACCATTCTGTTAAAATGGGGCAAAAGGCAAGAAATATAAGACCCACAGGGAATTTGCTAAGAAAACACATTTAAGGGCATGCCCTCACTCAGTACAGACTTTGCTCAAAACCTCATGCTATTAGTGGATGCCATATTGCAAAAATTCCTGGTCACCACTGTGACCCTCTATGATTTTTAAATGATTTAACCTTCAGCATATTTGTTCACCAGGTTATGGGACTGCATGGGATATATTCTAAAAGTACTTTAAGAAATTTCAATCAAACCATTATCATTGAAACTGCTTTTCTCAATTACTTTGAACCCTCTTTCCTTAGCCTGACAAATATACCCTCACATGCACCACGAGGTCTGAAATAGACAGGCAACTATTACTTAAAACATATGTGAGAGAAAAAATTCTTTCAGGTATACACGTGCTTTGTTGGTTTTGTTTTATTTTGGTTTTAACATTGGCCACATCTACATAGGCAAATACTGCATTCACTCATTCAGCTTTGCATTCAGGCAATTTTAAGCACCTGCCATATACACTGTCCTCAATGTTTGGAAGATACAAAAGATGGGGAGGATGTGTTTTTAGTTCCTTAGGGATTTGAGGGCTTTGGCAAAGTTTTGACCTTTCTGTATATTGTAAATACTTTAATTGTAATAGTTTTTAGATGAAGACCTATAGGTTTACTTTGATGAGAGAAACTGCAAAATATCAGGAGAGGTCCTGGGAATTGATTTGCATATGTCTCTGTTCCCCTGATGAGGAGAGAAATATGGGGCTTTTGCAAGGTCTTCTAGAGCAGAATTCAATCATTGCCAAGCCAATGTTCTCCTGTTATCTTTGGGTGTTTGAATGTTTGGTTTGAGAAAAGGAAAATTTCTTGAGTCAGTTTTCTTCCTCAGGATATAGCAAAATGGAGCTGGCCAGGTGATTTGGGGCAGTGTGGATTACAACATTTTCTTCCAAACAATACCTAGAGCATTGGAGACACAGCATAGAAGTTCAGAGTACAGTTTCAGAATTAGCAGACTTGATCTCAAACTCAGGTGCCGTCATTTACCAGCTGTGAAGGCAAATTACTTGATCTCTCAGTGTCGCTGGTTGTCCTCATTGTGGAATAGGGACAGTCTCATCTCATTAGGATTTGTTGTGATTCATGTATCACCTGTAAGATTCTCAGGACAGTTCTGGCCCATTGAAAATATAAATTAAAAGGAAACTATTGTTATCATCACTATTAGAGGAAATAGGTGATTATTCCAAGCGGGTTTTGTAGTGATAGGTGTGAATCTTGTTCTTGAGGAGGTAGGAGGACATTTCTCAATATGTCTGGTCACCATAGATCTGGGAGATGTTCAAGCTGTTTGAGAAAGTGAGAAACACACTAAGATTCTGTGGAAATAGCAACTGGTAGCTCTGCCACAGGAAACTTGTAGTGTGAGGAACTGATGCTATGAGACATATTTGCCCTTTTGAGCCATGATTGGAGGTGGCATGAGACCAAGGAGAATAGAGATTTACTCCACTCCGGTGGGAGTCATCATGGAGACATACTGGAGATGAAGAAGGGGGTCAGAGCACGTTGCCTATTTAGCTTTCATGAAAGGGTTGAGATATTCAGCCTTCCACTAGAGAGTTTGCTGAGTTGGGAGCACAACTTCTTACTGTAGATTTTTTCTGGAATACAGGCAGAAACAGAAATTCTCATTGAGGTTCATGCCAGTTACAGAAATTTTCAGTTATCAAGACCTCTAGTTCTGACTTTAAATACATAAAAGTGTATTTAAAGTAGAAAATATTCAATTTTGGAGGCTTGTCTAGGAGTTTAAACTCGTTAATGTCTGTGTATGATGTTGTTGCATATAGGGTGGTTTAAATCCTTGTTACCCAAAATGTAGTCTGCAGACCCAGAGCTTGGGTATCTCCTGAGAGCTGGTTACGAAAAAAGAACTTGAGCCCCATGCCTGACCTACTACTGAATCAGAATCTGTAATTTAACAAGATGACTTTCCTGCCCATTGAATTTGATTAAGTCAATGATTCTGTTAAGACTAATGTGTTTTTAAGTCTTTTCCCATTGGATGTGGTCACAGTCAGAGGTGTCCTGAGAAATAGTACCCTAATCAATGGGCAGTTGTGTAAGAGCAAGGACTTGGAGTCTTGAAAGTATCCCTGGATACTGGGGATCTGTGAGCGGGACACTCTCTAAGGTATGTTTCACCCTCAGGACAAAGGGAGATTATGGCATCAGCTATCTTGTGGGGAGAATTCTGAGATGACAGCCTCCAGTGAAACACTAGGGACAAAGGCCCATTCACCTCTTCAAGAAACCAGGGAAGGGGAAAATGAAGCTGTTGGGTGAGTCAGCATTTCTTCGCATACAGCTATATTAGGATTGACTACTTAGAGCTAATTTGTTCAGAAAGAAGGGTATTTTCCTTAATACCAAGAGTTACACTTATCTAAGTATTTTCTACTTTGAAAGTGGTATTCACTTCCAATAGCCGCCCGATCCACATATATACACATCCAAATGAATAAAATGAACAAAATCTAATTAGTTAGAGGGGGAAAAAGCACCTAATCCATTTGAAAAATGAGCTAAATTTGTCAGCAAGCATGTGGGATTTATTCAAACTGCTCAGAATAGATCTGAATCTACACATTTTGACATTCCATCCATGTAGAAGCAAAGCCATGTGTGAGACCAGGCTGATAAAATGACTTAAATGATTGGAAGTCAAGAAGAATAATAGCACTGAAGCAGCAAGTTACTCACGACATTTCCAGAAAGTGGAGAATCAGGCACTCTTCTCTAAATATAGGACTGGGCCTGAACATTGTACAAACACATCCAAGCTAGTGTTTTGCAGAAACTCACTGCCAGTGGGGATTTGGCAGGGCATTCATCCATAGGATAATCTCAATCTGCAGTTGAGCCTGTGTATGGGGCACAGATGAGGCTCTTAGCTCAGGATGGTGATGAAACCACACACTCCACAGAGATGATATCTCTTCAAAGCATGGGAAGGTGTTCCAAGGTGAGAGATGACCCTACCCACCTATTTTGAGCTATTTTCGGTATTGTTAGATGAGATACCTCGGCAGGCATGGAAAATCAGCAGTCAGGTCAGCTGGGAGCTGGGAAATTATGTAGACTTCACTGTAAGAAATGACTGGCTCAAAGGTGTTCATGACAAGGGTTAGAGCAACTGGAGTGTATTGAGGCTGAGCAAATATGGTGGAAGGGAGAGGGAGAGTGGAGGAAATGTGAGTGTCTGAGACCATCAATAAGCAAGAGAATTTCCTGTCTCATTCTGGGTTGCAGCAGCTGCTGCTGGTCCAAGCCCTGCAAATGAAGACAGACATTTATAAGATCTAATAAGCTGAGGACTGTGTGGGCAGAGGAGAGCAACAACTTCTAGACAAACCCTGCCAAAAAAATATGCTTGCAAAAGTTCGTACAAAAAGGAGGCAGGTGTGGCTTCTTTAAATTTGTTTGTCAAAAAAATTTATTTTTAGCTCCTGGAGCAAATATCAGAAGTGGTTAAGTAACTGTACTTGTAATTTAGCAGCACAATAAGAATCACAAGAATATGTGGCTGTTGAACTCACCCCAGGACACCCTAAATTTACTGGGTAGTGGCATCAATGCCATGACTTGCTGGTCAGAGATCTCTAAGTAATTCTGAAAATTAGGAATATATATATATATATAAAAAATATATTACCGTATAAGTAGAAATATATATATATATATATATAAAACAGTATAAGTAAAAATGTGATACTAGAGAGGAGAAAGGGAGTAATTTATTCCACATTCAGTAGTTTAGTGCCTCGGTTTCATTCAGTGTTCTCAGAATTTAATTTAATTTAATTTAATACAATTATTAACAGTTCATCATTCAATATAAATTATTTTCAAATGAACAAAACCATTCACATTAGTCAGGCTGCTGCTGTTATTGGCGTGTTTCCCATTATAGTGTCTTACAGGTTTTTCAAATTAAGTTCTGCACTTCAGAATGGTTGAAATTATAGGGGAAGCGATATTCCAGAAAATACCCTGCTGGTTTTATTTCTAATGCAAACATAAATGAGGAATGGGAGGAAATCTTCTGAGGTAGTGAGTCTTAGATGTCAGCTCATTCTGTATTGATTGCAATTAATACAAATAGGCAAAATGTGTTCTCATTACAGTGAGAATATGATTAAAGTTTGTATAAAAGGTTGAAACTTGAGTTATTTGCTGGGAAGCAAATTCCTCCAAGCAAAATAATAAAAGCTACAATATTATTAAGTTTAACATATGCCAAGGATTGTTTTTATGTAAAAGTCAGTATACTACAGCCCTCTGGCCAAATCTGGCCCACTGCTCAGCCTCAATACACTCCAGTTGCTCTATTCAATGCCTGTTTTTGTAAATAAAGTTTTAATGGAACACAACCATGCCCACTTGTTTACATATTGTCTATAGCTGCTTCTCCTTTTGAATAGAGAGAGAGAGAGAGAGAGAGAGAGAGAGAGACTGTCAGTTTTGCAAATCCTAAAATAGGAACTTTCTGGCCCTTTATGGAAAAACTTTGCTGAAGTCTGCTCTACTTTTTTACTTGTTTTAACAGCCTTAGGGGTTATTCTTTGTCCCCTATTAGGAAACTGAGGCACAGAGAATTTATAGAGCCTGCTCAAAATCACACAGCCTGTCAATGGAAAAGCTGGAATTCCAGCTTTCTCAGGCTGTCTCTAAAGCCTGTGACTCTTAGTACTTTGCTATATGGTTGACCGATTTATTCTGTATGTAGATTTCTTCTTTCATCTCGCTTGATTTAAAATCCCACTCTAGGTCTCTTACAATAATTCTATTTCCTTGCTTGATTTACACTTGAGATGAGAAATTAGAGCTGATTTCTATTCCTTTTAAGGGAGTCGGGAGGTCCTAGACCAGGTGCATCAAATCCTAACTTGGCTTTTCGGATAAGGGAACCAGTTGTATGGGGGTGTGATAGCATCTGAGGATAAATTCCAATAGACGTTATTTATTGAGTGTTTCCTATATAGGAAGCTAGGCAAAAAATAAGGCATGCTCCTTATATGAAAATAGGTCATGGTGTAGTGGAAAAACAAATAAGAAAGTACAGTCGACCCTTGAACAATGTCGGGGTTAAGGGCACTGATCAGCCATGTAGTTGAAAACCTGCCTATAACTTTGGACTCTCCCAGAACTTAACTATTAATGGCCTACTGTTGACCGGAAGCCTTACCAAGAACAGAAACAGTCGATAAACACATATTTTATATGTTATATGTATTATATACTGTATTCTTATAATAAAGTAAGCTAGAGAAAACATTAAGAAAATCATAAGAAAGAGAAAATATATTTACGGTTCATTAAGTGGAAGTGGATCATCATAAAGCTTTTATCCTTATTGTCTTCACGTTGAGTAGGATGAGGAGGTAGAGGAGGAGCTGGCCTTGCTGCATCAGGGGTGGCAGAGGCAGAAGTGATGGAGGAAGTGGAAGGGGAGGCAGGTGAGGCAGGCACACTTGGTGTAACTTTTGTTTCTTTAAAAATTCACATATATAAGTGAATCTGTGCAATTCAAAACTGTGTTGTTCAAGGGTCAACTGTAGATAGTCTCACTACCTTGTGGGGAATGCTATGATAGAGACTGCACAGGGAGGGCTCTCCTAAGCCACATGGGTGTGGGAGGGGATGGAACCCAAGGACATGAAGAGGCAATCCCCGATGGAAGTTGGTCAGAAAAAAATTCTAGGAGGGTCTTCAAAACCAGAGAGAGCTTTGTGAGGAAGAGCACACTGAATGTCTTGGCACAGTATTATTCTGGAGGCTCTGAGAAGTTGGGCAAGAGACGGAAAGGATTCAATTCACTAAGGTCTTTGAACATTTATGTCATCATGGTCAATAATTTTCACTGTTTCCAGTTGACTGTGGGAAAAATATGTGAGCAATTTTAGTATATGTAAATTGTTTTAAGATTTTTATTTTAAATCCTATAGTTTCAGGCCAATGTTGTCCTTGTTCTCATCAAAATGCAGCATTTGAAGTACCTATATTAGAGTTTCATGGGATGCTTGGTTAAAATGTAAATCATTGGGCCCCACTCACACCTCATACATCCGACTGTCTGTGGAATAGTTGCTACAAATCTGCATTTAAGAAATGCAGGTGAGGCCAGGCATGGTGGCTCATACCTGTAATCCCAGCACTTTGGGAGGCCAAGGTGGGCAGATCAAGTGGTCAGGAGTTCAAGAGCAGCCTGGCCAATATGGCAAAACCCCTCTCTACTAAAAATATAAAAATTAGCTGGGCGCGGTGGCACGTGCCTATAGTCCCACCTACTTGGGAGACTGAGGCAGGAGAATCGCTTGAACCCAGAAGGTGAAGGTTGCAGCAAGCTGAGATGGCGCCGCTGCCCTCCAGCCTGGGTGACAGTGAGACTCTGTCTCAAAAAAAAAAAAAAAAAAATGCAGGTGATTCTTATTCCAGGTGACTCTTATACACTCCACAGTTTGAGAAGCATTGAAGGATAGTTTTAAGAAGAAATCCAGGGAAAATACATCCATATGAGGGCTGTTAAGGGTCTGAATGCTGGTACCTGGGCTGCAGAGAGAGGGTAATTAGATTTTGGAAGTAGTTTGGAAATAAACATGGACAAGAGTTTGTTATTCATTGAATGTGGATGGTGGCTAGCAGGAAGAAAGGAAATGCCTTTCCTTATTGAAAAAAATATGACTTAGGCTATTGACATGAGATAGAGAATATTTTCCTTACACCCAAAACTGTACTCTTCCTATCTTTTGTCCTAGATTAATTCAGATTCTTGCTCAATAAATTTCCCAATTTTTACGCTGAAATGAAACATGACAGCACCAACTAAATGGGTGCCCAGTTTAGTTCCATAGAAACTCAAAGGCACATCCAGAGTAGTTGGTTGGAATTTGTATTTCTTGAGATGAAGAGGCTGGTATGTAACAGGGTGTATTTGAAATTGTCTTGCCAAATGAGAGTGTTGTGGAGCCTGGCAAGAAGGGCAGTGTAGTTCCATGATGGAGTCTGTTCTGTAGGCAGATTGGCCATGAGAGCTAATAAAAATTTGTTCATGAATTAACATCATTACAGGTTTTTTTATACCGTGAAAAAATGTTAGTTTGGTTGATTGTTTTTATCCTCCCACACTTCTGTTGTTCAAGTCCTCCAAACGACATCTTCAGTCTTCACAACTCCACAAGCTAATCTGTTCTAGATAATCCAAAAGTGGGATAAGACTTTCCTCTCCTGTTTTCAAAGGACACACCTCTGAGGATACAGTTTGCCTTGGTTGCTCTGAGTAACACAAGAAAATAGCATAAAATCCTGCTGTGATCTCAGCAAAGCCCCAAGCCACATACTTGTTGAAAAGAACATAGCTAAGAGAGTCATCAGAACTGAATTCTGACTCTGGTTAGTTATGTGGCCGTGGCCCAGTATGTGATTGCATATTGATGTTGAATGAGACACAAATTTAACCCTCAAGGAGCTTATACTTAAACAGAAAAGGCAGAGTCAGGGGTTGGAGAGATAGTTTGGCTTCAAGGAGGAAGCACTATTTAAGCAAAAGCTTAAAGAACAGATTAAGTTTTCAGGCATAGAAGGAGGTGGAGTGACATAACCAGAAGCCCCAGCTGAGTCATACCTGGAAGACAGACAAAAGTTTATATCAGATGGATTGAAGGGTATGTAGGAGAAGATACGTACCTGGCAGGGAGACGCCACAAATCCTAAGATTGTTTTCCCATGGCAAGCCTTATCTATTTCAGGACAGATGTGCTGATCCCTGAGATACCTTCAAATATGGTAAACTCTACTGCACAATTTGTGGTAGTGCGGGACTGTGTTCACGCTCTCTTCTGGCAAAAAAAAAGTCTTAAAAAATGAAAAGGAAGGGTATATGGGAGAAAATTAGGCAGTACAGGTGAGTAGGGAGAAGATCCTGCAAGGCCTTACAGGTTAGTCTTTGGAGTTTGCATTTCATTCTAGGCAATGCTTAGGAGTAGAAGACCAGGATATGTATTGGGAGACTTTGGAGATTCTATAGGTAAGAAAGGAGCCTGAACTAGAATTGTGGCCTTTAGAACATCCAGGAAGGGAACAGGGCAGGATGCACCTGCAAAGAGGACTCTGTGGGTTCGGGGAGAAGCCATCTCAGTGACAATGTCCATCGCAATCCTGGTTCTTTTGGTGTGTGTGTGTGGTATGTTTAGGCTCTGAATTTAGTTTTGGACTTTCTCCACTTACTGGCTGTGTGCCTCACCCTAAAACTCAATTTTTTCTTCTCTACAGTGGGAATAACAAATGTTCTGGTTGTGAAGAGTGCATCTGAAGTGCTTACACGGCGTCTGGCATATGCAGAGAAATTAGCTTACAAATGTTATTTTTCTGACTTCTCGCCTCCACTCCACTTACCCTGTCAGGAAAAAATAATTCACAAGGAATATCAAAACAATGATGCACCCTAGGAGTATCCAAGTATCTTAACTGAGTTATCTCATTCTGGTATAGTGGCAGAGTTATAACTAAAGAGTGCCAGAAACCCACGCTTTAAACATCCTGCAGTGCACACCTCGGTCTCGTCAGTAAGGACTTCACTTTCTTCTGAACTGGGGCTTGTGAAAGCTGGCCTGAAAAGCCTGATTCAAGGAGATCAGGCTGTGTCTCTGACTGGAGCAGCTACACTCCCCATCTGTAATTTGATTTGTTCTATTGCAGATGATGTACTGGGCAGAGGTGAGTGTGGATTGGTGAAAATCTGTTTTTATGACTGGCAAAGCAGTGCAGGGGGGTCTTTCACTGATAAGAAGCATCATCAGTAGGGTTTGTCCCTGATGCCTTTACAACAGCATCTGAGCACCTCTCAAGTTTTTCCAGGCCAGCTCCAGTTTCAGTGAGGAGAGTGTGGGCTTTCTATTCCCCAAATATTCTTACTACAGTTAATATGTAGGTTACTGCCCCAGCCCAACTGCAGGTTCCCAGATGTGAGTTCCATGTAGGCAGAAACTGTCCAGTTCTTGAAATTGAATTACTTCCTTGTGTATGTGTTTTTTTCCTACTTAAAGCTCCTCGGGATGCTTCCTCTCAAAAGTCTTTGAAGAATAAGAGGTTAAGCTAAGACAACCTGAATCAATTTTTTTTTTTTTGTCAAATGCGATTGAAATTATCCCCATAATTCAATAAAATAGCTTTTTCCCTTCTTTCTTTTTACTTTGTTGGAAACTATGCAACAGAAACAAAGTAAGAAGACTCTACCTTAATTTTAAAGGTAACTCTTACATAAAGAAGAAAGTCATTATGCCAGGCCAGGGGGAGAGTGGAAAGGGGAAATTTAGAGAATAGAAACAAACTTAAGCATCTTGTAAATTTTGAGTGAATTGTAAACACATAATGAATGAATGAGAAGGGCCAGCCAGGAGTCTGTGAAATGGTCCAGTTGGGAAATGCCTAATGCATAAACACAAATCTTGGTGACAGGTAGGTTAGTTATCTGTGAACTTTCTAAAGATTAAATAAACAATAATAGGATTTTGTTAATGTGCCAAAGTGAGTTTAAACCATGAAAGACACGATGCAAATATGCAAGTACCTTTAATTGGGCATAATAAAAAGTAGTGAGGTATGGTTAAAATAACATTTAGAACAAGAGAGAAGTTAGGGAGAATTTTTGTCTAAAAAGCCAAAAAGTGATAGTTGATTGGTGATTTTGTTGTTATCAGGAGAGAGAATTTTCTTAATGTAATAAGTTAGGTACTTTGGCAAGTGAAATGGGTTCTAGGCCAATTGCAAGTCCTTAGGATTCCCTGGCAGCTAGAAACCTTGGCACTCCCAAAAGACAGCTTCAGTTAAAATGACAGATGAACATGAGTCTTCAAGTCAAAACTACTGTTGTACCACGTCCATTGAATGTTTGGTGATTCAAGTCTCTGTTATTCAAGAACTGATTCTGTTTTTCCTCCTGTCAAAACCTTGGTTGATTTTGACTGTAGTAGCACATCTGGCAGGAATATGACAGAAAAAAATTAAGTTAAAAATATAATTTCTATTCCCCTATTTTTTCTGTAAAAGGCTTTATGGGGAAGAAGGGAAGAAGGTTGACATGAGTAGAGATGATACTTGCCTCTGGATGACCCAGTTGGGTTCTCCTTTGACTGCCATTCACCACAGTTGACCTCATTAGGCTCCGAAGTATGAGAAGAGCTTCATTGCCAAGTTAGTGAAAGAAGCAGATGATTTACTTTTGCTCGAGTGGGTCTGTAGACCTCGGGAGGTTAGCCATTTCTCTTAGAGTTTGGTGTATGTATTAAGATACAGCATGTATGTAGGTATATATAATACATATATGTGTGTATACATATATATATATTTCTGGTTTGTTTAATATCTTTTAAAAAATTTTAATGGAATTTTTTGAACATGTACAAAAGAGAAAGAATCCTACGATGAACTCCCATGTATCCATCATCCAGCCTCAATAGTGATCAACCCATAGCATATTGTGGTTCATGTTGACACTCATCCACCTCTTTCCTTCCCCATCTCTCCCCATTATTTTGAGACGAATGAGATCCTGGGATTTCGTGAAAATATTATGAATATCTTATTTGTGAGAACAAGATTTCCCAAAGCATGATCCCCAGAAACCTAGTCCTGCAAAACTACTGCAAAAATAAAGTGTTCTAATCTCCAAACGTTTTAGGCAAGTGTTAGATATCATCTCTCTTTTTTGAAGAATTGTCCCATACGGGAATACATTAATGGTTCTTCACCTAAGAACTAATTTAAAGCAGTATCTTCCAAACTTAATTGAGTCTGGAATTCTTTATTTCCAGGAGAGTCTATTTACATTGTGAGGAAGAAATGTTAAGAGACAGTATTTACCACATTTGCCAGGCACTCACTATGTGTCAGGTTTTCTGTTAAATGCTTTTTATGGGCATTACTTCATTTAATCCTTATAAGAATCCTATGAGGTGAGATTGACAGATGAACATATTACCCCATTTTCAGATGAAGAAATTGAAGCTCAGAAATAGAAAATAACTTGGTAAAGGTCATAGCAGGCGCAAGATTTTCTCCCAGGTCTGAATGACTCTTGAATCTGAGTTCCCAACCCTCATGCTATGCAGTTGGAGAAGGGGTATTAACAATATCTGATGACATGAGCATCCTCTGGTGGCTTTAATGTATTCCACTTTTTGATTTGAAAGGCACTGGGAAGTTTATCTAAGACAATAGAGGAGAGAATAATCTAAAAGGTACAAAAGTTGTTTTGTACCTTCTATCATCTAAAAGGTACAAAACAATTTTTTTTCTACGGAAGTAGAAAATATTATTAATCAATAATGTTGTACTCCTATTTTCTTATGCTAACAAGGGAAACAAAAATACAACAGAACATACACAATCAGAGTCATTAGGCTAAGAACTTTGTTTAGTAATATTTTCTATTTCCATAGAAAAATTGTTTTGTGCTTTGTAGATTATTTTCACCTCTATTGGCTTAAACTTCCCAATGCCTTTCAAAAAAAATTAGGTTAAGCATTTTTTTTTAATTTAGCAAATAAGACACAGAAAAGATATATATCTTGCCAGAGGTTTGAAGTTCATTACAGAGCTGGAATCAGAATGTTGATATTTATGTCCAGGGCAATTTTTTTTAGCTGCACCATGAATATTGCATTGACAAATAGGATATTCCCCCAACTCCTGGCTTGTTCTGGTTGGTGTACACTGGGGAACCAAAGAACTGGGAGGGAAGGGAGACTGCCTTAATCCAGAGTTACTTGATAGTGGAGAGTCCATTAGTGTTAATATTGTTTTCAGGATTTTTCAGAGGCAAGGTCTAGTGCTTATCTTAGCATTTATATCATGTTTTGTATATTTTCAGGTAGGAAAGGAAAATCTAAAGATTTAGTTTTCTTAGGACAAACTGTGAACTACCATCATAGTCCATTGCTTCTTTACACGTGGAAAACCCTGCCAGTGCTCATTGTGATATGCAGTCATCCCCAGGCTGTTTTGGAAGCTCCAGTTCATGGCCCAACAGTGATGGGAGGGGCTCTGTGGAACCATTCAGGGATTCCTCAGTGAAGGTATCCATGATATAGCTGGGAAGAGGACCAAATGGTGAGGTGGAAGAGTGGCTCTTTACCATCTATCTCACATTCCTTGTCAAGGTCAATGTATTATTTTCTAGATGACATGTTTGGTATATTATTCCCTGAGTAAAAAAAAAAAAATATGCAAAAATTAAAATACAGATGCAATTATTTTCAAAGATATTATGGGAAGAAGGATAGTTGTGTAATAGCTACAGAGAATTAAGCACCAGCATTATTAGAGCATTAGCAAGGCAAACTAAACACCTCTGATTAACTGGGCATTTATTCTGGCTGAGACAAACTTGCATGGAGATAGGGAACATTTGGATGTACGGCTGCAAATAATGAGTGTTATCACTTCGTTAAAGTAGGTCAAGGTAAGCAAATGTGATAGATTTTTTTCCACATGGTATAATTACCAAAGGCAATTCAGTAGGTTTTAGACCTGGACCATAAAATTATATAATAAGCAGTCATTCATTGTCGGTGATTAAAAATAAATGTCTCCAGACAGATTAAAAGAGGAGAGACACAGAGTAAAGCACCATGATCCCACTGTTTATTATATCCACTCTCGTAATTAAGGAAGGTGTAAATTTAAAACATATTATTAAATATGTGGAGGCACCATGATATAGCAAAAAGAGAGCTGGTCCTGGAATCAGACCACCAGGGTTAAGGAATCACTTTTTATACCTTTGACAACATGGCCTCAGGAAAACAATTTGATCTCTTTGAGCTTTGGTTTGCTTATTTGAAAATGGACATTAACAATAAATTCTTAAAATATTTTCTAGTGGTCAAATAATATATGAATCTGCAAAGTTCTAGGCAAATGACTATTAATGATAATGGTTAAAAAAATACAAGCTATAAAGCCAGAGTGGAAAGGCAGCACCAAGTAACAACAGAGCTTCTGCAGGAGTTGACATATCTAGGTGTGCAAGCACAAGACCTGCTCTTCTGAAACAGTCTTACTGATGAGAGGAAGATCAACCAGTCCTAGAGCAGTGAGCCAGGGCAAAACAAAAGAGTCAATTGCAACCTAAGTATCAACCTAAGAGATGTACTAAGTATTGACTTTGGGATCCATGACACTAGGAAGAAGGAAAGGTGAATTTTTTTTTTCTTCATCTGGCCACCTGATTCCTTGTTCCGAGTATGCATATTAGTAGTCAGTGGTCATTATGATATAATAGTTAAATTTTTTTTTCTGGCTGGTTTAATTAGGTTGAGATAATCCAGAGTGAAAAATGCTCATTCTGTGCTTCCAGGGAACTCCTGCTAACACCAAAATTTGAAATCAGTTAATGTCCAAAGCACTCATGTGCCATAGGAAGGTCAGTCAGCCTATCCATGTTTCATTCCTGGAGGTGTTGACACTAAAAGAGCCCCCTGCCATCCAAAGACATCCCAGGTAGCACAGAAAGTAAGTAATACAGCTGCAGTAGACTTCATGGTTCAGGGCTTTTCCACCTGCTTTATCTACTGGAGGTTAATTGGATGTTTTGCAGAATACCCCAAGCATGGTTGTTACTCCACACAAATAATACCATTAATGAAAAAGGAGGCTTTAGAGTATAGCATGGGTAGGAAGAAGTGTCTGGAATTTGCTTATTTGAGGGTAACTCTCCAAGGGATTTGTGGAGATCTGGTAAAAGTCCGTAATTACTTGCTCAATAGGAAGATATGGTATATATTATTTCCAAAGTGAAAAAGATGCCTGACTGCAAGTCTCAGGGCCACATGAAGTTAGCAGTGAAAGAATGCAGCATATAGTTTGTTGGAGAGGTGGAGAGGATAAATCAGTGAAAGGTGAGTTAAGTTAGGGTGGAAAGGAAGGGGTGGGAAGTCTTTCTGGCTTTAGAATAGGCTCTGGCAGTTCTGTTGTCAGTAACTGTCACCATACTATTCAGGGAAAATTTGACAATCTCCATTGCTAAATCCCCAAAAGTAACAGTTTAATTTATTTTTCAGAACAAGCCTCATATAGATTGCAAATATTTTGAGTGGCAAGTTGATTTATTAGGGGAAAATTTTTCCCCATATAATTAAGTTTGCCTCTTATGTTATAATGTCAAAATCAGAGAAAATGTAGACATATTTTAGTTCATCCTAAAGAGACTAGAGGTACTGCAAAAATACTAAGAAGACTTCTAAAAAGTTCTTATTTGATTTTTGCAAATTAAAATAATGATACTATCTAATGGAAACAATTAGAACAATATTGCACAAAGACATAAAGGCAAACATAATCAATGACCTTCCCTCCAATATAATATTAGTGTTCACAGCATGACATGAGTCTTTCCACATAACTCCTTATTTACACATATGAAAAAAAATTTTAAACAGGCAAACGCTTAGACAAAAACAGAGAATCTCAAAGTGCTTGAGATTTTTCAGCAGAATCAGAGAAAACCAAAACTATTCTCTTTGGCTTCAATCTTAATATAGAAAAATCTAGGCTAAAGCATTGGGGCTAGAGTGAGGTGGAGGTCAAAAAAGAGCACCAAGAGAAGTATACCTGAAGCATTTATTTCTAGAAAATTAGTCTTGTGCAGAATACCAGATGCTAGGCCATGGGACTTCTTCTCTCAACCTTCCTCTTTCATTTTGCTTATAGAGAGAGGTACATGGTGACATGTCAAACAGCGACTCTTGTATCCTTAGGGAAGCTCTAATCATCAAAGTGTATTCAATATACGTCTTGGTGAGCATGTGGTTGTATGGTACAAAGGTTAGGAAATCAAGCTAAAGAGATATGGCCCTAACTTCCAGGGCATAGAAAGAGAAATCAAGGACCCAGAGGCAGATGAACAAGGAAAATAAGTAGCAGAATGAACCAGGGACTTAATATATTTGCAATGTGTCTGGTTTGTATTCTGTGGAATGATGAGGGAGGAACCTCTGGAGCATGTGCACATTTGGACAAGATGAGCCTAGAGAGGAATAGCTGTCTCACTTCCAGACATGCTGCTACCTCTGCCTAGTGAATATAACACAGGGAAGGGCTGAAATGAAAGATAATTTTCACATGCGGAGATGAAACTGCAGTCTAAATCCACTGAGGTATAATCCCACTATGCCCAGGGTTACTTATTTAAAAAATATTTTTGGGGTTTTGACAGGTAGTGTGCTATCCAAAGTATAAAATAACAAATACCATGATAGCTACATTGTATATTTGACCACTCCACGGAAGAATTTGGATAAAAAACCTTTTCTCATTCTTTTATCTTCCCTCCCTTCCTTCCTTCCTTCCTTCCTTCCTTCCTTCCTTCCTTCCTTCCTTCTTCCCTCCCTCCCTCCCTCTCACTCTTTCCTTCTCACCTTCTCTCTTTCTTTCTTTCTTTCTTTCTTTCTTTCTCTCTTTCTTTCTTTCTTTCTTTCTTTCTTTCTTTCTTTCCTTCTTTCTTTCTTCTTTCTTTTCTTTCTTTCTTTTTTTTCTTTCTTTCCTTCTTTCTCTTTCTTTCCTTCCTTCCTTCCTTCCTTCCTTCCTCCCTCCCTCCCTCCCTCCCTCCCTCTCACTCTCTCCTCCTCACCTTCTCTCTCTCTCTTTCTTTCTCTTTCTCTCCTTCCTCCCTTCCTTCTTTCTCTTTCTTTTTTCTTCATTCATCCATTCATCTATTTATATAGCATATATATGTATGTATGTATATCTTTATGTACACTTGTGTATGCATAGATACAATACGAAACAAATTTAAAACACTTGTGGTGAGTTATTGCATTATTTTTGGAGTTCCCTCAAATGGGAAAATTTGGTATTTCTTTCTCTTGTGATAATCAGTTTTATTTACAGAAAGGTCAGAAGTAAACTGCTTTTATCATTTGCTAGTGGGGTACATTACAGTGAGCAATTCTAGTTACAAGTGCATCAGGGTTTGGCTACTACTCCTGGAACTCTTTCCTTCCCATTGGGCTTCCATCTCTAAGATCTAACTGAAGTTCCCTAAAGCAAGCATTCAACTTGCTGCTTGGTAAAATATCGAACAACCCCCATGCCCACCCCAGTATTCCTAAATAAATAGTGTAAATAAATAGATGATGAATCTGGCCTCCGAGAATATGGTTCAGAGATTATAGAGTATCTATATTGTTCTGCTCTCTATGAATAGGTATAAAAACCTGTTGAATAGATGCTAAAAATCAGTGGATATGTTGCACCTCAAAAATGTTGTTCTTTTAAAGAGGGCAGGAACAAATCTGCTAGTCCCAATAATCTGGATGCAGACAGTCATAGTAATGATGATGACTGTGGTAAGAAATATGAACCTATATTCTGAGGCCAAGAAACCTCTTACCTGTTCACCAGGGCTTCAGAAATGAATGGCAAACTCCAATATATTTTTTGAAATGCAGAAAATAATTTAGAGTATTATTTGTATTTGGCTTTTAAACTTGAGAAAATACACAGCCAATGCCAACTGAAGTGTTATCGAAGTTTAATCATGAGTATGTAACATATATCAGCTACTCCCTCTTCAATCTTCACAGATTTTTGTAAAATAGTGACCCAAGATGGAAAGGATATTCTAAGCAATGGGAAGGCAAAGAGTCGCTTAAGCTTTTCATTCATTGTGATAGCAACTGAACTTCTTAATGTATTTATTGTTATAAAAATGTGCTTGAAACCACCAATTATTTTTTCCTGTAGATGGTTAGAACTTTTAATATTGTCTGGGAAACTTCTAGAAGCATAATTTGTCAAGTCAACCTGCATACAGCATTTGTAAGTACTCTCTATGAGAACACTCAGAAAATGTTACAGTTTCTGACTCATTCTCTCTAGCCCAGTTGTGTGTTAAACTGAAGGACACACTTGACTATTGCACTAGGAAAAATGGGTTAGGTTCTTTTTATCTCTGTCAGTTTCCCTTTATCCACACATTTAAAATAATTTCTCTCTTTTCTTTTTAAGTCACAGCTGTGTTATTCAAGTGCACTTTTTTTTTTCAATAAAGAAAATATACTGCATTGGCATTCTGAGTCATTCTGGTTTTGTTGGTATTGTTTATTTTAAATTTAAAGATTCAGCAACACCGTGGGTAATAAATGAGAGGCTTTGACAGAACTAAAATAAGTGTGCCTTACGTTAAAGGGATCAGCCAAATTACACAATTCAGTAATTCTCCATTTGCCCATAACTTTGATTTGTGTGGACTTTTCTAAAACCACAAGGTTTAGGTAAAAATGCTCAGTAGTTGGGAATATTTCTAAACATTTGGCAGCACTGGGAGCTATCCAAGAAACTCAGGATATCTCTGTGAAGCATGTTACTTATCTCCTTGTCTGAGCAAAAGGAAATATCTGAAGTTCACCCTCTAAAAACTGGAATAACCAATAAATATTCTATTGTTATCTTTATGCCTTCATCTTAGCAGGTAACATTTTCTCGTTAGAAGAGCTGGTTTTCCCCACTGGCTGTAAGTATTTAAGGCAATCTGTGCATATTGCAACAAAGGCCCCAGAAATTTAGAGGGACACACTGTCCTATAAACCCAGCACCATAGCAAACATCTCAATCCCATATTATGGCCTTTTGGGAAAGAAACAAAACAGAAAACATGGAAGAGAGTTACTCATGAGAGTATGAGTGTCTCTTCACTCTCATGAGGTGAAAACATTTGAAACCTTCTAACATATTGCTACTGACAGGTAGCGCTATTTCACAAAGCCATGTAAAACAAAGGCTCTGCTATGCTCTACCAATACCACCAATCAATCAAATGAAAAACACCAAGTCAACCCCTAATCTGAGTTGCTTCAAGATTTATTGCTAGAGGTGCTTCCCAGCACTTTGGAGGGCCAAGGCCAGAGGATCACTTGAACCCAGGTATTCAAGACCAGCCTGGGCAACATAGCAAGACCTCATCTCTACTGAAAAAAAAAAAAGAAGTTTATTGCTTACTTGCATCACAATCCAATACCAATGGGCAGAGGGACTCTGTGCACACAGTTCTACAGGGTCAGGCTCCTTCCATTTTGTGACATCTTCATGTTCTGCATGCAGTCTCCAAGACTGCTACAAAAGGGGGAAGTGACAATGGAGACTTAAACGGTGAGATTTTGTAAGTCATGCCAGAATGTTTTATCTGTCACTTCCACCTACTCTCCATTAGCCAAAACTGCCATATGTCCCACCCCAACTATAACAAGGTATGGAAAAATGAGTCTTCCTGTGTGGCCAAGTGGAAAATGAGATGGTTTTGTTGAACACATGACACAGTGGTTGTTCTTTTGTTTATTTTATTTGTTGGCACCAGTGAAAATATTAACTCTTAATACTAGTTCAAGACTTTTTAAGTCGTTGTTAAAATATAATGAGGGGGATAAATAATATCTGTTATTTATTAAGTTCTTAGTACATGCTGGAAATGCAACAATACTTATTTAATCCAGTCTTTACTGACCCTATGTATATGAAGTAGATACTATTGTTATCACTCATTTTATAGATGAAAAAAATGAGATTTAATTAAGAACTTGTTTTGTAATTGACAGAGCTGGGTTTCTATCCAGCCATTTGCTGTCAGAGCCTGGATTGTACTCACTGAGCCATATTGTTTCACCAAACAAACACTGAGTCCCATATGTATTTGTTTGGGTTCACTCTTGGTCTTGATTCAGAACCAAGTGCTCTACCCTTCCATGCCTGATCTTCATGATCTGCAAAAGAGGGATAAAAATACCTCCTACTCCCTTGGCATTTCAAACCAACTGGGGTAATCACTGTGAAGTACATTAAATTCTGTCCAATACAGGCTGCACAATATCCTTATGGTTTAAATGTGATTTACTTTTTGAATAGGTAATAGATTCACATGATTGAGATTTCCCAAAGGTACATCAGAATCTAGAGTGAAAAGTTTCCTAACCGCTTCTGTCCCTTCTCCACTCATTTTCCCAGCACAAAGCCAATCCATATTACTAGACAGATTTGTATAATTCATTTACATAATTTGTTTACCCTTCGGTAAATAGACTAAATTTCTAAAACAATTCTTGCTTTTTTTTTTTGCAATTAACATTTTAGCCTGGTGATTATATTCATACATACAATATCCTCATTCTTTTTATCCATTGTATAGTTGTTAGTTATAAGAATATATTATAATTTGTTCAACCAGTGTATTAGTCCATTTTCACACTGCTATAAAGAAATTTCTTGAAATTGGCTATTTCTTTGTAAAGAACTGAGAGGTTTGATTAACTCACAGTTCTGCATGGCTGATGGGGGTGTCTCAGGAAACTTACAGTCATGGCAGAAGGGGAAGCAAATACATCCTTCTTCACAAGCTGGCAGGAGGGAGAAGTGCAGAGTGAAGGGAGAGGAGCCCTTTATAAAACCATCAGATCTTGTGAGAACTCACTGACTATCATGAGAACAATGGCATGGGGGTAACTGCCCCCATGGCTCAATTATCTTCACCTGGTTCCACCCATGACACATGGGGATTAAATTCAGATTATCATTCAAGATCAATTCAAGATGAGATTTGGGTAGGGCCACGGAGCCAGACCATATCAACTAGTTTACTATTGATGGACATTTAAGTTGTTTATAATGTTTTTGCAGTTTTTCACGTGTGATTATTTGTATGACAAATTTTTAGAAGTGATGCCATAAGAAGTTAAAGCTAACATTTAAATTAATATCATTGCATTTAATGATTGAATTTGGTATTAGTCATTGTAGTGTGCAACTGCAAATATCACAGTAAAGATAAAAAGTATATAATGTCTTTTTTTTTTCTGAGACGGAGTCTCGCTCTGTCGCCCAGGCTGGAGTGCAGTGGCGCGATCTCGGCTCACTGCAAGCTCCGCCTCCCGGGTTCACGCCATTCTCCTGCCTCAGCCTCCTGAGTAGCTGGGACTACAGGCGCCCGCCACCGCGCCCGGCTAATTTTTTGTATTTTTAGTAGAGATGGGGTTTCACCATGGTCTGGATCTCCTGACCTCGTGATCCGCCTGCCTCGGCCTCCCAAAGTGCTGGGATTACAGGCGTGAGCCACCGCGCCGGGCTATAATGTCTTCTTGACCATCTCAGGATGAAGCTGCTATTAGAAGAAATGAGGTTGTGATCAGTAGCACTAAATTCTAAAAATTCTGATTGTGGGTCCATCATTATTTAAGTGTTTGGCTTGTTCTTTTTCCACTTTCTTGATCTACATATCTAAATAATGATTGTATTTCTATTTGCTTTATCGCTGTTAGAAGGGGCCATGACTCTAAATAAAAAGTTCATGAATCCAGTTTATAAGATATTTTGGAACTTAATCATATTATAGTTTTTGTTATTTTGCTTAACTCTTAATTATAAACCAACATCACAGGCCTGCAAGTACAGTCATCAACTTGTTTCACAATCCCCTCACAATATCTAAAATAGAAAGTGCAAATGATTGTGGTTGGAATAAGTCAGAAGTTTGTTTCTCTGGTAAGTGGTCTAGTGATATTATGATGAATGTATTCACTCATCAGGGATCCAGGCTCTTTCCACCTGTTGCTCTGCCATTCTCAATGTGTAGCATCCATCTCAATGATCAAGGTGGTTTTCTCCAGCTCCTCCCATTGTTTCCACAATCCAGAGAGCAGGAGGGTGGAAAGGAGAAAAAGCATGTCTGTTCTAAGGACATAACTTGGAAGTTTCATTGTCTCATACATCATTTTATTTCACAATTCTATAGCTAGAACTTAGTCACATGGCCACATCTAATTATGACAAAGATTAAGAAAAGCGGTCTTTATTCTGTTGAGGGGCATGTTATCCCATGGCTAGAACATGAAGTTTAATTATTATGAGAGAGAAGGAGAGAATGAGAGACATATAGCAGTCTCTCCCATGGCTTATCTCTCTTCCAGCCAAATACCTATGTGCACCCTTCTTCTCACTGACAGGACACACTTCGGCACCTGCTCCATTCCCATCAAGAAAGACAACTACAAAGTCTCATCTGGTAAATTGCATTAGGAGGGCCCAGAAGTTCAGGGTGATGTGAGTCATTTCTATCAGGTTTGGGTGAGTCACCCTATGGTCTATTACCCCTCACCCCCAACTGCACACAATAGACAATGGTGAGGGTGGGAACTGGGTAATTACCATGAAGACTTCCACTCAGAAAAGTGCAGAAAGGGATGTACTGAATCACAGAGAGCTATGGCATCTAGCAAATCCAACTCAGCAGGTGTTTTGATACTTCCCAACCCAAGCAGTGAAGTAAATTCCTTAATCAGCTCTATCTGGTAGTGCTGGTTCTTCCCACTGGAAGGAATCCCTTACCATTTAGATTCTTTGGGCTCCAGTGGTGTCTTTTAGACATCCTTTTTGGCTTTTTATTGTCTACTACTAAATCTGAAGTAGTCACTGGAGAGTGTGCACTTCCTGAAAGCTGTAGAGGGTTCTCAGCCAGCTTTCTGATGGTGCAGGTTTGGAAGTTCAGGGTTTATTTTAGGGATCAAAATCACATCATTTGAAGGTGAGGCTTGCATGTATTGCCCCATACCTGTGATTATAGAGAAAGTGGGGTAGGGAGAGAAGGCACTGAAACTGGAATTAAAATTGTCATCGCCACAAACATGTGTGACTAGGACAAGTCCCCCTCTCAATGTTGATTTCCTCATCTGCAAAATGATTATTTTGAACTCTGCTCTCTGAGGGCCCCAACCAGTTCAGTCCTGACAGCCGGTTTTAAGTGAGTAAGCAGTTGCCATTTCTAGGAATGTTTGAATTTCCTTCAGCTTTGAAGTCTTTTTAAATCTTTTGTTGGTGGAATGTAGTTTATTAAAATAGAAAGAGCACATCATCTCTTGCATTCATACTGTTTTCCAAAGTAGTTTGTGCCATTTTAGTTCACCGTGCTCTTTCCCCCCACCTCCAAACCTGGAAATAGGACTCCTTTCTTTCCCATCCTGGCTTTGGGCTTCATTCCTGAGTATCCTTATGAGAACTGTCAGACACTTTTTTCTCTGAATGGAGGAAATTGTATTGGTTCAAGGACGAGAAGGTCAACAGACACAGATTCTAGAGCAGTGGTCCTCTGTTCTGTATGTTTGTGTGTAGAGGGAGACTTGAATATTTTGAAAAATATTCTCCAATTCTTTCCTGATACACCGTTCTATCACTGCCTTATTTAAGATGGTAGATTTTGGAAGAACTTTTGGGGTGATCTGATGTCTATTCACCTTCTATGCCCCACTCCAACACACACAACACACACACACAGACACACACACCCCTCCATGAAGAAGCATTACCCCAGATTGGGGAAGTTGCTAAACATTTCTACATAAAAAGAACTTAACCCAAGATGAAAATTTGATGGAAGACTGTGTTAGGTTCCCATTGGTGCTGTAGCAAATCGCCACAAACTTAGTGTCAACCTAAATAACAGAGAGAGAATCTCTAAAAGAAAATATATTTGTTTGGGAATAGAGCATTGCAATGAGAATACACATGTCATAGTAACCTATGTGCATATTCAGGGAGGTAAAGGAAGATGAAAGTTTTCACTTTATTTATTTTATTTATTTATTTATTTATTTATTTATTTATTTATTTATTTACTGAGACAAAGTCTCACTCTGTCTCCCAAGCTGGAGTGCAGTGGCATTATCCCTGCTCACTGTAACCTCTGCTTCCTAGGCTCAAGCTATTCTCCTGCCTCAGCCTCCCTAGTAGCTAGGATTACAGGCGTGTGCCATCATGCCTGGCTAATTTTTCTACTTTTTAGTAAAAATGGGGCTTCACCATGTTGGCCAGGCTGGTATTGAACTCCTCACCTCAAGTGATCTGTTCATCTCGGCCTCTCAAAGTGCTGGGAATACAGGTGTAAGCCAGTGCACCTGCTTGATAGTTTTTAAAATTAAAAATGAGAAGAATTACATTATTGTTTTGAAGCAATTATCCTTGTCTACAAAGATCAATAACAAACGTGATGCCAGTCCAAGGCTGGACAGGGAGTTACTGGGCAGATTTCTTTGCAGAAGTATTTTTTGTGGAAAGCCTTTATGCAAATTGTTAGTTTTTGTAGTGCCTGATTTTTTTTTTTTAAATCAGATATACAGGCATGAGAACCCTCTCTTCATGGCCTTCCTCAGCTCTATCTGTCACCATTTTCTTTCTTTCTTTGAGACATAATGTTGCTTTGCTACCCAGGCTGGAGTGCAGTGGCATGATCCCAGCTCACTGCAACCTCTGCCTCCCCAGCTCAGGTGATTCTCCCACTCCAGCCTCTTGAGTAGCTGGGACTACAGGCATATGACAGCATGCCCAGCTATTTTTTTTTTTTTTTGTATTTTTAGTAGAGATGGGGTTTTGCCATGTTGCCCAGACTGGTCTTGAACTCCTGAGCTCAGACAATCTGCCTTTTTTGATGTCCCAAAGTGCTAGGATTACAGTCATGAGCCACTGCGCCCAGCCTGTCACCATTTTCTTAATATTAGTGACTGCATCTTAATTCTGACAACTTTCACAGTAGCTTAAAACAATACATTTCTTTTTAAACTTACAGTTCTGGAGGTCAACAGTCTGAGATGGTCAATAGTCACTTGGCTAAAATCAAGGTGCTAGCAGGGGTTCATTCCTTTTTAGAGGCTCTAGGGGGAAATTCATTTTCTTGACTTTCCAGCTTTAGAGGCTGATCACAGTTCTTGGCTCATCACTCCCTTCCTCCATCTTCAAAGCCAGCAATGGCTGGTGGAGTCTTTTTTATGATGTCATATCTCTCATTCTGATCCTCCTATCTCCCTCTTTCCCATTCAATTCCCTTGTGATTAAATTGGGTCCACCTGGATAATCCAGAATAGTCTTTTTATTTTAAGGTTAGCTTATTATCAACCTTAATTCCATCTGCAATGTTAGTTATTCATAGGTTCTGGAGGTTAAGACATGGAGATATTTGAGACCATTATTTTGCCTAAAACAAACACCAATCAATGTTGAGAGAAAACTAGCAGGTAATAACATTTTAGGTACATGTTAGATAATGAATTTTACTCTATCTATTTATTTGACATATTGTGTGATTGCTATGAATCTGGCACTGAGCCAGGCTTTAGGAATAAATGTAATGAAAAAACAAACAAACATCACAAAAACTCATGTATTTTCCTCTGTGTGGAGAAATAAGCAAGTCTGCAATAGGATGACATGGAAATGTCCTATTATGGGGAACTACAGACACTACAGGAGCAGCTTCGAACCAGACCTATGGGGTGACAGCAACTGGGGAAACCAGGCAAGGGATGGAGGGGTGAGGTGAAGAGGTGGGGGATGCAGCAGTGAGAGAGAACATAGTGACTGGCCACTCAGCAAGGAAGAATAACTAGAAGCAGTTCATAACTATTGAAGATGGGGACTGAATTTGGGAGAAGCAGAAGTTAGGAGATCAAGCTGAGGATGGAACTTTTGGCCAGACCATGGGCTTTGTAAGTGATTTTGAAGCATTGGCACTTTATTCTGATGGTATTGGGAACCGACTATAGGCTAGGAGGGCCAGATTTCCCTCATATAAAGGTCATTGCAAAGACCAGCACCAGAAGGGTGGTAGTAATGGAAATGGGAGTGAAAGGGTAGGCATGTACTATGGTTTGACTGTCCCTTCCAAAATTCAGGTGTTGCAACTTACTGGCCAATGTGATGCGAGTGAGGCCTTTAAGAGGTGATTAGAGCATGAAAGCTCCTTCCTCATAAAAGGGATTAAGGCTTTTATGAAAGAAGCTTCTCACAGCATTTGGCTAGCTTACCCTTCTGCTTTTCCCTGTGTGAGGACACAGCGTTCCTTCCCTCTCGAGGATGCAACAACAAGGTGCCATCTTGAAAGCAGAGAGCCCTCACCAGACAACTGAACCTGCTGGTGCCTTGATCTTGGACTTCTCAACCTCTAGAACAGTGGAAAAATAAATCTCTATTCTTTATAAATTACCCAGTCTGTGGCATTCTGTTATAGCAGCACAAATGGACTAAGACAGAATGAGACACCTTTAAAATAATTGACGGGAGCAGAGGACTGACTAGATGTGCTAAATAAAGAAGAAAGTCGAGTCAGTGACTATGAGACATTGCCCTTGGTGACGAAGCAAAAGAAAATGAGTTTGAAGTGGGGCTGATCCATGTGAAATGTGGAGGATCCCAAAAGATGATCAGAAACATCCAGCTCTCCCCAGAGGGGACTTGAACACACTTTGAAGAATCCCGAATTAAAAAAATATGAGTTCTTGTTAAATTTAAAATGATCTCTGGCTGGTAAAATTGATACGTTCTTGTTCTTTTATTGTAAAATGTAAGTAACATCATTTATAAAATTTGAAGATCAAATTGAAGGTGAACTATAATAACAATTTTTTCTTAAAAATAGAACCAAGCATTTTCTTGCTTTCCTCCTAAGTCCAAATCTAAAGATTCAGTGATGGGGAAATTACTTCATCTCACCTGGCAAAATGACAAGGGATGTCTTATAAAAATCTGTTTACAGTAGTACATTTTCAGCCTCATCATTGTAGAGCAGCAGCACACCTCCTCTGGTAGATTTCACACTTTAGTAATTCATTATGTCACAGGTTCCTCTTGGTGTGAAATTCCTCTGATTAGGAAGAGCTGACAGAGGCAGGAGAATGAAGTAATTCTCTTCTTCTCTCTTCTAAACAAGTCATTTTTAATATTTCTCCAAGGTCAAGTTCAATTGAAAATAGGACAGGGTGATAACTCCTTAGATTTGTACTAATAACGGGGTGTTCTCAGCAGAGGCTTTTTGGCAGGAGAGCAAAGATGACTTATCAAAATGCTTAAGAAAGCAAAATTGCCTGCCAGACAGGAGATCCAAAAGTTTTGGGGCTTGTTATAGCTAGATTTTTTTTTAAATTTTGCTAATAAGAATGAGCCTAATGCTACAACAGCAATGCCTTTGAAAGCATGATTTCAGATGCAGAGCGCAAATGTTCCTCTTCAAATTTTCTTTATAATTTTCATTTTAGATGTTTCCTTCCAACTAGCTTCAGAGTTAGATAAATTATGAGAGAGGCCAATGCTTTTTATCTTCGTGGCAATTGTTTGAGTGACATCTTGCAGCTTGTTTTCAAAAGACCAGTGGCTTCTTCATGAACTTTCCTCAATGAATCCTTCAATCATTCTAGTTGTCTTCCGTGGCCTGCAATACAGAGCCTTGAAGATCTGGAAAATTGATGTTGGTTGTCTATAGATTCAAGGGCCTGTGGCTAGATTCACTTACTCATAGGTGTCAAAGAGGGGCTTATATTTCACAAGTAGTGATACTAAATGGTCATGGCTAAGCTCTTGATTCAAGCCTCAGCTCCACCCTTTCCTAGGTTTGTGATCTTGGGCAAGTTAGTTAACCTATCTGAACCTAACCTCAATTTCTTATCGGGACATAGAGATACAGGTAGTATTTGCCTCATTGGGGTTTATGAGAAGATTAAATGAGATAAGATATAGAAAGTATTTAGGCCAGTGGGTAGCACATAGTGAGCTCTAAACAGGAGGCAGTTATTTTTAATTATGTGCTATAAAAAGAGAAAAATGAAAAGACTCTCAAGTTCTGAAAAGAATATTAAAAGATTTTTATTTCTTCCTGTATAGCCCCTGTTGTTTTATAATTTGGTACCACCTGCCTTTTATAATAAACACAGCATCAAACTCTATGAATGCATTAATAGAAAATGAAAATCTAAAGAGAAAAAGAAAAAATAAAATGAGGGGTATGATGAAAAGATGATATGTGAAAGATAACTTTTCTTGTTGATGTTAATATATTGAAAAAGCACAGAGAGAAGCCTCTTTGGCTTTGAAGTGCCGAACTAATTAGATCTGGAGAATAGATCCTGAGAAAACGTGGGGATGATAAAAGGGAGCATCATTCCAAGATATTCAGTGGAAAGAATCACATGTAAGAGAGCCTGAAGGCTTAGCATTATTCCTCAAAGGGGAGTGACAAGGGAATTAAAAAAAATTTAAAGATTGGTGTACCTGGAAAATTCTCTCTTCTCTCTGCACTAATTCCACCTAGGCTTCTAGACCCAGGTAAGTTTCCACCTTTCAGGAGCCTTCGGACAGTATATATCAAAGCTCTTCCTGTCCACTCTTCCCTCTGAAAGTCCACACCCTTGGACATCTAAGATTTAACATTTATTCTATCTTAACATTTTTCTTAGATTGTTCTGATTTTGGTGATTGGGGTGTCCATATTTGATTTTATGCCCTTCTTTACAGGCTTGAGCATATAAATATTTCCCAGTACTTTCCTTTAATTTTTACATCTACTCTATGTACATATACATTTTATTACTCTATGTGTAATGAAAAGTATATGCACAGAAGTAATTTCCATAGTAAAGTAATTTACACAGAAGTAATTCAGGATCAGGGAGTTGAAGAAATCTCGGATGGTCATATATCCATGCCTTCCCTGTCATCTTTTATCAACTGTATCTTTGTCCATTTGGGCTACTGTCACAGAATATCTTAGACATTGTTGCTTATAAGCAACAGAAGTTTATTGCTCACAGTTCTGGAGGCTGGGAAGTCCAAAATGAAGGCACTGGCAGATTCAGTGTGTGGTGAGGACCTTCTTCCTCATAGATGCCATCTTCTCACTGTGTCCTCACATGGTGCAAGGGGACAATAAGCTTCTTTTATAAGAGCACTAATCCCTTTTGAGCAGGAGCTCTCATGACCTAATAGCCTTTCAAAGGCCCCACCTCTTAATTCTACCACCTTGAGGGCTAGGTTTCAACATATGCATTTTGGAGGGACATGAACATTCAAACCATAGAACACTGGATGCTCATCTTCCTCTACTCTGTGCAACTTCTAGACTCATCCAACCTCTAGCTTCCTCTCTCCACTGTGATTTGCTGATTTCTCTGTATCTTCAAATGGTTCTCTGAATGCTCCCTCTACATCCTTGCCTTTTCTCTAACCTGGGTTTCCTTTGATGATGAGGCTTCTCTCATGGCTCTCTCAAATAAAGACCCCGTTTTTCTCTCACATCTCATAAAACTCAAGGCCAGAAAATTGTGTAGGCATATCCCTGGCTCTCAATTGTTGCTTCCAAACCATGTCTCTTCTTTCCTATCTCAGAGCAAATAAACAAAAACCCCAAAACAAAAATGCAGGTCCTTTGAAACTTGGTGCTTTCAACTCTTCTATCATTTTTTCTTAACCTTGCTGCTGACTACTGGCCTCCTGTCTTGCAATCTTTCCTGTAAGACTTTGACTCCCGACTTTTTGTCTTCCTATCTCTAGTTCTGTCATCATTTATGATAACTGTAATATCCATATAAATGAGCCAGTTAACAGCCTGAACTATCAGTTCTTTAATATCCGCACATCAAATGACCTTTTGTCTGTCCCTCTTCCCAATCCTTGACATTAATACTTCTAAAATCCTTACTTCTGGCAGTGGAACAATCTCATGTTTCATAGTGGAACAAAGTTAGTTAAGGGTAAAGTGGCCTTGAAAGGGCTTTGTAGCTGGAGACCAGGGACAACTTTAAGATGATCTCTGTGAGTTCAAGAGTCAAGACAGAATAGGAACAAAGACATCTTGGTGGATGCCGGGGTGGTTTTGATAACCACTAGGTCACAACCCTCATGCCCAGGCACTATTTAAGCCCCCAGCCAATACTAGAAATCAAATATAATCTTTAAGAAAAGAGTAAGCTCCCAAATTGGCTAACATTAAGCTTCCATCACCTAGTGGAGTTTTGCAGATTAAGCTCCATTATAAAAGAGTATAGAAAGTTACATTTGCTGTACAACAATGCTGTGAGATAAGATTGGTACCTGCCTTATGCACTTTCCCACTTTTAAAAAAGTCTACTTAATAGTTTCTTCTCTCTCCTCAAACTTTCCCCTCTCCCATCTCTTTTTGTTCATTCTTCATTGAGAAATGTAAAGGAATACAGAAAAACTTCCTTATATTTTGAGCCAGATTCACATTTACATATTTATACATGCACATATATATATATGTTCTCAGTCTTTCCCCCCACCTTTACAATGTATGAAATACCCCAAGTCCATTCTCTTCTCAACATTGTGCAGCTGCAGTCACACACCCTCTTCCATTCTTTTTCTTATTTTTTTATTGTATATTTTTAAGGTCTACATCTCTTTTTGATCATCATCGCCCTCTCCCTCTCAACTGGAAGTTCCCACTAGCATACAACTTGACATTCTTTTTCCTTCACTCCAGGATTCTACAGCGCCTTGAGCTACCACCTCATCTCTTGGCTCTTGGCCAAGGCAAAACATTTTGAAAGGGTTGTCTCCCCTCATTGTCTCCACTTCCTCATTTCCCAGTCATTCTTCAAGCTCACTTCAAGCCCCCGCAGTCTGGCTGCCTTCTCCCACTCCACTCAAGATGCTATTTTCATATTTGCCAATGACTCCCATCTTTCAGAATTTAATGCATATGTTTCTCTTCTTATTCCATTCAAGATTTTAATTTGCATTATACCCAGAGAGTCACTTTTTTCTCTTTCTTCTCTTGGCTTTGTCTTTTGACACCTGACTCTCCAAGTTTTCCATGCATCTCACTGTTCATTTCTTCTCATTTTCCTTTGCTGGCAACTCCTTCTTTAACCAACTGATATTTAAAAAAAATCATTTGATATATATTTTTTTAAAAGAGCCTGTCAACCATGAACATAAAACCCTTAATGGACTTTCACTGTATTTAGAAAAATATTCAAGTTCTTCAGGTACCTTGTTCTCCAATATTTCTCACACCACTTTTCTTTTGCTCACTGGACTCTAGAAATGCTGGCCTTCCTCGTGATTTTCCTGCATCACAGCCTTTGCCCCTGTTATACTCTCTTCCTGCCACTCTCTTCTCTTCACGGATATTTTGTGTGACTGGCTTCCTCAGGGGTCAGGTCAATTGTCATCTTCACAAAGAGGACTTTTCTGGCTTCTTTCTAAGTTTCCCTTTCACACTACTCTATTTCCTTTCTAACGATAATTATAACTGTCTTTTTCTTCAAAATATATTTCCTCATTAGTTGTCTCTCTTTGAATGTAAGACTGATGAGAGCAGGAACCTTGTCTATCTTTTCACTGATGCATTCTGAGTGCCTAGAACAATGCTTGGTGCATAGTAGATGCTCATTAAATATTTGCTGGGTAAATAAATGACTAACTAGGTAGTATCGGGGCAGGGATTAAAACCAAGTTTAGGGATTCCAATCTCTGTGTTTGTATTTAACTACTCCACTATCCTAACTTTAATAGTACAATTATAGGATCAGAGACTTTTCTTTCTGATCTGCAGGGGAAGATGTTAGCAACCTTCTGGGGATTTGTCAAAAGAACTGAACTCAAGGTTTTGAACTTGGAGTTGTTTGCTCTTTAGTCCTATTCCTTTCCTTCCACTTTGTAATGGGGTGGGCCAGGGTCTGTGTGGCAGCTACAGGGTTTGGGGTTAGTGAGCTCCTTCCATCTACCTAAGACAGTTTATCACCAGACCCAGTGGAGGTTTAATACATTATTTTACCAAGTGGTTCAAGCTAATACAGGTTGCATATCCCTTATTCAAAATGCTTGGGAGAAGAAGTGTTTAAGATTTTGGATTTTTTCAAATTTTGGAATATTTGCATTATACTTACCAGTTGAGTATCCTAATTAGAAGATCTCAAATCCAAAATGTTCCAACGAGCATTTCCTTTGAGCATCACGTTGGCGCTCAAAAAGTGTAGGATTTTGAAACATTTCAGATTTTGAATTTTTGGATTAGGGATGCTCAACCAGTGATTTGAAACACTGCAACATCAAAAGCCTGGGGATTGTTCCTGGTATATCTATCTTATACCTTATTTTTCCCACACACAAGTATACAGGGCCTTGTCAAATAGGTCCTTGGAGGGTGTCTTTCATGAATCTCCATGCTCCCCTCTTCTGTGTTCCTTTCAGTCCTCATGACTTCCCCACAGTCCTCTCTTTTTCATCTTTTCATCTATTCCCACTCTTCTAGTTGTTCCCACATCCAATGGCCTTCTTTCCCACAAGACAAAAAGCATCTAAACCCTATGTGGAGTCTTGTGAACTTAGGCCCCTCATCTGTTTCATCTTCCACTGGCCCCATGCTGGTCTATGGAGGATGACTGGATGTGGGTGAGTAATTTAACTCTTGCTTTTAGATCCACCCATACTACCAGCTTCCAGATAACCTGCTTATTCAATCTGTGAAACTTTCTTGTATTCTGTGGTGAAAATTGGTGTGCTTCTCAGTAGTTGCTTCCTTGTAGTCTTAGTTTTCAGCCTTATTTAGTCTTCTAGATCAGTCACTAAACGTCCATCTGCTTTCAAGTTTCCAACACTTTGTTGACATCTCTTATCTGCTGTAGTTGTGTATCTGGTCATATTTGCTGTTGTGGGCATATGCCATCTTTATATCTTAAATGGCTTGTTTGTTTTTAGTTTTCATGAGGAATAAGAGGCAAACCACTATGCTGATCTGCAGTGTGGTCTTTTATTTTTGCCAGGCTTCTTCATGAGTTGGTGCCTCACTCTAAAGCAGAACACTTGGGCTTGGTGTATCAGTCTCTTCTGGTTGATACAGCCTATTTCAGTCAAACGATCAGTAAAATGGAACTCCCTATCAGTGTTAGTTTAAATAGTTTTTGAGATAATCCTTTTTTTTTTTTAGTTAAATACTCATTTTTCAGATGATTCCCTTTCCCCTTTCTGGCAATAAGGCTTCTAAATACATGAAGGGGAGAGTGGAGGAGCTTTCAGATTCATTCAGTCTTCTCTGGATCCTCTAGGTTCTTTGCTATGGGTTGGATGGTATGGTTTGGCCCTTGAACTGGTGACTGTTGAGGTACAAATTGTCCCATCTGACAGAGATTGCTGAAGGCTGTGGTCCTACCTATTGTTATGAGTAGTGAATTCTCTATGTCATTTGGGCCTGATTTCCAGGTCCCATCAATCTACTGGCTCCTTCAGTGTCCCTTGGTTCCATTCTGAAAGTTCAGCAGGTTCTTTGTCCCTGCACTCCCTATGAAGGTTGTGAAGAGAAGCATTTATTTCTGGTCATTTTCCCTAGCCGCTTCATTGTGCTAAAGTGCTCCACGTTGACTTTGAGCCTATTATCCCAGCATACTCTTCCCAAGGTTTCAAGGTAGAACAAAGGAAAAACTCCTTTGCTTTCAGTTTTTCCTTAACATATATAAAATGGCTTTCTATAACTGGGATTTTGGCACAATGAAGGGAAGCTGGGACACGTTTCCTGTACACTTCTACCTTTGCCTGTCTCTACACTTCAACTAGCCTGGAAAGAGCTTTTCACTCTCTGGTGGGGCATTTCCTCTTTGTCATAAATTCCTGCTCGGGAATATTCAGCTTCATGTCTCCACCTTAAGGGTGAAAAAGTAATGCCTTGAAACTATGTAAAAAAAACTTCCTTTTACAAGTTTTGGCTTTGATATAGGTGATGGAGAACAAGTTGTAACTATGCATCACTTAGGTTAAAAAAATGTAAAATAAATATACCAAGTATATTATCCCTTTATAAATGTTTAATGTGAATCAAAATAAGTCATGAATTATTTTAGAAAGAAAAATATTTCAAATAAGTTAAAATTATTCCAGAAAAAAAGGAGGACATAAAAAATAAAGACAGCCCAGGAAGAAGCCCTAAATAATGGAAAGGAAAGGCAAATTATGTATGTTCTAGTTGTGTAAATTCTATCTCTTTGACCATAGGCAAGTCATTTTACTTCTTTTAGTCTACTAAGGTCATTTATGAAAGATAAAAAGATTTCTGTTGCTAGCTTCCAGAGTGTTTTCCAGTCCTGATACTCTGCCTTTCATGATTTCAGATATTACATTATAGTAGTGTTCTGGTTATCTATTACTGCATAACAACCACCCCAAAACTTAGTGGTTTAAAACCACAATACTTTATTTATTTCAGGGATTTGCTATCTGGGCTTCGATCTGTAGGGAAAGCTAATTCTGTTTTATCCAACGTCATCTGGGTTGACTTGATGAGTATAATGAGAAGATTAAGTTGAAAGAAAGGAAAATGCAAACTGAATTTTTAAGAGTTATTTAAATAAAATAAATAAATAAATAAAATAAAATAAATAAAATAAAATTTAAATCAATAAAAACTGGTAACATGTTTTACTTCTTCATTCTATTGATGGACAATAAAATTAGCCAATTTGGAACTTGATCAAGATACCTCAACTCCCATACATCCCCAACTCAGTGATAACAGGAGTTTGGCTTATGCTTTTAAGGTACTGAAGAAAGAGTGCTCTATAATTAATACAGTGATGATGTTAAATAAAGGTCATTATCTTCCAATTCTTTGAAAATATGAGATGAGTAATAGATTCAAGTAGTCAAAAAGCCCAACATACCTGGTTTCCTCAAAGTTGAGGCAGGAATAAATGGATGGAGAAACAGAAGGCAATTGCTGAATGAATACAAGTTCAAAGATCAGGAGGAATACATTTTCGAAGTAGTGGAAATTTTTATAGGCTTTTTCTCAAAAATGAAAAAAATAGTAATAATGGTAATGGCTTACTCAACATAATAAACTCTATATTAAGAGTTTTATATTAATTATGTCATACAAACCGATAAGCACTCATATGAATATATAAAATAATTATTTCATGAATGAATAAATGCACAAATAGTAGACAGTAATCTCTCAACAACATTCATAGAATCAATACATTTACACTTTAAAGAGATTAGGAAACCAAGACATTAAGAGGTTAAATACGGCCGGGTGTGGTGGCTCATGCCTGTAATCCCAGGACTGTGGGCGGCCGAGGCAGGTGGATCATGAAGTCAGGATTTCGAGATCAGCCTGGCCAACATGGTGAAAACTGGTCTCTACTAAAAATACAAAAATTAGCTGGGCGTGATGGCACATGCCTGTAGTCCCAGCTACTCTGGAGGCTGAGGCTGCTTGAACCCAGCAGGCGGAGGTTGCAGTGATCCGAGATGGCACCACTGTACTCCAGACTGGGCAACAGAGTAAGACTCTGTCTTGGGAAAAAAAAATTAAAAAAAAAAGTTAAATACCTTTCTCAAGGTCACATTCAAGTAGGTGAGAAGTAGATATAAGATTTGAAATAAATCCAAATATTTCAAATTTCAAGCTCCATGGTGTAAAATAATGAAAATCGGAAATGTGGAAATGAGAAATACTGAAAGAAGAAAGTTTTGTCAAACTTTCAATGCTGTTTAGTAACATGTGATGAAGTAAATATACATTTCTTGTGACTATTATGTATAACCTTCAGTTGCCTTCTAAGGTGGGTGGGCCTTGGTAGCCAGAAGATTCTTTTTTACATCTGGGCTTGAGCAAGAACGGGTGAATTTGGAGGACAAGGCAGAGGGATAAATTATAGCTCTCTAGGAAGGAGGAGCAAAAGATCGAAAGAGCTCTTAAGAAGACAAGACTTTTAGATGGGAACCACCGTGGGAAATGGCTGAGAAAGAAAACTCTATGTGTCCAGCACTAACAGGGACTTGGGAGGAGAAACACATTACTGAGGGCATCACAGTTATTTGCTATGAAAGTTTGAACATAAAAGACCGCAAATTGGGTGCAGTGTATACTGCTCGGGTGATGGGTGCACCATAATTTCACAAATCACCACTAAAGAACTTACTTACATAACCAAATACCACCTGTTCCCCAAAATCCTATGGAAATAAAAAGTTTTAAAAAAGAAACTTTCGTCATAAAACCTTTTCATCTCCATTCCTAAATCTTCCTGTAATCCCTACGTTCACTAACATTCTGGATGTGAGCAGATTTTTTTTTTTCTCTTCTCAGAAATGGAAAGATGTGCTGAGCTCTACTTCAAACTTGGTGTCGGTGAGAACAAAAGATGCATGCAAGGACAACTGAAATCCAAGTAATAATTTGCTTTACTTTGAGTGACAGATGACGGCCCGCTAGATTCCATTATAGCCTGAGGGAAGCATCCTTAAGACCACATAATGTCTTAACTTTTAAATCTAAGCTCACCAAACAAAACTTTAACTCTTGAGATAGTCCTCTCTGCCAAGGGCCAAGGTAGTGTGGGGTAAAGCTACGTGGGATTAGTGTCAGGGGCTACACAAAATTTATTCTAACTAGACTCTGAATGCAGCAAATTTCCCTGACTTTTCATTTGAGAAGAGTCATGAACTCTGTGTCTTCTGGGTAAGACACGGAGTTTTTTTCTTTTTCTTTTCTCTTTGCCTGAAAATGTAGACAAATTTTATGTCTCAATCTTCTTTAGCATCTGAACACTTGATTGATCCAGTTATGCTCCAAGGAGAACAATGGCAAATAAGGCAAATAGGTTTCTCTCTCCTCACAGTTTGTGATCTACTTTACAAATGTTTTCTATGACATCGTTCTCTTTCTCACACTCTACTTCCACTCACTTAGAAGCAAATATTCTTTCCTTTGTGCTCTTTCATACTTTGTATGGACTTTGTTTATAACCTCCAATTACCTTCTGACATGGGTGGAGCCTGGTAGCCAGAAGTTTCTTTTGCAGGTGAATTTGGAGGACATGGCACAGGGATAAATTATAGCTCTCTAGGAAGGAGGAACAAAAGAGTGAAAGGGCCCTAGGGAAGACAAAACTTTTAGATGCAAATCACTGTGGGAAATGGCTGAGAATGAAAACTCCAGATGTCCAGCACTACCAGGGACTTGGGAGAAGAAATATAGTGCTTAGGGCATCACAGTTATGTGTTATGGAAGTTTGAGCATAAAACTTTTTTATCTGTATGTTTAAATCTCCTTCTAATCTAAACAAATAACATATTATTTCATTTAGCACTTTTGAAAACCACGTTGGTCTTCACCTGCTAAAATATACACTGTTTGGCACAGAGTGTTTATATCTCCTGTGTTTATCCTGGAGCCTGTCATGGACTAATTGCTCAAGTAATCATTGCTGCATGTGGATGACTGAATGAAAGACTGAAGAAACATTTCAACATGGCAGCATCCTAGACTTGGGAAAGAATGAGTAGTCCTGGAGACTGGCCTTCTGGTGGCTAAAGTGTTTCTGCATGTTCTACAGCCCATGGGGTCAGGAGAGGCTTAAGGGCTGTGAAGGAAACACCTGAAATTCCATAATAGCTAGTGCCTTTCAGCTGTGAAGACTGTAATGAGGACACCTGTATGTCACCTGGTTGAACCACACTCAGAAAATTCCAGGTAGAAGAAGAAAAGTAAACATATAATGAGTTTTGGCCACTTGAATATGATAAAACGTATTTTTATCTGTGAGGACAAGAAGCTCAGAGAAGTTAGGCAACTTGCCAAATATTCCATGGCTTGAAAATTACACAGTTAGGATATGCATAGAGGTTTGGGAGACTCAGAAGACTAACCTGTCTTCCAGAAAGCCAATGGCATCATGGGCAAGGAGAAGCTCTTCACAGGTGAGATGGAAAATGACTTCTGGTATCTAGGACAAAACACTTTAGAACATACCTTTTATGTTTTAGATGCAGCAGGTATGATGAGTAATAATTGTTCTCCTGTGAAGGAAGGGGAGCATACAGTACTGCTTTAGAGAGAACTGGTTGAATGCCCTGCAATTTTGTAAACAAAATTTTGTAAATAAAAATAGAAGGAAGGTGGGATTTGTCTACTGCTCATTCTCTTCCACAGCCTAGAAATTATAAAATGTTGTCCAAATTAGGAATTAAATCCCCAAATATGAAAGGATAGATGGGGATACCAATAAACATTGGCTGCCTGAGTAAATAAATGAGTCACTCCTGATAGAGCAGTGGACACAGAAATTGCTTTTGGATCAAAATTTTTTGAGGATGTTACATAGGGTTCGAGTCAGGGAAGCTGGCAAAAAATAACTTCTCTCCTGCGCTGGTGTTGGCTTCTTGGAAACGTAGGCACTAACTATATCATGGCCACCTAGGGCTTTCCCTTTCCTGTTTCATATTAGTACATCACAAAGGACTGAGTTCTCGATGTTTACTCAGTAAGAAGATAGCAGAAGAGTGGCTGAGAAGTAATAATCCTCTGTTTGTGTGATGACTGTATCCTGCTTGTGGCAACAGTGTGATGTGGCCGCAGAGACAGCTAATATGACCTTAGGCTGCAAGAAGGAGGTAATAAATGTTCCTTCTGTATTGTACAGCAATCAGCCTGCAGCTGAAGTTCTGCGACCAGTTCAGGGCAAGCTGCTTCCAGAGTGTCACTGATGAGCAAGAGCATGTTCAAACAGGATAACCAGCGTAATGAGCTGTCTGGAGATCGTGTCGTCTGAACAATTGTTGAAAGGGCAGGAAATTTTCTTCTCTTGTATTTTTTTTTCTGTAAGGCAAGAGTCTTCAGGGGAACAGGTGAGCTCTCTTCAAGTATTTGAGGAACTGCTTTGTGAAAAATGAGTGAGTTTTATTCTGATTAGACTAAAAAGTAGACTTAGATATCAGATCAATGCAGGGAGGAACTTACTAAGAATTGTCTAAAGACAGAATGTGTTGCCTCACAAGGGAGTCAGCCTCCCACTATAAGATGTGTGCAAGCAGAATCTAGATGTTTGCAGCTTGGATAGAAGGCTGGGCAATAAATATTGGAGAGCAAGTGGAAGCTGACCTAGGAAGAACGTCTGGTTTTCTGGCATAGTTCAGTTAGTACCAGTTAGGATATCATGATTTTCATTTGCTAAATTTGCAGAGCCCATACCTACTGTGACCAGAGAAGGAAGGAGCCTGAGATGTCATTAATTGAATTCATTCATTTTGTAGACAAGCCTAACTGTTGTCTTCAGCCACTTAGAGGTGCTTGAAACAAAGGAGATAACAAAAGAGATCTTCTGCCCTTTCACTTACCATTGGTTTTCAAAATTATCCAGGGAGGCTGAGGGATAGGCTCCTGGGCTCAGAGCTGTTGTGCTCATCTACTATAAATGTTTGATTTCTGCATTGGCCTTTGGAGAAAGGCTCTGCACCTGAAAATTCAGAAACGCTGGTTTATACCAAATAGCATGCCCTTCTATCTCCTGTAGTTTTCATAGTAGTGGGATAATGGCACTTGTTCTCTGCCTTGAGAAATGCTGTCAGTTGCTTTTTCAAGCACCGGTCACCATGAGAACCCAACAGGCTGAACAAGTGCTGAATATCTTGGGCTCACTGGTTGAGATTTATTATTTTCCTCCTGACTTGCATCGCCACTGTGTGTCACTGCTCTATTTTTCCTGAGCCACAGCCTATTTTTGTATGTGTATTAACCTAACTGCTTCCAACCTTTTCTCTCACTATTGATCTTCCCAGTTTGTCTCAAACCCTTCTGGGATTAAAAATGGCCAGCCCTCTCCATTTTAGTGGTATCTAAAAACTATTTTCATCTCTCAGTTTTATACTGCAAGTCACCCCAAATAGCATTGTCCTATTTATTACTTATAAATATTACAAATGCACTCTCAGCTTGCTTTCTCATATCTTCGTTCAGCTCTGTTAGCCTAACTATTTTTTGTGTGTGTGTTTCTCCTAACTGCACCTCCAAATCCGAGTTTCTGGTAAATTTCCCAGTGTGTTTCTGAGCCAAATTCATTTGTGTTCCCTCTAATGCTTGCATCTTTAACATCTTTATGCTTGTGTTTTTTGATTTTCCTCTCCTGTGAGGTTTGGGGACATTGCCTGCTTTATTATCAGTTGCAGATTTCATTTATCAGTTGTTCTGAATCAATAATGAAGATGTAAAACAATGTTTGACTCCAGGGGCTGCAGATGACACCTTCCTTCAGCAAGATTCATTTCTATTCATTTGTTGATACTGTCAGCCTTTCAACCATGGGAGCATGTATAGCCTGAGCAATTTGCAAGTAAGATTTTGATAATATTATCTAAAATGCTTTCTGAAAGTCTGACTATATGGGCATATTGCTTATATGTTCATTTTCTGTCCCACCCTGACTTGAATTTTTAGTAATGTGTAGTCCTCATCACATCCTTTTGAGATGACATGGATATTTACTGGTTTTCTCTTTACTATTAGATTCATATTTCAATAAACTGTAACTGCCAGTTTACCAAATGGCAATTATCAAGGTCCTTTTGGTCCAGTAGGCCACTTTTATTCCCTTTTGTATTGTACAGCAATCATGTACAATAAAAAAGTTCCTCCCTGCATTGATCTGATATCTATGCCTACTTTTTAGTCTAATCAGAATAAATCTCACTCATTTTTCACAAAGCAGTTCTTCAAATATTTGAAGAGAGCTCACTTGTTCCCCTGAGGACTCCTGCCTTATAGAAAAAAAATACAAGAAAAGAAAATTGCCTGCCCTTTCAACAATTGCTCAGATGACACGATCTCCAGACACCTCATTATACTGGTCATCCTGTTTGAACATGCTCCAGCTCATCAGTGACACTCTGGAAGCAGCTTGCCCTCAACTAGACATAGAAATTCAGCTGCAGGCTCATTGCTGTGCAATACATAAGGAATTGCTGTACAATACAGAAGGAAGATACAGCTACCTCCTTTCTATGGCAAACATTCCATTCATCCTGAATTATTAGGATACAGAGAGCCTAGTTTAGCCTAGATTAGCATTCATACCTAGACTGTTGGTGATCTGTGGACTATTTAATATGTAAGGCATGATGCACAGGCTCAGAGGTTATAAACTGAGGTTATAAGCCCATATGGACAGTTCCATGCTTAGATATGGCAGGTAATAGTAAATAATAGCTTGAATAGTGTTATTTATAGTAAAATATCTACCTGACAGCCAGTTGTGGCATTACCATGCAGTTTTGGGTATTTTGAGACATGTGACCCTTGTGTTAAAATTATGTACATTGGATTGACTTTTTTTTTTTTTTTAAGGAATTCTGGGTTTTGGTAAAATAAGGAGGAAGTAAAATTTTTCTCATCCTAAACTTTCTTTTCTTTTCTTTTTTTTTTTCCAATTAGAGCATAACAAATCATCCCTCAGAGGAAAAAAGCCAGCTCCCATTTTTGCTAATCCCTGCTAAGTTGTTAATGAATAAATGATAACTGAGCTGTTAGTATTCACAACTATGGACCTACCATATTACTTTTTCCAGAGACCTTTGCATCTTGACAGGGATCTCTAAGGGAACTGGTAAGCTTTCAAGATCAAAGGAGTGAAATGACAATGAAACATGGCCCTGAAGTTGATATTTTTGGAGGTAGTTTTCTTGCTTGTCACTCTTTTAATTTATCCCATACAATTTGCTTCCAGCAAACTGGTAAGGTGGGCTCTTTGGAGAATAAAAGTTTCAAATAATAGCTATTTCTGATAATATTTTCTTTTTTGGTTGTCATTTTTTAGGAAATTTGGCAAGGGCAGTGACATTGTATGTGATTTAGTGCTTGTCTTTTCCCCTGATTGTTCTTGTCATTATTTCCTAGGATATCAGGGTTTTGAGATTCAGAGATTATATTTTCAGTAATAATAATGTTTTTCATTTGGCATTTGAAATGGAATAATTAAGGCTTATGAGGCTCAGAGACTTGACAGCTCTTCCTGGAGGAAAGCTGATAATGTTTAGGACATCATGTTAGCGCTTTCTCTCAAATTGAAAGTAGACAGGAAAAGTGACTTTTAAGAAAGCATGATTAGGACCCCAGTATAATCAGCTAATTACATGAACTTCCTGGTTTTAACTTGTTCTAATGGTATTCAGATATGCATAAAGGCTTTTTCCACCACCGCATCACCCTACCTCAGGCCGATAGTGGGAATTGAAAATAGCCCCAGATCCAGGTGTGTTGGCTGCATACAATTTCATTTGCGTACCACATAGAGGAGGAGAGAAAACCTGGATTGCATTTTTGGCATTTTTACAGTATGCTTCCAAGGAAGGAAAGAGCCACACATTCATTTTCTTTGACAAAACTTTAATTAGAAAACCAGACTCCTCTGATTATAAAAATTACACAAGCTAATAAATCTTGGTAAGTTATAGAGAGAATAATTTTATGAACATTTTATACCTAATAAAAAAGTTAAAATAATTAACAGCATTCATCAGATTAATTTTGTTTTCACATGATTTTCTAATATAAAAAAGCATATAGTCATCAACCTTTATATAAATCCATATATGTTTGTAATAGCTTTTCATAATGGGAAGGGACAATATTCATATTTAAATAATGATATTAATAATTGGTAATGAATCAAAACTGCCAAAAGCTGAAGCATGACAACATTGATGATCAAGGTTGCTTAGGGAAATTGGAGCCTTCTGGACCCAGCCCAAATAATCTTTTAGAGAAAATTTAGACACAAGAAATCATATTATATAGTATTGTCCCACCTAACAAAAATTACTTATGATCAGTGTTGCTTTACATGTTTTCAGAATAATCACTGTTTCTTTCCTTTCAACAGTTTTGTCCCAAAGTGCTGCTAACTGTGTGCTGGTGTATTGTGCTGCCTATGGGAAATGGTGTTGGATCAGCAGAAAACTGGAAATCTTATTTGTTTCCCTCCAGACTAGTAAGAACAGATGCACATTGACGACACAAAGTTTCTGCGAATACGTAGTTTCATGTAGGGCATAACTTCTATCCTGTGATAGTACATCATTAAAAAGTATCTTGCTTCTTAAAACTTCTGCACTGCAGCAAGACGGTATCACACTGACTTCCTGATCATGTCCTTTTGGCAAGATAAAAAACTAACCCTTGGGTTCAAACAATAAATGAGGAGTCTGGGTAGTACATGAAGTAGTCACAGGTGATATCTACATTTCTTTATTGCATTCTGATTTTTTCAATATTGCATTGCAGTGCTAACTCAATTTCATACCACCGCAAAACTATGGTAAACCATAGTGTTTGAGTTAAAAGTGCTCCTGTGTCTCTGCAATAGTATCCAAAACTAAGAGCTGTAAATTAGTTAATAGACTACTTATTTTCATTTGGGGAACAGGAATGAAAACATTGTGAAGTAAATCATCTAGTAAAGATGACACTACATTGAGCACACAGGTATTAAACATACAAATGATTGGCATTAAACATTCTTTTTACAAGCTGGTACTTTAACATCTACCTCCCAAAGTTAATTTCATTATAATAATTTTTTAGCAAACTGTAACTATAAATAGTTCTATATCAAGGTACACATATGTACCTTGAAGACTAACAATAACATGTTTAAGGATGTCATTTGTTTCACATCTCAAACCCAAACCCCAAACACAAACATTTCTGAAACGTTTCAGTTGATTGAGCTTGTAAGCTAAAGAGTGGTAAAATTCCACCATCTATGGACATTTGAATTTGAGTGTTGTCCATGTACTTCCTTGTTGTACATTCCCTGGAAAGTGTTTGGTTAGAAATTATATAGCAAGTGAGAGCTCTGAATGAATACTCCAGCAATTATAGGAGAGGGAAGGTTTTCATAAACATACTTGATTTTATAGCAGGCACCCCCAATTTTGGATTCAGGGGCAGACATAAGAAGAAAATCTGATTTGAGTTTATCATATTCACCTTACTCCATTAATAAATTTCTTCTGTAGAACAAAGTAATGTGTATGAAAGACAATTAGATATATTCAGCTTACCTTAACTTCAAGATTCAAGTGGATAAAAATATAAGTAACAATCTCAGCTGAGAATGAGGCAGAAATGTAAACATTAATGGAAATAAAAGTTATCACATCTCCCAAACAACTATCATTTATGATACTTTCAGAAGACTTTGCACATGCTGAAACCTATGTGGTATAATTAATAAAGCATTTTTTACCACAGATAATGGAATGCTACTTGACCAACATAAATTATCAATTATTTTGGAGAGATTCTAATAAGGATAAACTAAGGCATAAAACAAAGAGCAATAAGAAATCTGAACACAAGTAACAAGGCTACACTGCACTAGCCATCTGAGTCAGAATTTCTGTGGGTGGAATAAATAATAAACCTGCTGATGTTAAGAAAACTAAAACAAGTTCCATACAAATGAAAATTTAGAAGGTGAGAAATTTCTATCAGAAAGGAAAACAATACAGCAAATGTCACATTTGTACAGAATATGCTTCCTATAATCCTTCTTGAATCTATGAATTTAAACTACCCCATTTCTCCTTAATTCTTTCAGCCATTAGAGAACCAGTTAATGATCTTACAGAACCTATGATTTAATTACAAGCATCTGTTTTTGAGACTAATCAATGAATCATTAATGTGAGCTTGGAAACAGCAGGTAGAAAACCAATAAATTATTCATTTTGAGGGAAGAAGGAAATGTTCCTGAGCATCAGATAATATATTTTATTCACGCTTATGTCAGGGTAACTTTGTGTATTTGTGTGCATACTCTTACAATTCCAGCTGAAAATGGCTTGGGGCAGTATCTTTTACTTCTTTAAGCCTGAGAAGCAGCAGGCTACCAATTGCTCCCATTTAAGGATGTGGCTGCCATGATAATCTTTCACTTGTTCAGCAGTATTTCTTTTTCTTTCCATTGACAAGCTAGGATACGAGCACAGTCCCTGCTCTGCCAAAGGAAACCATGTCTTTTGTTAAAGTTTAAGCTACTGATAAATATTTAAGGGAGTGCAGGGGTAGATGTTAATATTACCTAGCAAAGAATTCATGGGCAAACAACTTTCAAATGTATCAGTAAGTTTACCTTAAAATGACTTACTAGATAATGAGATACATCTAATATATTTGCAACTGAAACACTTGAAGCTTTCAAGGTCTACCTGAACTAATTTCTTCCCTCCCTCCCTCCTTTCCTTCCTTCCTTTGTCAAATATTTATTGAATGCCTAACATGTGCCTGGCACCCTTCAGGGTACTGGGCTTATAGCAGTTTACAGAGCAGAAAAATATCTCTGCCCCCTTAGAGCTTTCAATTTACTGGGGACAGACAGACAATAAACAAATCCCATGACAAATATGAAAGAAGGGAGGAGATTTACTATATTTTCATGAGATTGTCAGGAAAGGCCTCTCTAATGCATACTTATTTAATATTTAAGAAGAAACCAAAAAGATGTGAGGGAGGAAGATCTGTGGCTAACTGGGGGAAGAAGAGCATTCAGGGTGGTGGGAACTGCAATGACAAAAGACCAAAGGGGGTGCATGGTTGATGCAGAGAGAACAAAGGGGGCAGTGGCTGGAGAAGTGGTCAGAGCAGGAGACAGGGGAACAGACTGGGTGGGGCTTCCCCTCTTTCGTGAATCTCCCACCCAAGTTAATGTCTGTGAAGAGATGGTTCTTTTGTTTAGGCAGATAAAATGCCTTCTTCAAGGCCTATTTGAAGCTGCATTTCCTTCTTGAAGTATTCCCCTTTAATGCCAATAGTTCCCTATACCCAGATTCTCTTAACTCTAAAGTATGAATCATGCAATCATTTCTTGTGCTTTATTGTGAGTGACTATTTCTTCTGTCAGCATCTTTAAAGAGATTGCAAGCAATTTAAAGGTAGAAAACACATCATACTTTTTCTTCATCCCATATAGCACATGATGTTAAACTCAAGGTAATCAAGAAAGAAATGAAAGAAATATATAAAACTGTCAATTAAGAAAAGACAAAGAAATATATGACTCTAAAAACAAATTCAGGTATTTTGAGAATATAGCCATGAAAACAAAAACATTAAGGTAGAACTCAGTGGATAAGACACATGATCTGATTTTGTTTAGTAATCTACATCATTGCTTATCCCAACTTAGAGCTTATACCTATACATCTGTAGATCTCTTCTTCCTGTCCTACAGAAAATGTAATCCCTCATCCATGCAGCCTTCTTTCTTTCTTTACATTAGCACTACTGCCCATTCTTCACAATGTCTATCTTCCTTTATGATTTTTTTTCTCTGAACTCATATCTTCAATTTCCTAGAGTATTGTTACCTAGCAGGGTCAGGGCTATTAGTGGAGCAGAAATTATAAACATTTGAGAGACATAGGTAGAGGGTTAAAAACCCACTAGTCTACTAGTTTATTTCACTCATTGCTTGGGATTTATCTACTTAAGCAAAGCAATTAGGTTACAAATGAACTGGCGATAAAATACTTTCATAAAAATTATTTATCCTGAGATAAACTCTTTATGATTTTTAGACTTGAAATAATTTTATATACTTTTAAAAATCAGTTCTGTATCTAAGGTAGTATAGTCCAACTAAGAAACAGAGTTGATGTGCTCCATGCTGAGGTCGAATGAAGAAGATAGAAAGTGCCCCTGGATGCCTCTCTAATCATTATTTTAGTGGAACATTTCAATCGCAGTCTAATTATTGAGCTCTCCCAATCCCTCCAGTGCTAAATTTCAAACATGTTGGAACTTGGCGTGAAGAAGGGCAAGATTGTTTTTCTCCATCTGTAGATGAATTCTTCTTTTTACCTAAACTACTTAGTCCTGATTTTTCTTTAGGCCATCCTTCTAAATATGTCTTAGTCATTGCTGTGCTAAATAGAAGAGGTGGCAACAGGGTAGAAAACGACTCATTAACACTCCTTGCTGATGTTCTTTCATAAAACTATTTTTTAAAAAAATTTTATTTGTGTCTCAATTCTTGCCTGACTGTTTACTTACTAGTATTTATTTCTTTTGGGTAAAATTATGAGTTTGGGAACCTATTTACACTTACATTCACTAATTTGTTTAAGTGTATTAATTTCAAACAAAAAGATGTATACCCTCAAGGCTGTATCTGCTGTGTTTAATACACTAATCAATCATTAGGCATCCTTGCCTTCCTATCTTACCATTTTGTCCAAAACACATCTAGTACTCATTGACATTTATGTCCAACAAACAAAAAAATCAGTATAGCAACTTCTATTTATTATGGAAGACATGTTAACTAAGAATCTTGAACAATTTTTAGATTAATAGCAGGTTAATTAGGTTAATAGCAGGCAAATAAATAATAACTCTAGTTTTGCCAATGTCTCATAACAAATGTTTCAGTGAAAGCAAATAGTTACTTTCTTCTTTTTATGAGACATTAAAGTATTCCGCTGAGCAATTTGAACTGCTTTGTCCCTCACACAGGACTTTGTACATCACTTGGCACATTATAGGTTCTTAATCCATGTTTGTTGGATGGATTAATGAATGAATGATATGGCTAGTTCATCAGGTCATTTTATTTTCCTAGTTCCTAGGTAACTGTCCATATTTCCTGTTATCGAAAAAGTTCTTCCAATCAGTTATTCTCTTTGTCGACTTTTAGCTGTGACTTCCTATTATTGAACATAACCCAGTACTCTAAGTATTCGAATTTAATACAAAAAGAAAATCTATTGGAACATTTGGTAAGAGATATTTGACTTACATATTGTGTGTAACTCTGATTGGAGTTTCAGCACTTCTTTATTGTATAGGTATGACCAAGTTGGCCTTTAGGAGGCCTGATGGATTTTTAATGAATTATCGGTTTTGCCAATCATTACTTTTGTTGCATTATGGCTTTTTTTTTAATATCTTGGGTCTGGCGTATATCATAGTTTAGTAGCTGTGCTGTTGGGACCAAAGATCTACTTACAACCATTTTCAACACATACTAAATTTTTTTTGTAGGCTGCTTTCCCCCTTTTCCCTTCATTGAAGTTCTCCAAGAAATAACCTTCCTGAAGTCTTTTATTCAAGATCAAAATTTTTCAATTATTCTAGAATGCTATATCATTTTCAAAAGAATGAAAAATAAAATATCAACCTGTTTATTTATTTGGTTTCCTGGCCATTTGTCAATTTTTTTCTTCATATTTTACTATTTATGGTCTAGTTTAACTTGGTTTCCATTTGCTTACTTCTCATTCCCTGAAATTGTACTGGGACAGAAGGGAAAAATTAGTTCTGTGTTATTTTAATTGAAATTCATGCTGATGAATCATTTTTCCTTAAGTATTCTTTTCTTCTATTAGGTTATAAATTACTCAAATAGCTAGAAATCAGCAATATTGTTTAGAAAATAAGAACTGATTTCCACACAGACCCATTAATACTGTTTCCTTTGGAATTGTAATACTCATCTGCTCTTCAGTAACAAAGACAGGCTTCTCTAACATGACATTATCAATGTTTGCTTCCTGGAACACTAGTTCTTTAAGATGCTCCATGAACATAATGACCCATGGTCAATTATATCTGGGAAATCAAATACTGTCTTTATGCTACTGGAACATTAATTTCACACATTGAGGGTAATTCAAAGAATAGGCTTCATTTTGCCAGTGTTGAAGCCATTTTAATTTCAAGTAGCATTTCGTGATAATATAGGAACAAAAAGATCTTCAAATTCTCTGGGCATTCATTGTACTTAACTTTTTACTTAAGAGTTGGTATTTATCAATATGATTTTTGTGTTGTATCTGAGACTTATGTGGTCCCACATGCAGGGGCAGATCAAAATTTTGTTGAGCCTGAAGTGTATACATTTTTGGAGTCCCCTTTTAAGGAAAAGAATGCAAAAATATCATACATTTGAAAATTTTATATAAACATAAGATGTGAACATACTGCTAAGGACTGTCCTAGGGCCTCCAAAAGACTTATGTAAGCAATGGGCTCAGAAATTTAAGCTTCATTAGCTACATGCTACACTTGCATATCCCACATGAAAAATAGTACTTTACTATTATTTGGCCTAATAATATAATAGTGTTTCAGCCTCATTATTTCTGGTTCTTTTCTCCACCTGACACATACCCTACATTCTTAGGGTTGTGAGATTTAGCAAGTAAAAATGCAATATGCCCAGTTAAATTTGAATTTCAGAGAAACAAGTATTTTTAGTATAGTAGATTCCAAATATTGCATGAAACATACTTGTACTAAAAATTTCATTCACTGATTATTGGAAATTCAAACTTAACTCATGTCCTACATGAATCTAGTTCTAGTATAGAGTGCTAGTTCTAGTATACAGTGGTTCTAGTTAAACCAGTCTATAACAGGACTTCTCTGAAAATGACACATTCTTTTATACTCTACGCCTTGGTTCCATGTTCCTAAATTTTCTTCATGAAAAGACTGTCCAGAGCAACTTATTACAAATAGAGATTACTAAGGCCATCCCTTCAAGAGTTTAAAAAGTCTTCTAGATGAGTTCTACCAACAGGTAGACTTGTCAGATATGGCCTTAGTTCAGGTAATTTCTTTTCTTCAAACTGGAATGTCTTTGCACTCTTCAACTATGCAGCCTTTCAGGCCTAGTGGTGAGAAGCTGACCTTTGTCCTCACCTTCTTCCCTGGACAGATTTAATCCAACTATTCTCAGAATGTCTGTTGCTGTTCACAAACTTAGATTTCAGAGATTTTCAAAGTCCAAGTGTGGTTCCTCAGACTAGTAGCATTAGCATCACCTGAAAACTTGTTAGAAATGTAAATTTTCAGGCCTCACTCCAGATCTATTGAATCAGAACCTCTGGAGATGGGGATATGCAGGCTGTGCTTTGACAAGCCCTCCAGGTGATTTTGATACATGCTTAAGTGGGAGAATCGCTGCTCTATAAATGGAGCCCATTATTTTTGAGATATATATATACACACACACACACATATATATATATGGCTATTTCACCTACTAGTTTGCTTTGCTAAAATCCTTGATGGGTAGTGGCTGCCTCTCATTTCTCTTTGCATTTACTCTCTATGTGTCTGGCACATAGAAGATGTTTAAAATTCTTCTTGAATGAAAGATTTGGAGAATAAAGGGGTTAATAGATAATTACATTTTTTTTGAGTAAGCTACCTGGTGAAAGCCATGACCCAAAGGGCATCGCATAAAGCTACGTGGATGATCAAGCTGCTGTGTGGCCCCATTGCATGGCACTGTGGCTCCAAGTTCCAACTCTTTTACATTTTCTCAAGTTGTTATCTGCTTCCTCATCCTCACGTATTTTAGTTCTATGACTGTAGAAGAATACAAAGAGTTCATATGGATTATTTTCACAGGTCATTTTAATGCTAATGTTAAAACCATGTATGTGTGAAATATTTGACAGGACAATTATACCATAGGAAAAGTTTTGAATTAGAGACAGGCCATCCAATGAATGTGTAACTATGTGTAAGGATATGTTGTGAAAATTACATTTTACATATATATCCATCTTTGTCCAGTGCTGACATAACATTGCAATACTACATCTTTATGGTAGAATAAAAGCATGTGCCTTATACATAACTTTCATAGAAGATGACTGCAGAGCAGATCTCTGATTGTGGGAGGAACAGTGATCTTGTTTCTAAGCATAAATCACCTGAACTGCTAAATTCCCTGAAATGCAAATAAATCTCAAGAATTATTTGCTAATTAAATTGATGTTTATATATGTAGATTAATCTAGATACTATTGTAGTGTCTCTAGCTATAATACGTGCATGTAGATAAGAGTTATATATACCTGAGTATCCAGTAATTTTACATGGAAAAAAGTATAAAAGATTAGACTGCCTATTTATGTTCCTAAGATATTCGTTTCTTCCTCTTTGACTCATCTTTTATTTACTGAATTTAATTAATGCAATATAAACCATTTTTCCCCAAGTTAGATATGCAGAAAACCAAATCAACTGTTCTGTAAAGATAAAGCAATTTCCTGAAAATTTGTGGTAAAGCTTTACAAATGTTATAAAAATGGGCCACGCTGCATGTCAAAACCACAGGAATGTGAAGATTAAACTATACATTAGAGTATTGTAGTAAATAGATCACACAGAGCTAATAACTAGTTACTGTTATACCACATTAAATTCACTAATGTGAATATTGTTGTGTTTTAGACACTCAAAGTTCTTGGGTGTTCAGGCCATCTTACAGATATAAGTTTTGTGAATTGTATTTATTTCTTCCTTTTTATATTCAGTGCCACAACTCTATTTCAGGCCAATATTACCTTCATTGCTGATGACCACAACAGCCTCCTAACTTAATTCTTTGGTTCAGGTCTCTCATCTCCAGTCTAACCTACACTTAGAACATTGCAGATTAATACTTCTAAATTTTGAATCTAATAATAATAATAATAAAAAGTAATCTGAGTCCATCAAATCAAATATAAATTCTGCAGCATGATGTTTGCAGGTCCTTATATGAAACTTTCTGGTTTGTACAAATTCAACTCCTGTACTGGAAATGTACCCTCAAGCTAAATTGAGTTCGTTGACCCAGGAACATATTCTGTGCTTTTGTTGCATGTTATGGCTTTGCTCAGTCTGGTCCCGTCACATGGGGTGCTCAGGCCAATAATCTTACCTCATCTTAAGTGCTATCTTAATGCAACACACTCATACCAGGTTTGGCTCTACTAGAAATCATCTCTCTACCCTCTGGATATCTCCTTTTGGACTCTGTACAAGTTCTGGCTTATATTCTAGTTATAGATGTCACAGACGCTTTTGTCTTGTGACTTTTTAAAACTTCACTTAATAAAAGGCTCTATCAGTATTTATTGGATTAAATGTGTTGACTTGGTTGTCTAAGCCACTGTTTTTCAAATTGAGCCACACATTGAAATCACTATGGGAACTCCCAGAAGTACTGAGGTTGGGTCTCGCTATAGGATATATTGATTTAAGTAGTCTGGCATGAAGTCTGGGCATTGAGACTTTAAACATCTCTCTAGGTCATTCCAAAGTACAGCAAATTTTGAGAACCACTAGCTTTGTTACTCCTAGGGTTATCCAAAATGTCTCTTAGAGTGTGTTTGTTGACCATGGTCTCGTATGGCCACTTGGTTGTTGGATTTATCTCCATTCTACTTCTGTGAACAGATGTCCTCCTCGTGAACCAGTTGGAAAATGGGGCCTCCCCAGGCCAACTCCAACCTTATCTATAACTCTAAAAAGCATAATTAGGAAATGCTTTTTTCAGGTTTAAAGTTTAAAATATATTCCTCCAAACATCTTGTAATATGATTGCTGGTTTTGGGGAGCACCACTATTATAATTAAAACTTTAACTATTAAAAAGGACAAGGGTAATGTATAAATCAGTTAGGTTTATGCTTAAAAACTAAGTGCATATGTACCTTATGTGATCTTCAAAGAAAGCATCAGTGAATCATAAGGAAGTGAATTTAAAAAATAGTTTTAAGCATTTTAACAAACTCATTGTCTTAAAATTTACATTTAGAAAAGGATAGATGGGGAGAAAATCTATGCAGTTATTTTTCATCACATATAATTTACATTTGGACTTCTCTGTACATGCACCTTTCATACTGATTTATGATGAAAAGATGATATATTTTACCATAGGGACATAGTACTTGTTTACAATGTTTTCTTTCTGGGAACAATCTATAAATCAGGGACAATAATACCTATTCTATTAGGCAGGTATTATTTGAATTGTTAATTAAAATAATATTAACAGAGATAGTTAATTGGAGTGTATTAGTTTGAGCTGTTTGTTCTGGAGAGTTTGGGTTCCCAGCAATCCATGTCAGTCTCTTACTCTCACACTTTGAGGGCTTTTGTGCCAGAACGTGGACGGTGTTCCATCATCAGGAGAATCAAACTCATGCTCTAAACTGGCTCTTGCAACCACTACATTTCAAAGCAAGAGAGATTATAAATTTATGTGATATTGCTCAGTTTTGGGATCCTTGATTTTAACAGTTAAAATTCAAAAATAGAGACTGTGTATTTACATTTTGTAAACCATTCACTGCATTTAAGCCCAAGGATACATCATAAAAAGAGCTTTTTCTTTATGATCCCTCTCCAAAATCCAAGTAACTCCCCATATCCTGGCAATGCTTTATAATACCACTCACAATGGGCGCTTCCTTTTTATTCCCATCTGTAACAAGTCTCTTCTGGGTTGCTATCATCTCATCTGTTATAGCCTTCATCCTGGACAACCTGCTTTCCTGCCCTTGTATATTTCACTTTTTCTCCCTGACTGTTGAGCCCATCCTCCATCTCTATCTATTAGAATCTTACCCACACTTCAATGTGGATCAGTTCATAATTCCTTCCTTACTTTCCTTGAATACTCCAGCTGCAAATTTCCTCAACAGATCATGCATACCTCAAAGTCAGGAACTATGAATAGTTTAGTGGTATTTTCTTCTGAGCCTAGCACAGAGACCAATATAGGTGCTCCTAAATATGAGGTAAGTAAATAGGTACAATCACAAGCCATCTAGGGGTACTTCAGAAACCCATCTACATCAAATCTTGATCCTAAAATGGGACTGAATTTCTAGTTCTATCTTTTTAAAGAGTAACAAACTTTTTGGAGACTTAGATATGTCAGGGTTTTTCTGAAACTTTCCAATGTGTTCCTTTGTTTTTAAAGCCTAACTAAGCTAATGAACAGAAACTAAATAAAAAAAAGGTTTCAGTTCAGTTGTTTAGTCCCTTCTTCAACAGTTTTAGATCCGTTTTAAAATTTTTTCTCACTTTACCTTTTTTTTTAAAAAAACACCCTTGTCCTTAATTTTTCTTTATGTTGGATCACATTCTCCCTTATTTTACTATCAAGATGTGTATAGCTCTAGGTTGTAGCATTTCAACTTATAGGAAAGGACAGTTATTACCAACAAACTTGAAATTCTTCCTTTATATGGGGCCTTATTATTGTGTAACTGGCTATATAGGAAAATTCAAGAAAATGAAACAAAACAACAACAAAAGCTTCTGAATATGGGCTCTCAAAGATTGAAATTATTAAATAACCTCCTTTTCATTAGGTCATGAGCAGGCAACTGATAAGCTGGAGAAGTCTTTTATATTTTTCTTCACTGAATGGATAATTACTGAACGTCTGCAAAGCAGACATTGTGTGCTTCATAGTTTGGCATGTCAGTTGCCATTTTTAAAATAAAATCAGTGGAGAATTTCAACTTGAAGCACATATAAATGACAATAAATAGTACTTTTGCAAACTTTATTTAGTATTTGCAAATAGGTTCCAAATGTCCAGCTTAATTTTTCTGAGTTCTTATTTCATTCCTTTCTAGCCATGCTTATTTTTATGTAAAGGAGAAAACATGCTTAATTACTCTAAAGAAAAGTTATTTTAGAAATGATAAAAGTTGAACATATTTAAAGGAAAAAAGCAGAATAAAATTAATAATTAAAATACTAAATTTGGACAGGAAAATGGCTATTGAATAAGTCCAAACATTTCCAGGAAAGACATAAAGGCATCCTTGTTTTTAAGAAAACATACGGCAAACTATATAAAATGAAATATTACTAAGACTTCTTTGGTCTCCTCATCATACGTCAATAATGAGGAGAGCTTTGCAATGATAAAGCTTTTGAAGTGGCTTGTGGAATATTAAATTGTTTAAGTATAATTTTGGCATCAAGTGACCTTACATATTTTGAATGTTGGTTATCTATGCGTTATGTATAATGCCACCACATTATTCATCAAAATACAGTGGACTTGGATATTGAAATATTTAACATGATTGGTTTTAGTGACTTAGAAGTGGTGCTGATAGCCCCTGAACAATTATGCCCCAGCTTGAAACTGTATAGCGTGCAGCCAAAGGGATGTGCTTTGTGATTAATCTCTGGGTACTACTGAGGAGCCGCTGGCTCACTCATTGTCTCCATCTTCTGCAGCTCTCATATGGTGAGAAAAATGTTGGTTCAAGTATTTTTATAGTTAATATTACTACAATAATGCAATGTAATGCAGTGATAAATTTTAGGTAGAATTTATTTGACCCGATTATAAATTGCTGTAGATTTGAAGGTAACATAATTATTAAGGGGTGTTAAAGTGCTATCTGAATCTTTTAGTAATGCTTTAGTAATTTATGTGTTTTAGAGACATTTGTGAACTTAGGGATTCATAAAAATATCTCTCAGGAATGCCAAGACATTTTGTATTTGCTTCAGAATGCTTTATCTTAACCACGGAGAGATAATTGATATATATCATCACAGTATTATTTTAATGTATGTATTCTTGAATGTTTAAAGGATAAAAAATTACATTATAAGTTTTAGAACTTGTGATTCAATAAAATACTAAAAAAACATAGATTATGTTATTTTACATTGTGATGTTATAAGATGTTTTGTTTAGGAAGTTTAATTCTTAGCCTAGAATTAAAAGGTAGCATGCTCGAAGTTCTCACTGAGGTTAGAGGAATAAGTTGCATATTATAATATTCTGTGGGGCATTTAATACTAACAATAAAGAATGAAGAAAAATCTGGCGAATTTAAGAATAACCTAGCTTTTACAGCATTTGTGATTGTGATTTTAAAAGACCTCATATTTGACCCTAAGAACTATAGAATATACACCTGTATAATTTATCACTACTTTAATATATAAATTATTTCTATTATTATGACTAATGGAACTAGATTTCTTTTGTTGTTAAAATAAAAAGTTGAGATAGCCAGAAATGCTGTTTAACTTTGCCTAGTGGCACTGTAGTAAATATGATTTTGATGACTTTTTTTTCCAAGTAGCTAAGATTTAATTGTTATTTTTCTTAAGATTTGTACCTGTAAGCTTTAGATAATAGATTTGTCATGCAGATAAATTATGAGCAATTTAACTAAAATTATTGTATTTCAGTGTGTCCAAAACATGAAAATAATGATGAACCGAACAAGGAAATATTTGGAACATAATTTCCCTTGACTGAGGTATGAGATTCATTTAATTATTAAATGTGTGTTTACACATGCAAATCTATGGGAAATAATTTGTTCTTTATTTGTTTCTATTATAGTTAAGAAAAACCTGTTTTGCAAAATGTTTTTTCACTGATCAACATAGAGGTAAATTTTGATAATGGACCAAATTCAGGTGAATTGGAAACTTTGGAAACTTTGGAAGGACTTTTGGTTTGGGTTCTTAGTAAGATCAAAAATAGGTACTTTTAGAATATTTTCTTCTTTGTGAGATCTAAAATGGCTACACAGCAGTCTTCTATTTCACAGGAGATATTTTTGGATGGAAATACAACTTGGGTAATGTTTTTTTGATTTGACATTTTTGTTCACAATTCGTTTTTAAGCTTTCCTCAGTAAGGTAGCTTTAGTTGTAGAGCCCAAGGTACAGAACTACAGAGCAGAAACCTAAAATGGCTTTGTTTGTACTATTTTGGGAGTGATAAATGAGGCTGTTTTCATGAATGGGATGAACCTATATGTAATAGAGTATTTTAGAAGGAATATTGTTATGGGTAAAGACATCTGGAATTGATGGTTTGCCATGAGGTTTGTAGTGTTAATACATCAAAGTTTCATAATTTCATACATTTAGTCACCCTTCTTTGCTGTAGAAACTGGTATTTTGTCTAGCTAGGATTAAGAACAAGTGGGTTTTGTTTTAGGAAAGAAAATAAAAATGCTCAACTTTTACTCTCATTTCTACAATTTGTCTATGCATGGGTGAAGACTGTTTCTCCCTAGGAGTTTTCTTTTCACTGATGCTAATGTTTCCGTAAGTGACTTGTGTTTTAAAAACCCCGATTTAGCAGAAAATAATAGCAATGCCTTCCAGAGGAAAAGAAAACTTAAGTAAAATGCCAAATAATGGTAACTTTGTCTCTTTCTATTTGCCTAGAATAAACAAACAAACACCCGAACAGATTTTTTCCTCCAAGAAAAGTGATAAGTGAAATGCACTTGGAATTTTTCTGAAGTTATTCACAGATTATTTGTGCATCTTACTGGGTAGACTGCTGCCTCTAATCAAAGTCAGATTACTCTCTTTCTGAGTCAATTTTTGAGCTCTGGGATATCTGTAGGGAGACAACTAACAACTGCCTTGAAAGATTTCATATTAATGAATATTATGTTAACCAGAATGTATAAGTGGGACTGCATATAGGAGTGCTCATTTTACATTTTGCCTTGTCTAATTTGATAAAGTGAATGAGCATCAAGGAAAGGTGATAAATAATATTGCTTTGTGGCTTTAATATATTGCCATTTAATCAAAGATTGCATGCCATTTTGTCTTTAAATACCCTTATGAGGTAGCTTGGAGAGATCTCTGCCCTTTTCAATCTGTGACAGATTTCCTAGTTCAGAGCAAAAAAGTCTACTGCTGAAAAATATGCATAATTAACAGGAAAGTATAATAAAGTTGTTGCTTAAACTACTAAAACTTTGGGATATTTGCATTGACTAGTTTAAGGTCTAGTTTATCAGTTTGTAGCACATTTATGTTTGTGAAGAAAAGATGCCAGAATTCCCTTATTCTACTTGAAAATAGATGCTACAGACTGTACCAGGAGATGCAAGAATATGACGGCTTATTCTTTTTTTTTTTTCCCCAGCTCTATCAGTGTTGCTACCAACAACCAGTGAATTCATCAGATAAAATGATAGAAGGTGTTTCCGTGTCCAGGGAGAGATTCTAGTAACCATATTACATTAGATAATTTAAATGCTCCCCATAACATACTGTAGACTGCCGCTACTGAGAATATAAGTTAAATTTATATAGCACTGAAAAGTTATACATTTTTATTAAACACCAGTAATCTTTCGTCCATGAGAGTGTTTCCTAGTTATTCCTAGGAAATTCTTCAATGCAGTCTTCCAAAGCATTAGAATTTTTTTCCCCCTCTGGTTTGACAGAGCCTTGTGGGCAATGTGCTTACTCTACAAACTGTGGCAACAGAGGGAAAGAAAACCGTAATGCTCCTCTATTAGACCATGCCATTAGCTGTTGGGAAACCAGAGCTCAGCTACAAATGGCTTCTAAAAACCTCAGCTCAGATAAGTGCAATGAAATCATACACAGCAGGAATCACACACCATCAGTGGTGATTCCTACTCTGTTCCTAAAGTTTCTTTCTGATTTTTAAGATTTTATAATTACCATGACCTGTGAGACCTTTCTTAAGGGAAATTTTCAACTGGGGAAAAATAGTAGAAGCTGGCTTTCTATAATTTAAGATAGTGCAAAATCAGTGATAGTTTCCTTTATAAATACTTTATTATATTAAAAATATCTACCTTATAGAGGTTTTCAGTTTAAGGTACACTCCCATTTAATTTTTACATCTTTAGAGATGCAGAAGACATAAAATGTGATTTGTAGACTAGGAAGTTATACTATAAATATATTCTTAACCCTATATATTGCTCTTTTGAGTTGTTTTCCGTTTTATAAGAAAAGCAAGTGGCTTCTCTATCAGCAATAGAGAGTCCTCATTAAGTATGAAAAAAACTGATTAGAAAAAGTGTTCATTATGACTCAAAGACTCACAAAATATAGTCAATGAGAGCCACTCTGGGAATGAATGATGCTTATGTCGGTGCTTACTTTAAGCTTCTTTACAAAGAGTCTCCCTAGCTTTTCACTTTCACTAACAAAAGGGTCTACGGCTCTTCCTTTGTGCTTGGAAATTCAGGAGCACCTCCCACTGCAAAGATTAGGTTATGAATCTAACAAATGAGAACCCAGTCTTCAAGTGCAATGTATTTGCCTATGATCAAGTTTGCTAGCAGTTGAGAATCTATAGTTTTGCAACACCACGTGATTCTCTCTGCTGTATTCTAAATCACAGAATATGTGGTATTATTCCACTTGTTCTATCACACCTACTTACAGACATCTTGATTTCTGAGATGTGGGCTCATCTCTCAATATCCTTCCAGTGTCATTTCAAATGTTGCCTGATCTAACTCCACAACACTTCAAACACAGAACACCACCTCTTGTGCTCCTAAGTTAAACGTGATGGTGGATTAATCTTGGTCCTTTAGTTGATAAATCAAGGTAATTTACTGCTGCTATACCCATACACAGTCCCTCCCCTGCTGGATCTCATGCAGTGTGGCTTTGTTGCTTTCACTTATGATTTTGCTGCTTTCATTTGGGTCAATATCATTGTAGTTATTTTGTAGACAAAGTAGTAAAAAACTTGATTTTTCCCTATCCTATATATCTGCAGCTCACTGATTTAAAATATTAGCATAAAGGTCCGCACCACAGTGATGATGTTCAATTTCATATTGAGATTGAAGATGGGGAAATAGCAAGGGCATACCAATTCAGCCATAAATATGTTTTGGGTCAATGTCATAAAATTGTCACAAAATTTTGGTAATTGAGAAAAAGCTAAAACTTTTTTTGTTTGTTTTTTGTTTGTAAAGGGAAGAAAAGTGCTTCTGAGGCTCTTTTGGAATAAGTAACAGTTTTCAGATTCACTTTTGCAAAGATTGCCAATATCCTTCGCAGACACCAACAAACCAGACTGAACAGAAAGATCCCTGTAGTAGGATGCCGAGCAAATCATTGACTTCTCCAATCTCTAAGAGACAATATCTAAATGTCAGTCTCATGGCATTGTATTTTCTGCTTCACCATAAGATTAGCAAACACAAGACATAAAATTATGTTTATTTACTAACCAATACAGAATATACTAGGCCCTTTGCCTGGAAGCCAGATTTCACTTCTGAGATTTTCCGAAGTCCATTCTAGAAGAGGTGGTTGTTACTGATACCCAGGGAAGGCAATTCTTAAATTGCTTACCTGGGGATGGAACTTTCTGTGGACTTTAGGCCCTTAAGACCAAAAGCCATGAGGCATTTATGAATAGGTGATGTAAGAAATTTTAATAAAAGTTGCAATAACCCTGAAAATAGTGTCTTTAATAACCTATGTACTATTAATAACAAAGCATGCATAGTGCCGTGCATTCATAACTATTTGGTCATAAAAATATGTGACTGTAATTATGATATTTACAGTCAACTTATAAAAATACATGTAATTCTGAATGGCAATAGTTAATCCTTAGCTCTAACCACAAGCCTAGAAGGATTAGCTTATTACGGGGAAATGTGATAGATAATTACAAAATGGACAAAGCTTTTACTGTCTTGAATTTAACATTCAAGAATAACTATAATAGCATCATAAAACATTTGTCATCATTATTCTTCTCACCTCACAAGGTAAAAACCTAAATTCTGTGGAAATAAATGGGAATCAAATAGGAAAGGGCCACTTACATGATACAACAACAGAGGAGAATAGTTCTTTCATAGAATACTCATGCACAGCCTTCAAAGAGGTTCATAGTAACTGCAAGAATTCCTGGGAAGACATCTAAACATGACTTTCATTAAAAAGAATTAAGGCTGGTCTAAAGAATCAAATCTCTAAGGTATGATTACCTTTAACCATAAACGGTAAAAAATCTTTTAGCTGATCTCTCTGTAATTTAGGTGAGTACCTCTTTGAAGTTTATTAACATCAAAGAGAGTGGAGCTCACATGGCACTTTCCAATTCAAATTTAAATTCTGATGGAAGGAAATAAATCCACATTCCAGTTTACATACAGAAAAAGAGTAGTTTTTTCAAACTTTATAACCTCTTACTTTAAGGGCATATATGTTTCAATTAAATAAAATATTACACAAAGCTAACATATTTCCCACAAATTTCTTCTCTTCTAGGAGTTGATTGGTCATCTGCTGACAACAGATAAGTTCCTAATTTGAATGGCATTAGTACTTCATAAATGAACAAAACAATGAGTGCAAACTGGAAAAACTAGGGAGAGGTGCATACAAGCTACCAAAAAAGGTTGGGATTGGGGGTGACCTGCAAGTCATGATCTCATATCTTAGGATGTATCTTAGTATTCAGGAAATGGAATTCTTGGAAACATCTGTTTCACAGTGAGGTTGGGAGGTCAGACGATGCTCTGTTAGATTCTTCTTAGGATTAAATTACTTCCTAGGACTGCATTAAGACACTTTAGGTGGTATATTAACTCTTCCAGAACAAATAATTCCATTTCAGTAAATTATTGCTACAGTTCTCTAAAGAGTACTACGGTGTCCTGGAAAAGATAATGTTCCTTCCAAAATGCCCTCTAGTCACTCGAACAATGAGAAATTCATATTTATCTTAGACACTTTGATCCTTGAAGACATAAACTAAAAAAGAACTGTTTTTCCCTATCTAAACAGAGACTATCTGGATGGAGACATAATATTAGATCTGCCCTGGTCATTTGGCAGTGTATACCATTTCCTCCATGTGCTTTTGACAACTGGCATGCTTGATTCTTTCCCTGTAAATCAGCCTGCCATTCTTCTTTGCATGCAGAATGGTCTATAGGAACCAAGAAAAAACCAACCCCAATAGCCAATCTTTTAAAAAATAGGTGAATGAGTGGAGCATGGCACACAATGGGAAGAAAAGGAGTGATAGTTAATTAACTTTCTCAGTGATTATCTCCCATATTTTGATATGGGAGATAAAAATCTTCCATATCAAATCTTTACAAATGATGGGTAATCTGTAAGAGGAATTCTCCTCCTCCCTGCACCCCCACTACAAAACTCCCACCCAAACAAAAAATCAAAACCCAACCAAAAACCTCCTCTGAAACTTCTACTTCAGATATGAGATCATGGTCTGGAGGCTACTCGTACCAAATACCAGTTCATTCTAGTACAGCAGTTCATGAGGCAAAAGGCTAGGAGTATTTGTGACATGACTTTACAAATAATGTAAAAACAATAACCCTATGATTATGGGCAATAATTTTCCCCACTCAAATCTATAGATATTGCACTGAAACTGACACAATGGAGAAGACATAGATCATTTCCTGTTGAAACCCAATTACCTCAAGGTAAAACAAAACAAACTCCATTTAATAAATGAAATATTACTTAAATGTTTTCATTTTAGGGTCTGTTCCCTTTCCCCTTTATATTCTGGAAAGTTATATGTCTAAGTATACTTGTTTTGTTACTTCATTAGTCTATCAACTTCATTTCCAGAGACTATAACGAGAATGGAATGGTTTGTACCTTTTTTCTGAACATAATTGAGTCAAGGAGTTTTGTTATTTTAGGTATTATTAATTTGATTAAAACATAGAACCAAAGTTGATGGGAAGTAGTAGCTTTCTTCTAGGTAAAAGAGCTTACTAGCAGATTTTATAATCATCGGACATTTATTCTGTCCTACCTGGAAATAAATTATGTTACTGCTTGGCATGGGAAAAGGCATTTTCTAGTAATTTCCTGTGACAGGAGGCACAGCAATAGTCCAAGTAAGCACCCAACAGGTGCTTGGGAGTAGTTTTAAACTTTAACTTAATGAAAACATTTACCTCAGTACTTTTGTTTGAGAAAGAATTCAGCAGCAGTTATAGTTAATATCCCACCTGTGGAGAGCTGCGATCACCCTAGGAGGTGGGCCAACCGAGGAGCACTTTCCAGGTAACAAGAGCAACACTATTGTGAGAAGCTACAAATGGTACTGCAGTAGGTGTAGTGAACACTACTATAGTGATCATGGCCTGGGTTATGTTCCAAATACTAATGCAAGGAATACACTAGAGTTTATAGGATTAGAATAGTTTCCTTATGCTAAGAACTAGTAGATGGCATGTGATGAGTGGGTATGGTCCATTTTATTCTATTTCACTCTACGAGTTTCCTAGTTATGTCTCCTTTCTCCTATGTTAATTATCTATATTCCATGACAGTTATTTTCCCTATCTAAAATAAGAACGGTGTAACTATGGAGTACCCCAACTCACATACACATACTTGTGCACCCTTAGACTCATGTATGGATAATCTGTGTAAAGCGCTCATTTGCAATTGGGTGAGCTCACTGAAAGCAGCCATATCAGTCTTCCAAATACAGTAAAAGCCAACGAAAATCCATATCAACTGTTTATTTCTAATATGAAACAGTAAACCTTGTCCATGTGGTAATTAATTCAAATGCCTTTTGTGTTTTCTTGTGAAGTCATCCAAAGCAAAAGTCTAGATGACTGCTGACATGATATGCATAATCTAATGAACTCACATCTCTGTTTATTTTGCTCATCCCACAGTTGAATGACACACTGACTGCTGAGACACTTGGGTTGATTTAGAACGGCTATTAATGAATCTATAAATTTGGCTAAGGTTGATTTGACTTTCTAGGGAAAAGCCAGCCTATCTTCAAATGGACAGCTCCCTCCACATAAACGTCAATGTACCCTAAAGACAAAACTAAGTATATGTATATACGGGATATATACATATATATGTACACATAAAATGGATTGGGAAGTCCTTTGGTTTAGACAGTATTAAATATGTACTTCCCAAGTGCATAGGTTTCCTTTGACCAACCTGTTCAAAAAACAAGCATGAAAAGTGCCATGGCACATTTCCCATGTCTTTCCCCCTATTTGAAGGACACCTTTCCTTGCTTCTCCATCACTCCTAAGCATTTTATTTTTAAAAGAAGCTGGTTATTTTGGCCTTCTATCTTAACACTCCATTGATTCATCCATTCCTTGGAAGAGCTCTCAGATTACATCCAGAAACTTGTTTTTAGAGGAGAACAAGGTTGCAAATAACTTTTTCCTCTTTTTTTATTCCCTCTTCCCCCCAAGAAGCAGGCACCTTGAAGTGTCATGAATAATGCACTCTTGATCTGACTTGCCTTGTTACCCCTGGCCAGCCCAAGCAGCTGAGGTCTGAGCTTTACTTGCCCTGCATCATTGTGCAATACTGGAAAAGAAAAATAATCCACTGGTCTATACCCCTCATACTGTGGTGACGTGATCCGGGTTCTCTTGAATTTCTATGCATTCAATTTCCTCTCTCTCCTTTCGCTTGGCACGTTTCTTTTTCTTGTGGTGCTTTTTGGAAGGGGGGAAAAACGTTAGGAACACAGGTAAAATAACAAAACAGTGCAGAAGTGTGCAACCCCCAGTGAGCAGCAAGCATTTGAACAGTGTGAAGGTCAGGTTCGAAGGCACAAATAGAAGGGGGACTAACCCAATAAGAAAAGAAGTAACATTTTGCAAAATGGCTGTCCCATGGTCTTGCAAGGAGCTTTTTATACATTGTGTTCGGGTGTGCTCAGTTGCTAATACAAATGTGAAAAGCAGTGGTGCACAGTGGTCAATGGCGAAATTCAAGGTGTAGATAAGGCACAAGATAGAAATGCAATCCATGTCGACGTTCCATAATGTCATTAAGCCCAGAACGCCCAGCTCAATTGAGGTGACGCTAAGAATTAGCCAGAAGTTTCCCAGAGGGTGGATCACTAGGAAAAAAGTCAGGATTAACACCAGGAGAACACCAAAGCCTGCAATCAGAACAGGCACTGTGACAGACAAGCTGTAATGGTCCATGAAGACAAAGGAGGGGTTGAACACGATGAATCGGATGCTCTTTGAGAGGGATAGGGGCCTCAGCTTTTCCAACACTTCTGTGATTTCTTTCTGCTTGTCTCTGCTAGTCCTGGCCACCAGATACAAGCGAGAAGCAATGATATTGCTTTCATCCCCTGCCTTGGAGAAGATGATATCATTTCGAAAATGCTGGAATTCTGGCTTTTTTAAAAATGAGCTTTGCAGGACACTGATGAAGTCACTTTTGTTATTGGCACTGACGTTGCTGACTTTCAGGAACTGGTAGTACTGCTCCACCCAGGACACTGCAGTGAATCCACTACAGAGTCTTCTTAGGTCATCCTGGACGCTGCTGTTCCAGTACTCTAGGGGCTCATAGACGTAGAATCCTATCACAGGGCTATAGTTGCTGAAATATTTCTGCTGAACCATGGCATAGGAAACACTTGGCGAATCACTGGCTAGTAGATTGATGATGTTGGCTCCGTCACTGATCTGTAAGCACCCCATGAAGGAGAAGGAGGCATAAATGAGATAGAGGATGACAACAAATGGCTTCACATATATATTGGTAATCCATTCATTATAATGTTCACGGAGGAAGTGCTGAATGAAGTGGTGCTGGTAGGGGTTCGTCTCATGATGGGACGTCTGTTGATGCCCATCACTCATCACTGTCTGGAACCACACAGGTTTGCGATCCAGGTATTCTGCAGAAGGGATCTTACAGCAAAAGATGCTGTGGTAGCGGTTTTGCTCTAGTTGGCCAGCAAAGACCAGACAGGAGCCAAAGAAGGAGAAAATGTAGAAGTAGTTCAACAGAATAGAGACACACATGTTTTGACAGAAGACCTTCACAGCCTCTATGTTTGTGAATGGGCTGGCACCCATGCCAAAAGTGATGAAGTACAGGGAGCTGGTCATGGTATAGGTGACCATCACATCAGAATAGGCATCTGCTATCCTGTCTTTGAAGGGCAAGTTCTCTTTGGTTCTCCGCCATCCGGACAGAAGCTCAAACACTCCTTTAGTTCCATGACCTAATGTTTTAAAAAAAGAAAATAATAATTATTTTTATTTCCTCCTATGGCTCAAGTGAATTCCTTATAGTTTATCTATGCTAAATGGCACTTTATACTCTAATCTTCAAAGGGCTGTGATCCTCCTATCAGGGCCTCAAAAGTTGAGTTATGGACAGGATACATTTGGTCCCTGTTTCACTTTAGCAAAGCCCAAATTTATTGATATTCTGGGAAAAATGAAACATGTATTGTCTGTTCTATCAATGTGACAAGTTGTAAATATAATGTTACGTTATTACATGATGTTTTTCCCCTGAACACATATTGTCTTCCTAAATAGACAGTTTTGTCAACGGCAGGGGCCGTTATTTGTGCGCCTTCAAATGACCCTTAACATCATGTCAAGTGCTTGGTTAACTGATTCATTGACTGACAGTTCCTAACTTTTGTTTCAAGCTGATTTATATGCTGATTTAGGAAATTATAAAAGTATGTTAAACACTTAAAAATGGCTCTAAACTGATTTTATAATGTTGATAATCTCCTTGGTGGCCAAATGGCTTAGAAACCAATTTCCAAAGAGTTGATTAATTAGCTCCGGATGTGAGTTTTTAAAAAAAAAATCTGCCACGTCACATAAAAGACAGGGCAAGACCTTCGGGGTGAAAAATCTTAGCAAGCACTTCCTTTGGGCTCCTCATAGAGCTCTGATTCACGTGAGATGGATGCTGACTAAATGCTTTTGACTGCTTCGTTAAAGTGAATGAAGAATACTTGTTTTAAACCAATGTTTGTGTCCCTTTTGATAAGAGTAAGTAGGCAAAAGGCTTAGTCAACACATATTACTTGAACACCCAGTGTATGCCAGACTCTGGTAGCTACTGAGCTGTAATTTTGAGGAATTTCATAGCTCTTAAGATACTACCACTTTTTTACTAGCAAAAGGAGAAAGCAGCTGAGTAAACAAAGGTATTATACTATATCTGCAATTTCCCCTTTTTTCACTTCCCTGAATTGGACCTGTCAATGACCATCCATAATATATCAATTGGTAGCTTTCTGAGTGAGTGGAAATCTTCATAGATCACTCTTGCCCTTGTGGGCATAGCAATACTACATAGGAACCTTTTCTGTGAATGGATACAAGCTGTGCTTGGGCTGTTCTCCAAGGAATCCATTAGACAAAGACATAGCTGAAAGGCACAAAATCAACTAGTTTATGAAAACCTGGAAAAAGGACTTAAATGTGGCACTTAGATATTGGAGTTAGGTGTTACAAACTTAATTTACTTAGTAGTGCTTTAACAAAGATGTGATAGCTGGGGTCTTACTGCAATTGCTCTGAAATTGCATTGCCGATAGCTTTTGCTAACTGACCTGTATAATTCCTCCCTTTCTTTTATTTGAGACTACAATGTACATACTTGAAAATATTATTTCCCAGCCTAGTTTTCAACTAGAGGTGTTTCATGTGACATAGTTCTGGACAATGCAATGTAACTGAAGGTCATCTAAGGATGCTTGTTAGAAAACCAGAGGGCATTTTGTTTGAAATAGTATAATGAAGCCACTGGGATGAGATCTTGTCTGCCTCCTTTTGGAATTCTCTTCTAAGAAAACCAAATCTTGGCTAAGCCATTGTAGGTAACGCTGTTACTTGCAGCTGAATCCATTCCTAACCAACAATGTTTCCTAGGTCAGTTAACATTTACCAAAACCTCTTTTAAGATGATCTAAGAATTCTTGCTTCATAGTTAATTTGACTATAGTATTTACAGACTTAAATGTATATAATGCAAATATTTGATTTTTAAAGACACATTGGCCAAACTTTTGGTAGTTTTTATCAATTATTAATAGCTACTAAAGGAAGCTAGGCATTGGAATTCTTTTTACCGCTAATGTAAAGCCTATTTATTCTTCAAAGCTGTCTCTTACGGGTCTCCAATCAGGAAAGATGAGTTTATCATAACAAGTAGAAAGGTTCGTGTAAACTGCATTTAGGAAAAGGCACGTTTTTTTCATTTGGAGGTCATGAACTGTTCCTTCTTGCATTTTATCAGGAGCTCAACATATGTGTATTACATTTAGTCTAATGATTCTTAACAATGTTAATTGTTCATTCCTATCTTCGGCAAAACTCCTTGAAGAGACAGAATACAGTACTTGCTCTATTATTCCCTTGACTAAAATACAATGTTAGAATAAGGGTTAAGGTAATTAAAATAATTCTTTAATGAGAGCATCTCTCTTCAGAAATGAGGACTCCTGCTATCTTTGTAGTCACAAGGTGGGGAAAGGCTACATAGAGCTACAGCTAAATTTGGCTTGCCTTTGATAGTGGTCATTTTTATGGAACATTAGGTACACTATGTAGGCCAGATTTTTGCTTTATGTAGTACAAAGGCCTGTAGGTGTAGGAAGATGATACTAAACCATATTAGATTAGGTAATCACTTTAAATGTGGTCGAGACTGAAAATACAATTTCCAAACTTTGTTTGGAGATGGCGTGTTTTATCCCACTCATATGTTTAGATATTTTATAGGATTTTCCTACTGATATTCACTCATTTGACTGTCACAATAATCTGCCCATTTTCTAGCAGTTCAAATGTATTGCCTGCTCCAGTCAAGGTAACTCTTTCACTGCCCTGTGTGCATGTTCCTCATTAGTCTTATCTTCTTAGCTTTGTTTATGTTATTTTCTGTCCCTTAAAATACTTTCCTCAATTCTGGTCATATTAAAATTCTATTCATTGGTCTGTTAAGGGTCAGTTAAAGTCTCCTATTTGCTATGAATCCATTTCTAATGATTCCAGTGATATATATATATATATTCCTTAAATTTTTATTGCCCTAACTAGTCACTCATTTTGGCCCACAACCATGTGCTGTTTTGCTCTGGAATTAAATGGTTTTCTCAAGATATGTTCTATCTCTTGGTTGGATTGCAAATTCTTCATGGCTAGGGAATGCATTTTATCTTACTTTTATACTCTGCAGGACATCTGGTAAAGTGATAGATGCCCAAAAGATGCCCATTAACTTCTTTTTGAATTAAATAAACTATAATTCTTGATTCTAGATGGGTCCAAAAATAGATCTTTTTATTACTTATTCTAAAATTTATTATACATCTTTGTACCTATATAAATATCGATTGTATCCAGAAGAGCTATATACTATTTACTTTCATTCAATGCAATATATATTTATTTAGAGTTTGTTATATAATAACTTTTGCTAGCCGATATATAAGATATAAGGGTAAACAAGGAACACAATCTTTTTCAACAACTGTCCAGAAAGTCATTTTCACTTAAGTAATTCTGAGACCAAGATTATAGCTTCTAATGCAACTGCTTTAAAAATAGGGATATATACCTAAAAAATTATATTGGCACTTGTAACAAAGCCATCAATACTTCTCTAAAAATAAAGAAGCAAGAGCATGAATAAAGAAGAGAATATGTCAGAGTGAGTTTTCTTTTTGTAGATGTTACTTCTATTGTCGTATAATGAGAAAATATACTACTGTGAAAACAGCATAATTATTTATTTTAAGTTCCTGCTAATGCATTTAGAATGTCTATATTTATTAAAATGCTAGATATTACTAGGATTTTAGACTTTAAAATAACTTTAATTAATTAATATGAAATAACTGTGTATAGTATCAATGGAATTAATTGTATGGAGAGATAAAAGTTTAATAAAAGTTTTATTTGTTTAATCCAGGGTTTCCCAACTGGGCACTATTGACACTTTGGGCTGGATAATTCTTTATTGTCGGGGACTGTCATGAACTTTGGAGGATGTTTAGCACCATTCCACTACCCACTAGATGCCAGATGCACACCCCACAGTTATAACAACCAAATATTTCTTCAGACATTGTCAAATGTTGCCTGTGGGGCAAATTTGGCTTCAATTGAAAATTATTGGTTTAGTCAAAAGAAAAAGAAATAATATACTCACTCATACACACACATACTTAATTATCTGTTTCTGATTATAAAATCAGGATACATTTCCATGGAAAATTTGGGAAAGATGAAAAATAGTGGTGAAACAAATTATTCCAGAATCCCGTAACACAGAAAACTGCTGTTAACAACTTCAAGAATTTATTCCAGTCATTTGTTTATTTATCTTCCAAGCTTATGTATGTATGTGTGTGTGTGTGTGTGTGTATGTATGTATGTATATATTCATTTATGTATCTACCCATCTGTTCAGATAGGTAACTACCTATATAACTAATTCAAAGAACTGGATTGCTACCAACCAAAAATTAGAATTTAGGATTACTCTTGCAACTCTGTCCAGATGCCAATCAACCATGGAGAGTCTGTTTTCCAATTTCTGCAGTGTTTTCTGTCTTTGTTTCTTACTTTTCACTTTGGTTTCCATTCTGAGGCTGGAACCATTTTTCGAGCATCTGCTCTCTTGAAAGAAGCCCCAATTTTCTCTTTAGCTTTTTCTAATAGTATTTTATTCCCTGCAGTTCCACCCTTACTCAGAGATTCTTAATCCAATTCAAGTAATCCACCTCAAACTGATGCACCAGTGTCCACCCCAAAGACACTGGTGGCCCACCAATTCAGGTGATGCATGGATCACATATAAATGTGACATGCCCCACTGAATGATGATTGGAACTACATTATATTATTTCCCAGTACCCAGTCCTAACTGTTCTTTGAGTCTGTCCCATTTTCCCACCAAAATCTTTAATTCTCACCTGAGGCCACTGCTTGTTTTAAGAACAACTCCATTCAAGTTCTGGACTTGTTTTACATGCAGTTACCTAATATATAAAGAGGAATTTTGTTCTTACTAAGTAGGGCTGTATGCTGTGTACCATGAAAATGCGGCTGATTCTTCCTGAGGGATCAGGGAAAGCTTCAAAAGGTTTAGGCAGAGGATGATGTTAATGACAGTTTAGGCTGATGGGATAACATGAATAGAGACAAAAACCCCTGTAAACTATGAAGAGGTAGTTGTGTGTTTAAAGTTTATAATTGTTATTTTTTTTCCCTCAGTAGAGATTAGCTCACTGCTATAGCGAGCTGGTATACTATTGTCCACAGTATATTTTTGATTTATGTTCCAAAATCTGACTGCCACACTTTGGTCATGATTTCCCTGAATTACATTAGTATATATTTGCACACTGCATTAGATTAATATAATAAGTAACTCACTCGGGACATTATTAGATGACTAATATTTCCTTTAGCACAGTTTTTTGAAATAAAAGAGAGAGTTCTTAAGGGTAAAAAAGAGTTGGACAGAGGAAAAACTGGGAGAAAAATTCAAGGAGGGAGATGAATAGAAATAATAAGGGGGTGTGTGTGTGTATTGAGTACTCCACAAGTCTGATGGGATGCTGATGGGGAGCTCTCTTTCCAAATGAAAGCAATTAGAAGCATGGTGTAACAATAAGGAAAACCTACATGGCAGCTTGCTAACATGCCCCCATTTAACAATGATTTGGTAAGTTCTGCTATTTGCAATTGAGCCACATGAAAAAGATAAAGATCATGAAGGTTCTTCATGGTCATGGTCGTGCAGGTCTGCCAGAGTGAATATTTAAGTGTTTTTAAATTAAAAAAAAATTATTGTTACCAAACAAAACTGATACCAGTCCTCAGTGAGGTGGGGAGCACTCAGAACTGGTTATAATTCCGTTTGAGCTTCTAGTAATCATTCTCCAACAAATAAAGATGACTTCTAAAGTAAGATGGTTCTTCTCTGAGAAACAGCTCCAGCCTTCCTTTAAGAACATTTTTTCCAAACTCCTACTCTTCTAATGTAAGCTTCCATATTGTAATTGCATCTAACATTGCTGTAGGAAAACTCTCTGGTGACGTAGTTAGGCCTAAAGAGAAGTTTTTCTTTTTTCTTTTTTTTGAGACGGAGTCTCACTCTTTCACCCAGGCCATAGTGCGGTGGCGAGATCTCAGCTCCCTGCTACCTCTGCCTCCCGGGTTCAAGTAATTCTCCAGCCTTAGCCTCCTGAGTAACTGAGATTACAGGCACCTGCCACCACACCTGGCTGATTTTTGTATTTTCAGTAGAGATGGGTTTTGCCACATTGGCCAGGCTGGTCTCAAACTCCCGACCTCAAGTAATCTGCCCGCCTCGGCCTCCCAAAGTGCTGGGATTATAGGCGCGAGCCACGGCGATGGCAAGATTTTTTTTTTTTTTTTTCCCAGAGCAATGTTGTTCTATAAATCCAATATCATTTTTACAGTTGCCATTTTAATCCTACACTCAATCTCTCCAAAACCTACAATTCCAAAGAAAATACTTTTAACGAGGATGAAATTCAATTGGAACTAATTGTAACTGACTCAATTAATGCTCTCTACTGAGTTTTTCTTTGCTATGTTGCTTTAATAAGCATGATCTGTGGGTTTCTAGTTTATTTTAATCAGCAGAATTAGAATTCTCATTTGCCTTCAGAAGACATACTGGTGGGTTTTCCTTTTCACTTGAACATGCTAATCAAGATATGAAAGCTTGACACCGATATGAGAGACGTAAGAAATAGAGGTTAAAAAAAAATACTCCTTTTTATGACCTGTTCCAAAGAAAGCTTACTACTTTCCCTTAGAAGTTATTTCTTCATTTGGTTAGCTACACTTTCAATAATTGTGTTTGTGAAAATCACCCCCGATCGTGACATCCCAATGCCAACTAAATGAATGAATAATGAATAAAAAAAATAAAACCACAATCAACTGAAAACTCAGTCCAGCAAAGCAGATGCAAAAAAGTCTGGATAATACATCAGTATTTTAAGTTATTGTTCACTTCTTTGGCATTATGTGGGATCATTTATCCATTGTTCCTTCTCTTTAGCTGGCTGATTCCTACTTAGCATGTTCTCAAGCATAATCTCACCACTCGAACATGCGTGATCTCTAACACTTTCCGCTTGCCCTACTCACCCGCATTCCACCAACTTAGACATCTCTGCCCTGTATTCCAACCCAAATCACAGTACTTACTATACGCTAGACTGAGATTGCCCGTTGGTGGGCCCATCTTTTAGCCAGTCCAGAAACTCTTCACTGGCCAGGTTAGGCACTTGCCTTTTTCACTTTTGTATATTAATTATTGGCTTATGGTAAATGCTCAATAAATGTTTTTAAAACTGAATTGGCCATGATCTACATGTAGAAATTTTAAAGATATTTGAACACATTCTTCTTGTAATAGTTATTATTGTAATGATACTTACTAGATTAACAATAATAGGTATAATCTATATAAATATATTAATTTATATTTAATATATTTTATGTAATTTACTCTATACATTTTTAATAGAATTATTTTATATAACTTATAAAATTTATTGAGGAATTAAATATAAATTATAACTTTAATAATAATAAATGTTACTATTTATCATTAGTTCTTACAATAATTATTATTAACAGCCCTATATTCAGCAATGGGTTTTGTGAAATAGATATTATTTGCCTCATTTTACTGAGAAGGAAACTTGCTGAGTGTCACCCAGTGATTCTGAATTTTTCTCCCATTTCCTCCTCTGTTCAGTTCACATTGACAGAGGTGGAAATAGATGTCAATTATACCTAATTGGGAAATTAGCATATTATTCATTAATTTGGCTGGTTCAGGATTATGGATATCTAACAGAGAATGGAATATGAAATGAAATTACTTGTTCTATGTTGTTCTTTGACAGGGTAGAAACAGGTTCATAAGACACTCCTTTTGCCTGAGAGATGATGAACTCTTTAGATATTTTCTAATCCCCATAATGTCTAGTCTTGAGGTGATGATCAGTGTGTATTTGTATACTGACTGCTTCTAATTTAGTATCATCTAAAGTAAATAGATGATTATCAAGCCCCAAAGGTTGCTCAATTTATACAATGGCCAAAGCTTCTACCTCTTGGTTCTTATATAGCCCACAAAGGGTAGGGGGTGTTTAACAGGAATTCTCTAAGCTGCTACTGCCAGGGACATGTATGATGGTTTTACCTGGAAACCTTTGATAATGTTGTTCAATGAGGGAGGGCCTCGCTTTATCTTGTCCTTAAGCAAGAAGTGACTTCACTTGAAATATTCCCATCCCAGTACAGAATGAGTCAGAGTAAAGAGCAGAGAGTAGGGACGGGCATGGTGGATCAAGCCTGTAATCCCAGTACTTTGGGAGGCCGAGGCAGGTGGATCACAAGGTGAGGAGATCGAGACCATCCTGGCTAACATGGTGAAACCCCGTCTCTACTAAAAATACAAAAAATTAGCCGGGTGTGGTGGTGGGCGCCTATAGTCCCAGCTACTTGGGAGGCTGAGGCAGGAGAATGGGGTGAACCCGAGAGGCGGAGCTTGCAGTGAGCCAAGATAGCGCCACTGCACTCCAGCCTGGGCGACAGCGCGAGACTCAGTCCCCAAAAAAAAGAGTAGATGGGAAAAGGAGCAGAATATTGCAAAGAAAAGAGGAAATAATTATGAGCATGAACAGACACTCAGTCCTTAGCACTCAGGAGGTTACAGGATTTTATTAGGTCTCTAATAAGAAAAAATAAAACTTAGTAGCAGATTCTCATTGTATAATTTTCAGAGCAGTTGTATATTTTATATATATATCTTAGTGTATAGATAAAAGACATATAGTCTCATCCAGAGTTTGCATTCAGTCATTTTGACAATTTATTTTGTAGTTTTTTGTTTGTTTGTTTGTTTTTGTTTTTGTTTTATTATTATTATACTTTAAGTTTTAGGGTACATGTGCACATTGTGCAGGTTAGATACATATGTATACATGTGCCATGCTGGTGCACTGCACCCACTAACTCGTCATCTAGCATTAGGTATATCTCCCAATGCTATCCCTCTCCCCTCCCCCCACCCCACAACAGTCCCCAGAGTGTGATATTCCCCTTCCTGTGTCCATGTGATCTCATTGTTCAATTCCCACCTATGAGTGAGAATATGCGGTGTTTGGTTTTTTGTTCTTGCGATAGTTTACTGAGAATGATGATTTCCAATTTCATCCATGTCCCTACAAAGGACATGAACTCATCATTTTTTATGGCTGCATAGTATTCCATGGTGTATATGTGCCACATTTTCTTAATCCAGTCTATCATTGTTGGACATTTGGGTTGGTTCCAAGTCTTTGCTATTGTGAATAATGCCGCAATAAACATACGTGTGCATGTGTCTTTATAGCAGCATGATTTATAGTCCTTTGGGTGTATACCCAGTAATGGGATGGCTGGGTCAAATGGTATTTCCAGTTCTAGATCCCTGAGGAATCGCCACACTGACTTCCACAATGGTTGAACTAGTTTACAGTCCCACCAACAGTGTAAAAGTGTTCCTATTTCTCCACATCCTCTCCAGCACCTGTTGTTTCCTGACTTTTTAATGATTGCCATTCTAACTGGTGTGAGATGGTATCTCATTGTGGTTTTAATTTGCATTTCTCTGATGGCCAGTGATGATGAGCATTTTTTCATGTGTTTTTTGGCTGCATAAATGTCTTCTTTTGAGAAGTGTCTGTTCATGTCCTTCACCCACTTTTTGATGGGGTTGTTTTTTTCTTGTAAATTTGTTTGAGTTCATTGTAGATTCTGGATATTATCTACAACTATCTGATCTTTGACAAACCTGAGAAAAACAAGCAATGGGGAAAGGATTCCCTATTTAATAAATGGTGCTGGGAAAACTGGCTAGCCATATGTAGAAAGCCGAAACTGGATCCCTTCCTTACACCTTATACTAAAATCAATTCAAGATGGATTAAAGACTTAAATGTTAGACCTAAAACCATAAAAACCCTAGAAGAAAACCTAGGCATTACCATTCAAGACATAGGCATGGGCAAGGACTTCATGTCTAAAACACCAAAAGCAATGGCAACAAAAGACAAAATTGACAAATGGGATCTAATTAAACTAAAGAGCTTCTGCACAGCAAAATAAACTACCATCAGAGTGAACAGGCAGCCTATAAAATGGGAGAAAATTTTCGCAACCTACTCATCTGACAAAGGGCTAATATCCAGAATTTATTTTGTAGTTCTATGTAGTATAAAAAACTTAAAGATCCAGTGTATGTGTGTATATATATATATGTGTGTGTGTGTGTGTTTGTGCATATATACAGATATACACCCATATCACATACGTATACACACATATATGCATATATAGTATATGTGTGTGTGTTTATGTATGCATGTGTGTCTGTGTGTGTATATATGTATATTTGTCAATACACCTAAATTTGTATGTTTTTATATATATTATATATATATATGGAGAGAAAAAGTGAGAAGAGAAATAGCAATAGAGATGGGAGATGGGGATGCCCTAAAACTTCTTGACAATTGCAGTCAAGATTTTCATACTCAAAGTGGGCCAAACTTGGTAATTAACACGATTTGATATTGTAGTTAGTAGCAAATTCCCCCAGAACAGACTGCTTGTGTTTAAATCCCATATCTCCTACTTCTGAGATCTGTGACCTCAGGCCGTTTTTGTAAGCCTCCACGTATCTGTTTCCTCATCTGTAAAAAAGGGTGACAGTGAGATGTACCTCATGGGATTGTTAGGCGTTTTAGATAAGTTAGTACATGTGCTTGGAACACAGTAAGTGCTACATTGAATGGAAAAGCACAGTGCTGCCAACTGCAGGACGACTGTCATGGAGAACGTTCCAAATTGTTGGACTTGGAATGCCAACTTCTGAATGCAGCTTGGTTACTGATGTCTTTACTGCCCCAGCTGAGTTGGCTTTGTAAGGGGGGGGATTCCCGGAGCTCTCTTTTCAGCTTTCCTTGCTGCAGGGCCTTGGTGCTGCCAAAAGATGAAGCACCACTGCAGAGCCAGCACACACAGGATGGCTTGCTTTCCTGCTCTCTCTCTTTCCCTGCTAAATAGCCACTATCAGGAAGTTTTCAATTTTTTTCTCTGTACCTTCCATGCTTTTCAAGTTTTCGAAAATGAATATGGGCCGTTCACTGTGGCTCACACCTGTAATCCCAGCACTTTGGGGGGCTGAGGCTGGTGGATCACTTGAGGTCAGGAGTTTGAGACCAGCTTGGCCAACATGGTGAGATCTTGCATCAACTAAAAAAAAAAAAAAAAAGTACAAAAAATTAACTGAGTGTGGTGGCGCATGCCTGTAATCCCAGCTACTTGGGAGGCTGAAGTGGGAGGATTGCTTGAACCTGGGAGGTGGAGGTTGCAGTGAGCTGAAACCATGCCACTGCACTCCAGTCTGGGTGACAGAGTGAGACTGTGTCTCAAAAAAAAAAAAAAAAAAAAAAGATTGAGGAAAGAAATGCAGCCTCTGAGGGCTGGGTGCTGTCAAGTAGGCCATGGTGCTGCCAGGAGTTGTTCTGGCACTCCCAGCTGTGTTGAGTGTTATCTTCTCGACCACAGACAACCTCGCAAAACAGCATCAGACAAGGCCATTCTGTGACCGGCATGAACCGAGACAAAACGAGACCCCTCCATAATCAGAACCAAATCTGAAAAAAACACAAACATTGCCCAAAACGTAAAATGGACTAAATCTCTTCCTTTCAAAAGTGGTAGTGGTAATTGGCCCTCCTTTACCAATCACGGCTTACCCTTACTCTAGTATTTTCTCCATCTAGGTATAATAATTACTAAGATAACTATTATTAAGATAACCAGTCATAGAACTACCCTCTCTTCTTGACAGTAAACAACCATGCTCCCTTGAATTCTCTTCCAAATCATCTAACATTTGCAACAGTCATATAAGTCCATTTTAATACCTTCTTCCTAAAATACTCCATGGTCCCCGATGGCGTGGGTTTTTCCTCATTGTAATTAGTCAATAAACCTAAATGTGTTCAATGATAGTAGTATTCTTGGTGGTCTGGCTGGAGGATGCTGGTATTTTATAACAAATATTTTTGGAAAATAAAATGCACTAAAACTTTTGTTGTCATTGCTGATTTATAAGTAAGTTTCATTTGAGTATAGGAGTTATAACAGGAACATTGGGTGAGAGTTAAGCCCAGAAGGATTTGAATATCCAAACCATGCCACCACTAAAAGGGATGGCTTCCTGGTAATATGTTAGTTGTGTTATCACTGAAAAGAGAATGCCAGTTGGGCATATGAGAAGTGGGAAGTTATTTTGAGAAGATGATAACATGAATATTAACATAGGAGGAGGGAGGAGGAGCCATGTGGAACTAAAAATTCATTGCTTTAGGCAGAGAAGAGCAATGAATGGAATAATCTGGAGTGGGGCTGAAAATCTTACAATGGTCAAGAGGAAGGAATTGGTAGTTTATAAACTAAATACAAGCATATACTTTAAAAATTAAGACCTAGAATAAAAAAGAAAATAATAAATACAAGAACTTGCAGAAATAACAATTATGACAATCTTATCATTTGTTGAGGGATCATTTAGGGAATAAAAATTAATTCTTTCATTTGAAGGACATTTCCTGAGTGCTGCCCGGTAAGATATGGTAAAATGTCATCACTTTAAAGTTTAATAACTTCTTTTTGTCCCATTTGAAAACCATATCACATCCATATGCCTGAATTTAACAGTTCATTAATTGCAAGCTCTGGAGATCTTTTATCCTATAAAGAGTAAAATGGATGCTGACTTAGGATTTTTACAATAGCAAAAGCTGGAGAATGTTTTTAAAATGTCTGATTCAATCATTAGGATGTATTTATGAAATGGAAGGACTCTTACTTTGCAAACTTAGATTATGCACAGCTTTGATTTCTACTAAATATGATTCAAGAGAAAAATCTTCAAAGCTGTAGCACAGATGCTTGATAAAAGCATAATGCTTCAAAGGACAAGTTTTAAGGGGCATCCCTGAATGTTTTGTGGCCTTTCTTCCCAATGAAGATGAAATAAAAACATTCCACAGCTGGATTTTTTTCTGAACAGAATGCCCTGAAGCCAATGGAAAACCAGTTAACCCAAAAGTTCAGGAATGGGATGATTCTGATCATTGGAATAGTCATTAAATTAATCAACCAGAACTTCCTTTTTGATTCAACTCTGATTGGTTGATTAACTTTATTAGAGATCTTTTTATTTTTTTTGAGATGGACTCTCGCTCTGTCACCAGGGTGGAGTGCAGTGGTGCGATCTTGGCTCACTGCAACCTCTGCCTCCCGGGTTCAAGCGATTTTCCTGCCTCAGCCTCCCGAGTAGCTGGGACTACAGGCGTGTGCCACCACGCCCAGCTAATTTTTGTATTTTTAGTAGAGATGGGGTTTCACCATGTTGACCAGGATGGTTTCTATCTCTTGACCTCATGATCTGTCCACCTCAGCCTCCCAAAGTACTGGGATTACAGGCGCGAGCCACAACGACCAGGTTGTAGAGATTTTTCTAAAATGTGTTAGACTTTTGTTCCTCTTCTGTATCTAGTCCTGACAAAAAGAAAAGGTTGTATGTGTAGCAACTAAAAAGATGCACTGTGGAGTCAGGCATTTTGGTCCCAGTTCTGGCTCCATATATTGAATAATATACTTTGGAGTCATCATTTTATCATGCATTAATAATCAAGAGGCAATATGGTATATGAGTCAAGGCATCAGGCTATGTGGGTTTACATTTCTTCACTACCATCTATTAGATGGACAAATGAACTACTCCATGGCTCGATTTGCTAACCTGCAAAATGGAGAGAATAACAGTATCTGCTTCAAAGACTTGCTGTGTTAAATGAAACACAGATACATGAGTCCCTTAGTACAAATATCTGGTACACAATTACTGTGCTCCCTTAAATGTTAACTATTACTGAGTAATATTATATAGTTGTAGCAGCATAGGAATTTAAGTTGAATGTGTACCAGGCCTAGAGCAGAGTTTTAAAGTTTTCTTCTCTGATTATTTTGAAATTTGTCTTTTTTGTCTTTAGAAGTTAATTGTGGAAAAATGCTGATTAACAAAGGGTTTAGTTAATTGGATTAAACTAATTGAGGCATTCCTTATATGTATGTTCTTATTCAGAATAAGCTGAGTTGTTTTCATTTGGTAGGGTGAAGCTGAAAAAGAGCTTTCTCATCTCTAATTTATTCTGCAAATAACAGCAAACCATTCACACTCAGGAGGAGAACACGGTTGAGTTGCTGGGCAGCCAGCTGAGTTCTATCAGCCCATGGGGCAGGAAGACCCTTGCCAGAGGACTCTCTCAGAAATGGCAGGAGCAGGAGTCAATTGAACTTATTCCTGATGAGTACAGTACAGGCTTCCTTTCAAATGGAAAAGGCCCTCTTCTCACCACAGTTTGCTGCAATCAGTCCCCTTTCAGCAGTCCACAGCTTAGCCTTGGCCTTATTACAACATAAATTTATAAACAGAAGTTCTTTCAAAAAATATTTGATGTTAATTCTTGAAGTCAGGGAATTGAGGATAGCAGGTGGGGAAGATAGCAACACGGCAGAGGGGTCTGGAGCACCAGCTCTGGTTTTTATGCCAGGTTCAGTCCCCATCTGTGTTACTTCCCAACTAGATAACCTTCAACAAGAAACTGCTCCATGTAGTCTTCCTCATATGCAAGACAAAGAATGCAAACTCCTATCTTACTGTGTTGCTGAGAACAGTAAACGAGATAATCTGTATAATGTGCCCTTGGCACTTACTAAACATTCAATAAATGTTAGCCATCATTTTTATTTATGGATGAACATTCATTTGGGGTCTTGGCTATATACTCACAGTATATCAAAATACATTTCTAAGATTCATTCTTGAAGCTATCAGTAGAAATGAAGTCAATCATGATAACATGCCAGAACATTTATTGCTCTCTTGTGATAAATTTTATTCTTTCTTTCCATCTTGATAATGTCCATGGACTTCGTCCTGCTCATTTGCATTAGGCAAAGATTCATCAAGAAAGAATAATAAGGGCTGGGTGTGGTAGCTCATGCTTGTAATCCCAGCACTTTGGGAGGCTGAGGCAGGTGGATCATCTGAGGTCAGGAGTTTAAGTCCACCCTGGCCAACATGGTGAAACCTCGTCTCCACTAAAAATACAAAAAAATTATCTGGGCATGGTGGTGCATGCCTGTAATCCCAGCTACTGGGGGAGGCTGAGGCAGGAGAATCGCTTGAACCCATGAGATGGAGGTTGCAGTGAGCTGAGATTGTGCCACTCCACTCCAGCCTCGGCGACAGAGTGAGATTCTGTCTCAAAAAAGAAAAAAAAAGAAACAATAATAAAAACAGTCAAATGAAGACCCATGCAGACAGCTAAGATGATAAAATAGCTAACTGGACCCCAGGGAAAGATGAGCTTGGCCACGTGACTACCAGAAAGTTTAGACAAATGATCTGAAGGTTTCTAAACCTATATAAAAACTCTAGGGTTTTTTTCAGTAGTTACAGAACAAAATAAAACAGGTCCACATTGTTTCTTTTCAGACCATATTCACTTATAATTGACTGACAACAACCTAGGTTTCAGAAATTTTAAATAATGAGCTGATAAAAGCATGTTAGCAGCTTGTAAAATTTATCTCTTTGATACTCACTGAGATTTCTCAAGAGGTAGATTAGTTAACATTGACATGGGAATCTTCAATAAGATAGCCTGCCTTTCAAATAAATCAAACAACTAATCAGCAGATATTAATTAAACACCTACCATATGCATAATCATGGTGCTACATGAGAGCACATTCAACTTTTTCTCTAACATATGTATCCTCCTTCCACGTGCCCAACAAGTACATAAGTTGCACAGATATTTTCTAGAATTTGGAAAGTTCTTCCATATTTAGAGTTGGAATTCATCATCTTAAATTTCCAAAATTTGCTCCCAGTTGTATCCTCGTATGCCAAGTATTTTGCCACATACCCATACTTCGAATACTGGAGATAGTAGCATGGTATGTTCCTTCTACTCCAGGTCAATCATCTCATTACTTTAACTTTTACTCAGATGATGTCTGCATAGGATTCCATTTGGAGTATCATATAGCAATGAAAATGCCTTGAAACCAAAGCCTGTGCCTTTGATTTGCCCCTCAGCACCTAGCAGTGTCATGCGGATAGTGGGCACTAAACAAATACTTTTGAATCTAGTGCTAAGATGTTTTGTAGATAAACTTGTTAAGCTCAAAAGCAGACTGAGGTTTTGGGGAGAAGTAGATGATAACCCCTGTGATCATCTCTTAACTACAGTTAAGGAAGATGGCAGAGAGATGAACATTTACCTGCTGTGAATTGTTATACTTCTTTCATTTTCTGTACTGTAGTGGGTAGTGACACTGTCTTCTAATGTGATGATTGAGATGATTTCTGTGACAAATGTGGTCCAGTCAGTACTGTACAAATTCTGTCTTCACCAACGGTGGAGGTCCTCAAAGGAAAGAAACCCGTTTCTCTCTTATGAGGCAGAGTATCCTAACAATTCTTTTTGGATAAGTTTACTGAGTCTATGAATGAACTAATAAATGCTTTAAAAAAATAGGTTTTCTCTGCCACATTGCTGTTTTCCATGAAGAAGGGTTATTTTGATTTGCTAGTGGAGTTGCCTGCCGCTTCAATGCTGAGAAAAGATGTTACTACATGGAAATGTATACATGAAAATTATTTTCCATATTCAATTTTAGGAGTTAATCTTCCATGAAAATGTAAATACTCCTGAGAAGACTCACTTTATAAGCACAGTAGTTTTTTATTTCTTTGGGTGAATGAGTTTTTCATATTCTTTCCTAAGGTATTGATAAAGTAGGATAGGTACAAAGGAAGGACCCACTAAATGGGGAGATGTACACAAAGGGACCATGGAGAACACCGCTGTATCTGAATCCCATTAACTCTCTGTGAGGCAGGCATATTACACTCTCCTCTCATTTAATGGTTAAGAAATGGAGGCTTGGAAGAATCAGAGACATGCAAATGTACAGAGTTCTTTTGGTAGACACGACCAAAACCCAAATCGTCAGACTCTTACTCCAGTGTAAGGAGACTGATCTCCTTGAGGATCAGTCTTGAGGGCAATGACTGTGTCTTGCCATCATTACTGTATCATCTTTTCCTATGTCAGTACCTGGCACTCAGTAAATATTAGTTTTTTTTGTAAAATTGAGGAATGAATGTGTGCCTCTGAGCTCCCGTGTTTTCTGGTGTTCTAGTATTTTGAGGTGGAGATGATCGTTCCCTACTTCTTATGTTTCCATGAACTGGGGACCCCTACTCCACTTTCATTTGGGTAGTGTTAAAGAGAACATTTCTACTCCTTCTTTTCACTCTTTAACTATTCTTCTCCAAGCACTGGGAACTGCTGACCTGATGATGAGAGTCTGATAACACTTGCTGCAATTTATCAATAGGTTGGCTGCTATTCCTCTAAAACAGTAAGTAAGTGGAATCTCATTTCTCTCTCCTGCACTACTTGTATAACAGACAAGTAAGAAGCGCCAAGGCTTGCTCTCAGCTTTCTCATTCCATGCATGACGCAGTCCTGGACTTGTTTTGTAAAAGGATACCAGTCACCCGTCTCTTAACATTGGTCTCTGGCATTCTGTCTCCAACAGCAACTGAATTTATGAGGCAAACCACAGTCCTCCATGTACTTGGCTGCTAAGTAAATCCTGGGGAGGGAGATGTCATTAAGACCTAATTCTCCCTTCAGGTGAAGGAAGAAAATCTAGATTTTGGATTTGTTAGGTGGAGATTCCTACATTGGCTTCTGGTCCCAGATAAGGTCTCTATTCCAGCTTTACCAAGGACTTTGGGCAACACTGTGCTTTTATTTATAAGGATGACAGCTTAACTCTTATTTAGCTTCTTTGATGTATTCTCTACTACAAAAAGCCTAGCAAGGAGGAGAGTTGATTTATTGAGATGATGGATTGCCACACAATATCTATGTGATGACTAGTGAGAGTACATCTCTAACTTAATAGACATGCCATAAATATACCACATTGAAGCTGCGGTTTTTTATTCTATATCTGTTATCATTTCATCCTTTCTTTTTTCTTTCTTTCTTTTTTTTTTTTTTTTTTTTTTTTGAGACAGAGTCGCTTTGTTGCCCAGGCTGGAGTGCAGTGGCACTATCTTGGCTCACTGCACCCTCTGCCTCTTGGGTTCAAGCAATTCTCCTGCCGCAGCCTCCCGAGTAGCTGGGACTACAGGCGTGTGCCACCACACCCGGCTAATTTTTTGTATTTTTAGTAGAGACGGAGTTTCACCGTGTTAGCCAGGATGGTCTCGATATCCTGACCTCATGATCCACCTGCCTCGGCCTCCCAAAGTGCTGGGATTACAGGCGTGAGCCACTGCACCCAGCCATCATTTCATCCTTTCAAAACATCATTCTATATTCTAAAAACTGCATTTTAAACTATCATAATCCTGTCTCTAAAATTTTGGGTAACCTCCAGAGACTTGTTGTGTAATATTAATTTTTAAATTTCTGCATAAAAAGCACCACTTCCATTATTAGACCCGATCCTGTGCTTCTCAGTGATTTCCCATACACAGTAATTAGTCAAAACTGTTAAACATATACTGTGTTTAGGAACTTTACTTATTGAACAAGAATGAAAGCATGGGGCCAGCAAAAGACAATCTTATGAGTAATGCTGGAAATTCAGCAACAATTAAATGTTTACATGATACCACTCACATTTTTTCAAGGATTCTTGTAAATAAAGTAAACACAAAGACCTGAGCTAAGCAGCAATGAGTTGATCAGTTTGCTTGTGGTAAACTAGATAGGAGGATACTTCTACCTCCCAACTTGATGTAGACGACTTCTATTTAAAGGCAAAGTCACTTCAGAGAGACACGAATCCCTTGCAAGAGGAGAGAGGTCATGCCACCCGTGAGAAAATGAAAAGGTGTAAGAACAAAGGAAAGAGAGAGAAGGGGAAAGAAGAAAAGAGAGAAGAAGAAGAGAAGCAAGTGTCCTTTCTTTTTAGGTCCCTGCTGGTTTTGGGGACATTAGGTGTCAGATTCCCTCTGTTTCTCCAATGAGAGGGGTCATGCTCTCCCTGGAGAAAAATCCAGTGATTGGTTTTCATGAAGAAATGGAAGGCTTTCCTCTTACACTCTTCCTTCAGGGAGAAGACTAGAAGTATCCATAAGTGGAAAAGTATTTGCTCCTACCAGAGGCAAGGGATAGATACTAAAGCAGATACAGGTCTAGGAGAAACTCTTCTTCCAATAGCAAGTCTATAAAATATCACATCCGCCACAACTCCTGGGATTCTCACAGGAATTTTCCCATGTAATGCATAGTTAGATATTTCTTAGTTGCTCCTATCTTGGTCTTGCCCTTTCACTTATTTTGCCAACTCCATGAAATAACATCTGATGTCTCTTTTTTCCCAAATACCTGAGTTTTCACTGTACTATAATTATCACAGGTGCTTAGGACATGTTTTTGACAGATTGAATACAAATATTTCCCCTGATGGACACCAAATGAGACAGTATTTGTGAGATGGCTGTGGGAACAGTAATCCTTTATTGTGCTCCATAACATAGGTGGAATGTTGTATAGCTGTTGAAGATTCTTGAGTTTGAATTCATTTTATTAGGGACAGAAAATGAGTCTAGTGAGCAAGTATTTGCTGAAATAACTTTGCATGTTATCCTAATAAGGTTTGCAAATGAAGTAGAAAAAAAGAAATGGAAAGTGAACCCCTTCCGTTTGTTTTTAACAGCTTTATTGTGATATAATGCCAAGCAATTCATTGATTAAAAGTGTACAATTTAAAAGTTTCTAGTATACTACAAAGTTGTGCAATGATTGCCATAATCAATTTCAGAACATTTCATCAACCTGAAAGAACTTCTGTATCATTAGCAGTGACTCCATTCCCTGGCTTCATCCCCTAACCCACCAATCCTCAGCAACTACTCATCTACTTCCTGTCTCTACATATTTGCCTACTCTGAACATTTCATATATATAGAATCATGCAATTATGTACACTTTCATGACTTCTTTCACTTATCAAAATATTTTCAATGCTCATCCATATTGGAGCATGTATCAGTACTTGTTTCCTTTTTAATGGCTGAATAATATTCCATTGTATGCATATACCACTTTTTATGTTTCCATTCATCAGTTGATGGACATTTGGATTGTGTCTACCTTTTGCCATTATGAATAATATTGCTATGAACATTTGTACAGTTTTGTGTGGATAAATATTTTCATTTCTCTTGAGTATATACCTAGCAGTGGAATTACTGAATCAAAATGCTAATACTAAGTTTAGCATTTTTAGGAACTGTCAGACTATTTTCCAAAAGAGCTGCATCATTTACATTTTCATCAGCAATGTGTAAAGAGTTCCTAACCTACCTCATCAATACTTGTTATTGCCTTACTTCTTGATTTTAGTCATCCTAATGGATATGATGTGCTCAATGTGGTTTTGATTTGCATTTCTTTAATAACTAATTATTTTGAGCATTTTAAATATACTTTTGGCCACTTGTTTATCTTCTTAGAATAAATGTCTATTCGAATCTTCTGTCCACTTTGAAATTGGGTTGTGTTTTTATTATTAAGCTGTAATAGTCCTTTAAATATTCTGTATACAAGTCTCTTATAAGATAGATAATTTGAAAATATTTTCTCCCATTCTGTGAGTTTGTTTTTCACTTTCTTGATGGTATTCATTGAAGTACAACTTTTAAGTTCATTCTTTCTCCATTAAATATGATATTAGCTTTGGGTTTTTATGGATATCTGTATCAGATTAAGCAAGTTCCCTTCTATTACTAGTTTGTTGAGAGTTATTTTGTTGTCATAAAATGTTGTTAGAGTTTGTCAAATGCCCTTTCTTTGTCTATTGAGATGACCATGCGGTTTTTGACCTTAATTCTATTGATGGTATATTATGTTAATGATTTTCAAATGTTAAACCACTCTTGCATTTATAAAATAAACCTCATTTGGGCCGGGCATGGTGGCTCACGCCTGTAATCCCAGCACTTTGGGAGGCCGAGGCGGGTGGATCATGAGGTCAGGAGATCGAGACCATCCTGGCTAACAAGGTGAAACCCCGTCTCTACTAAAAATACAAAAAATTAGCCGGGCGCGGTGGCGGGCGCCTGTAGTCCCAGCTACTCGGGAGGCTGAGGCAGGAGAATGGCGTGAACCTGGGAGGCGGAGCTTGCAGTGAGCCGAGATTGCGCCACTGCAGTCCGCAGTCCGGCCTGGGCGACAGAGCAAGACTCCGTCTCAAAAAAAAAAAATAATAAAATAAAATAAAAATAAAAAAAAATAAAAATAAATAGAAATAAACCTCATTTGTTCATTGAATTTGGCTTGCTAGTATTTTATTGAGAATTTTTACACTCAAGTTCATAAAGTTATTAACCTGTAGTTTTCCTTCCTTGTGATGTTTTTGTCTGGTTTTAGTATCAGGGTAATATTTATCTCATAGAATTATTTGGGAAGTGTTCATTACTCTTTCCTTTAAATCTCAAACACGATAATTGTTCCTCCCTCTCACATATTGCCAGGTAACCTCCTTCATTTTATTTATAAATTACAGCACATCTAAACTTCATCAGTCAGTATTTAGGAAAGTACCTATATGATTGGAATCAATTTATTTTCATCACTAAACAGTACTTATAATGCTTCCATATGATTTAAACCAATTTAGTTTCCCATGAGAGGAGTCAGGTGGGAGATAGAAAAGACAGTATGGGTTACAGACACACAGCTGTTAAGCACAGGGAGGAAAGAAATACCTGGAGGATACTTAACCTCCAAAAAATAGAGGGCTGGGTTCTTAGACTAGAATGAACTCTCAGATTGCTCTGATGGTATTGGTGGTGATGATGATGATGATGACGATGATGATGATTTTATTGTATCCTAGGAGTCTTCACATATAATCTTCCAAATGTGATATTTTTCTCCTCTCCAGTTTTTTCTCTCCTTCCTTCTCTCCTTTCTTTCTTCCAAACTAAATTTGTTTCTAGCTTGAGGTAAATTCAGTGGAGATGCCTTAAAAATAGTATGAGCAAGTCAGTAACAAGAGTTATGTTATATTTCTAGCCTCACTCATATTTCCCACTTAGTATAGTAAAAACACTGGGGAACTGAAGAGTTATCACCATCATCAACAACAACAGCAACCACATAATAACCTGTCTGATTCTGGGTGAATCAACATCTTCATGTCCCTCTCACAATACTAGACTTTATGGATGTACTCCATTTTAAATACTATAAAATTACATTATTTTAATTCTTAAATGTTTCATACACATCAATATTTCTTTTTAAAAAATCAAGTTAAACAGGTATTTATTCAACATTCACATGCTCTGGGTTTTGAGGAATTACAGAGAGGGAGATTCAGATACATTCTATTTTGAGGAGCTTACAGTCTCACTGGGTGAAGGCATATATTCAAGAAATACTTAAATAAGAATTCAAGATACTTTGAAGGCACTTTAAAATAGGAAATTTGGTATCTGTTGTCCCTACCCACTATGTTCAAGGTACTGCATAAAATTCAGGGGTAAAACTATAAAAGCTCAGGGAAATGCATAAATGGGAAAGTTTGCGTGAAGGAAATGATTCTAGAACCCAGAAAGATGAAGAGGATTTAAATTGATAATGAAATGGGAGACATTTAGTGAAAAGTTCAACTAGAAGATTAATTAGCAATAGTTTTCACTTCCATTTCAAACAAAGCAACCAATTTTAAAAATTTCAAGTAATTTTTCTTACTGTGGCCTCCTTTTAATTACATATAAATGAATTCACGTTCTAATCTTTCTTTTTCTATGGAGGGGTCATTGTAAAATACATCTTACCTTGAGCCAATTTTGTATGTCCATAAATAACCCATGTACACTTTTGAATATTAAAAATTTTGATGTTTTTCTTTGTTACAAAGTGTAAACATACATTCGTATAATAGTTTCCATTTAAAGTTATAAAATAAATTGTCTTGGAGCTCTCTAAAAAGAGCGCTTTTGGCATTATGATGACCCGAGAGTGAAGGTCTGGTTAGCACAGATAATTTAAGCAAAACTTCTCAATATCAAATTTTCGTGTGTGCATTTAATTGAGGGAAAAAGGTACAAGTTGTCTTGGTTTTGTAACTTAATTTCCTTTCCTTCAAATCTATCCTGTCAATGGAGAGAGATAGTTTAGAAGGAAAGAAGTGGCCAAAATGCAACTCTGAAGTATTCTTAATTTGAGCACAAAGATGAGTACAATATGTACAAACTTTTTTTCAGCTTGACTAGTTTCTTGAATATTAAAAGAGAAAGAAAAGAAAAAACTACTTGTGATAGTATCTTCGTTCAGGTACAGAGGTGTCTATAGGGGGAGATGATCATTAATTAATTAATTAATTCATTCATTCTTTCATTTTTTCTTTTTGTTTTTTGAGACAGGATCTCCCTCTGTCACCCAGGCTGGAGTGCAGTGGCACAATCTCAGTTCACTGTAGCCTCAACCTCCCTGGCTCAAGTGATTCTCTCACCTCAGCCTCCCAAGTAGCTGGGACTCTAGGCATGCACAACCATGCCAGACTTTTTTGTATTTTTTGTAGAGATGGAATTTTACCATGTTGCCTAGGCTAGTCTCAAACTCCTGGGCCCAAGCGATCTGGCTGCCTTGGCCTCCGAAGGTGCTGGGATTACTGGTATAAGCAACCATGCCTGGCCCATTAATTCATTATTTCATTCAATATATATTTATTGAATGTATACTATGTGTCAGGCACAGTTCTAGGCATTAAGAATACAGCAATAATCAAGGCAGAGCAAGTCCCTTCCCTCATGGGACTTACATTCTAGTGAAAAAGACAAACAATAAATAACATAAATAAGCACATTATTTAATATGTTGTATATTGATGAATTTTGAAACTGAAGCAGAACAGAGGGGTTAGAAGCATCTGGGGTGTGAGTGGTGGATTTTTGATAGGGCAGCCAAGAAAGGTCTCACCATGAAGATCACTTTTAGAAGATGGCCTGAAAGAAGGGAGGAAGCTGGCTGTAATGTCTTCAGGAGAAGCATATTCCTGATAGAGAAAACCTCAAGGGCAAAGGCACTGAAGCAGGAGACTGCCTGAAATGTTCAAGGAGTGGCCCAAAGCCCGGGTGGCTGGAGTGGACTGAAAGAAGGGAGGATTGATAGGAGATGAGCTCAGAGAGATAATGGTGAGGGGCAGATGGAGCCTTGCAAATCACAGCAAAGACCTTGGATTTTGCATAGAATAAGATGGGAGGCCATTAGATAAGATCACCTTGGTTGCCATCATGAGAATAGAAGACAGGGATAAAAGTGATGAAGGGTCAGTGCCAGTTAGGATAACCCAGGCATTACAGATGTGTTATCTAAAGCTGTGTTTCTAGGCATTTAGAGCAGAGGTTGGCAAACTAGAGCCTGTGGGCCTAAACCAGTCTGCGGCCTGTTTTGGAAATAAATTTTGTTGGAACACAGTCACACTCATTCATTTACATATTGCCTATGGCTGCTTTCCCCCTACAATAGCAGAGTTGAGTAGTTGTGACACAGACCATACACGTAGCAAAGTGGAAAATATTTAGTATCTGGCTCTTCACAGAAAAAGTTTGCCCACCTCTGACTTAGAATCTCCTGGAAAGAGGATTATAGCAGTAAAGCTATCTCTTATGTGCAAAATAGAACAGGAGCAAACCATTACAATTGTGTACAAACTTTGCAGAAGGTAGAGAGGATTATTTCTGGGTTGTAGTGAATGGTACAGTATGAAAATATGATTAGTCTTTTAATAACAGATAATGAATATCATTCATACATTCACTCAAGAAATATTCTTTGAAAACATTTAGCAATCAAAGTTTAATGTGCTAGAGAGATATCAAATACATAAACCTTTAGTAAGTATAAATTACAAAAGCTCTAAATGCTATGAAGAAAAGGCTTAGAGTTCAATGGTGAGAAAACAAGGAAAACAATTTACATTAGATGAGGCCAATGGAAATGCCATTTGAGTTAAGACATGAAGTGGTGAAAACATGGGGAAGAAGAATTTCATGCACAAGAAATGATGTGCAAAGGTGGTAAAATAGAGAATTAGAAGAAGAACTAGGAAGAAAATACAGCCATCACACACACACACACACACACACACACACACACACACACACATAAATGAATGGATAGACTTTTGACAGCAACGTGGAAACAGTCATAGAACGTGGCTGGAGATGATGAGTTGTTTGAAAAATACTGGGCTTTGTAGATCATATGAAATTGTTTTAATTTTATTGTAAGTCAAAGTCATTGAAGGATATAGGCAAAAACGTGGTAGATTTTACCTTTTATATACCACTCTGGCTGCAGTAAAGAATATGAATTGAAACGGGCCACTAATTGAAGTCCAGGGACTGACCAGTCAGGAGCTGGTTTGCAGTGGCTTAGTAGAGAGATGATGATGGTGGCTTAGACTAAGTTGGGTCTATGGTTTAATTCAGCAAACATTTATTATATTGTTACTATGAACTAAATATTATTCTGGGTTCTATATTGAGAGTAGCAAAGAGAAATGAAAGCTGTCTGTGCTTTCAATAAACTATAGCTCTGAAGAGTAAGAAAAATGTGCAAGTAATTGTTACATGTAGCCTACTATGATAAATTATAAATTCCATATGACTACTTGGAACAAGAGCACTAGTGGAGCCCAAAGGAAGGAAAATTTATATTAGCTTGATTGGTGAGGAAATGTAGTTATTACTGTATCCCCAATGTGCATAATACATCAACACATCACACAGAGTAGAGGCTTGGGAAATACTGGGAGAATGCCCTCGATCATGTCACTGAACTCTTGTCTAATTATTTCCAAACACAGTAATTTCTGTAACTGCATCTCTCAACCTCAGCTCCTTTCTACCCTTTTTCTTGTTGCTACCAGTCGGCCTATGGCTTGCCATCAGCACCTCCTGAGGCCATGATCAGACAGCTTGCCAGTACAACTGTTTCCCCTACTGAGCTAGCAGCTTGCTGGACTCTATTGCTTGTTGCTTGTTGTCTGTGGGGCCCCTGGGGGCCCATCAATTTTCCTTCTATCTGTCAATCTGTGCCTGGCTTCACAGTGTAAAAAGAAGCCAAGAATAAGAAATGAAGATTCCAAATAAAGTTGAAATACTTCACAGAAGTCCAGGATCTCACAAATGTACCCTGTCTTGTGGCCAAGACTTACTCAATTCAGGTTGGATCTCTATGAGAGCTGTGGAGTCCCAGCCATTCCAAGAGTGCCTACACACACGAAGAGTTTAATGAATATTAGTTAAACCAAAAAATAAAAAGCAAGCTGTGGTGAAGTTTCAGTTAGGCCAGTTCACAGCTGTCATTGCACACAGTGAAGACTATCAAGAATGTTTTCCTGCTGCTAGAGAGAGAGTCCACCAAGCCTCAGTCTTTTCCTTGCCCTCCAAGCTGGAATCACTTCCACTTGTCGGATCAGTCTCACTCAGCATGAGACATATTGCAAACTTTACTCGCATTCAAGAGATGGAGCCTGGTGTTAGGCCACGAGCCATATACTCTGGTTCTTTTGAGGGGTGGGGCAGGATAGAGTACTGATTAAAGCCAAGTGTTTGGAACCTAGATCTTCTCATTTTCTCTTTTTGCACCTCCATTTTCAGACTACATGATGTGGGCAGATTTCTTGCTTGCCCAAAACCCAATTTCTTCATTTATAGAAAGTGAATAGCAAAATCTTCTACCCAGGATAAAATCTTTAGTGTATATCTTGACATAATATCAGTGTTAGATAAGTGGTAATTATGGTGAAATCTCTGCGGTGACATTTCTGTATTTTGCACAGTTTGGATATAAGGGGATTGGCAGTTTCCCACAGAAGGCTCACTCTCACCATTTCACTAACTTTACAGTAGTGAGACCTTCACTTTTGGGGAGCCCACTTATAGAGTTATTTTGAATTTACTGTATTAGTATTTATTGATCTATAATTATTACTCATGCAGAAACTTAATCATAAGTCAGTTTAGGAAAGAGACAGGAAATGTCAACTCTGACATGCTTCCTCCCATCTTTGTTTTCCAAAGTAGGACCATTTTAAACGGTATACATCAGCATAATGCCTGCATTTTGTTCTTTCCACATAGAACACCATCTGAAACGAACAGGTTTTCAAATCTTGGATGGAGCTACAAGTCTCTAGTGTCCAAGTGGAATTGGTGGGAAGGGGTTTTGGAAATGACTGTACTCGGAACAGAGAAAACTTTTCTCAGTAGAAGACTGTTTGCCTCCTCATGAGACCAGTAAAATTTCCTGAGATTCTGCAGCCAAATGGTCTTGGTATTATTTTACATTAGTCCAGGGTCCCAGAAGCACAACCACTGTGTAGAATGGGCTTTGTTAATGATTATAATAAATAAGGTGAGACTTCTGATTTTGTGCAAGATTGAAAAGACTCATTTCATTCTCTGTCTCCCACTAAATATAATTATAAAACCCTGGCCATAATACAAGAGACAAGAAGAAGAAAACTGTGAAAGGAGGAATGAAGAGAATAGATAGACTGACTAAGGAGCTAGGGGTTTTAATAGCATGGGATGAATGCCCTCTGTTTTCTTTTTGCCTTCCATACACCCTAGGCTTGGGGCTGGAGAAGCCCATGACTTGGAAATGCCAAAAGGCACAGCCAAAAAGTCCTGTTAAAAGTCTGCTCTCTATCACCAAAGGACCAGAAAATAGCTGGTCCAGCAGGATACCAATATTTTTGACAATAGTCGCCCCATTCCAGCAAAACATCATGAAAAAAACCATGCCTACCTCTGTTCCCCTGTGCTGCTGGCAAAGGTTGAGCAGGGAGCCTGGACTTCCAATTCCACCTGTGGCAAGGTAGCACACAGCTTTCAGAATCCCCTGTAGCCAGGATGGTGTCAGCAGACTGTAGGGGAAACCTGGACTCCCCTACTTCCACCTCAAGCTATGTTTCTCCCTCTATCAATTAGTTAGAAGGGGAGGATTTTGGAGAGGAGGAAGCTGGAGAAAGGTTTTCTTTAAACCTTTATATGGGCAAACGCTTAGCAACCCTTACATGAAATTGATTAGAATTAACACTGTAAAAGATTTGAGAAGAGTTACAGTATAGAATACTGCCCAAGCTATGGATTGGCCCCTGAGTAGCCCACACACAAAGCAGACCCAAAAAGCACTGCAAAGGCTGTGAAAACTGAGTTGTCATTGGAACCATAGCCCCAAAAGGCAGACCAGAACCTCCATGATGAGTCTAAAGAGGGACTCAGCTAAAAGAAAACTAGGATCTATAACATGGTCTTATAACGTGGTGCTCCAAATGTCCAGTTACTATTATTATTGGGGTGAGCACTGAACTTTCTAATGGCCATCAATCAATTCTCAGTCTGCCCCTCACCCTCCAGCTCTTGCCCATGAATTGGGATTTTGTCTCCTTTTTCCTGCCTAGAATTCAAAGTCGTGATTCCACCTCAAGCATCACATGCATTGACTAATGCCTCCAGGACAGAGAGCTGATTCTGCTCCACATGGCTTCTGCAATGAATGGACTCTAGTGAATGGATCAGCTGATATAAATATGATATTACCCCATTGTGGGGGTCCTTTTGAACATAATGCCCAAAGGAGTCTGTGAGCTAAGTCAGTTTCCCTCATGCCACTCTTTGTCAATCTATTCTGGGCTGGAAGTCACCACCTCTCAGTAACGCATCTTATCGAGACCTCGTCATGGTTTCTACCAATGTTTTCTTAAGGAATGTCATGGTTTTTAGCAGAAATGATAAATGTAACTCACCAAATCTTTTGGTTGTATCTAATTATGCCATGACTATAAATTCAGCTGCCTAGGACCCATATCTTTCCTACTAACTATTATGAAATATTCATTTTAATAAAATTCTTCCTTGAGAGTAAATGTAAAACTGTAGGTGACTAATGATCCGTTTGAAAAGATTACAATATGGAATAATGAAATAATAATAATGATGCAAATAGAAAAGACACAACGCTTTGCTCATTTAAAAAGTCTCTCTCTCAGGAATACTGCATAAATGAAATATCTAACTACTTAGCAGGTTGCCAGGTATACATTGGGCAATAATATATATTTACTAAAATTAAAACCACAAATTATGTTTTGAATGATTTGTTCACACTAATATACAGGCTTAATGCTACTTTAGTCAGGAGGGTCAAAATAAATCTAGAAGGGAACTGTAATCCTGAGATAAAAATTATTATTGTAATTTGAGGTAGTTTAAATACCAGAGAGAATACACATCAAACACCTAGAGACTATAGATTCTGCAAAGTCATGCCAGTTCTCCAATCTCTGAGAAATGTTAAGTTAAATCTTTTCTTCATATGATATGATGTAGATTAGTATGTAAGTACAAAATGCTAACCTAAAATGGGGAAATTGAAAGGTTTTGCTCACATGATATTATCATAAACCAGTAAGCATGCAATGCATATTTTCTTAATATATTTAAATTAGAGACAAAAGTTATATGCTCAAAACCTTATTAATATTCAATAAAAATTTAAATATTTTAATATTTTACAGTGTTAAGATGCACACTGTAACCTTGACCTCCTGGGCTCAAGCGGTCCTTCTATCTTGGCCTCTTGAGTAACTAGAACTACCACACGCTGGATAATTGTTTTTATTTTTATTTTTTGTAGAGACAGGGTATCACTATATTGCCTAGGCTGGCCTCAAACTTCTGGCTTCAAGTGATCCTTCTGCCTTGGCCTCCAAAGTGTTGGGATTGCAGGTATGAGCCACCATGCCTGGACTTTTTTTTTCTATCTTTTGACTTCTTTTAGATTTTCTTGGCCAAGTCCATTCTTCCTTTTTTCCTTTCTTCCTCACTCCCTTCTGTCCTTCTCTTCTAATTAATGACATTATAATATTATACATCATAGCCCCAGCTATGGTTTGGCATGAGAAATGTCAGGTTCAGTCTAAAGTTTATCTCTCCAATGTTTTTGGGAAAACTTCGTAATAACTTGCTATTAAATTTATATAAACGTGTTTGTTTTTAGCTGCTTTTAGGAGGTCATTAATAACTGATTAATATTTACAAAATCTGACCAAAAGCAGTGAGTTTAGTAGGAGATACTTAAGATCTTGGCACTATTGCCGTTGCTCTTCACTGGATGTGTAAAACACTTCTGTCTCCTCTAGGACTTTCTCCATTGTAGACATTGATACAATGTCATCTTCCTTAGTTAATATTTTGGTGTTTTGTTTTTATCATTTATTCACTTTATGATATGATGGATCAGCAGAAGAGACACTGTTTACCTCTTGCCTCACCTAGTCAAGACGTCCATTGCCATATGGAGCTACTCAAAACACCTCCACAAGATGGAGAATCCATTAGTTCAAACCTGTGTCTGTTAGCCCCCTATAACTTGAACAACCACAGCACAGAGGGAGGGCATATTACTTTGCATATTTCTGTTCATAAAATTAGAGCCTTATTTCTCATTGTGTGTTTATTTTTTTCCTGTCTTCCCCTAATAATGGAATCACCTTAATAAAACCCTTTAGAAACAATTTTCCAGTCTAAGCTACACATTTCCATACAAATAATAAAGAGAATGTGTTAGAAAAATACATTCTTTTAGCTTTGGTTCTTTAAATCAAGATAGCCCTTGTAAGCTACTGACTCCTTGTGAGTCTACATATTTTTTAAATCTCTGGTATGGCATCATTATAGCCCTCCCTCCTGAATCTTAGTATCCACTCCCTAAATATCCATTGTTCCAAGAGACGTGTAGTCTCTTCTCTTGGTAAGAGATAGCCATATGATTTGAAGATGTTAAGGGGTTTTGAAAAGCAATAACACCCTCGCTGAGACTTTGGATAGAAGAATATGTTATAAACATTTTTAGTTAAAATCTACCCCTTCTCCTCACGTATAAATATTTATTCACAGTGCAGTATGTTGGTCACTGTTTTAGGCACCAGACATACAGGAGAGAACAAAATTGGCAAAGCACATCTTCTTAGTGAAGCTCATGACCTAATAGAGGAGACAAATATTCAACATCATCAACAACAACAGCAAGTAGCTGTATGTAAAAATAAAGCCAAAGAATGATTAGTGCTTGTGGTGGTCACTTGCTTACTGTTCTTGGATCCATTCCCAGTTTTTCCCCTGGAAAATATATTCCCAAAGGTTCCTTGCACTCTGGTCTTCAGCTAGCTTTGGTCAAAGGGAAGCACTAACAGGAGACTGGAGAGCAAGGGGATAAAAAATATCCAGAGTATTTCTTTTCCCTTCTTTTTCAGGCAGTGCATCCTACAAATGGCTGCATCTCCTCTAGATAAGCCACCTGTCTTCTGTATGTAAGCCACTATGTAAACCTACCACTCCCCACCCAAGGGCAGCTCTTGGGCTCTGGTGACACTCTCTCACTTTCTCCCTCAAGCACTAAAGTTTTAGCAATTTCCTGTTTGTTTCTAATCTCTATGCTGCTTCTTCCAACTCCTTTATTACTATTTCTTTACATCACAAGTCTTCTTTTGAGTCACCTACTGTGGATTCTTTTTCCATATAGGACCTTGTGTAACACAGTACAATGAAGTTGGAGGAAAGGAGTAAAGGATGATGTCCAGGTTTTGAGCCTTGGCAACCCCATGGTCAGTGATGACATTGACTGAATTGGTAAAGACTTAATGAGGAATAGTCATGGAAAGGGCTCTGAGGATGGCAGGAACCAATAATTTTATTTTGCACATGTTAAATTTGAGATGACCGGTAGAGTAGACATCTACATTCTGATGTCAAGTAGGCATTTAAACATGTGTGTCCAGAGTCCAAGGGAGAAGACTGAGCTAGAGATGAATTCTGGGAATCATTCATGTATAGATAGCCAGGAGACTGGATGAGATCTAGGGAATAAATGCTGAGAAATGTCAAAGAGACCCTTGGACTAAACCTTGGAGCAATTCAATATTTAGAAGGTGGATAGTGGAGGAGGATTCAATGAAATAGACTGAGAAGCAGCATCCAGGGAGGTAGAAAAATAATTGGAAGAATGTGGCAACAAGGAGTCAAGTGACACAAGTGTTTCAAGTGGAGGGCATGATCAATTGTGTCAAATGTTGCTCTGGGGCTGATAAAGAAGAGAATAGAGAATTGACCATTTGATTAGGGTTATTACCCACTCCCCTCCAGCATCTGTGATGATGGTAGCAGGGTTTTGCTCAAGGGACAAAAGGCAGCAGATCTGGAAAACCAAAGGATAAAACATATCCTTCATGCAACTAGACAATAGACACCTTCTTGATCTAGAAAAGGAAGAAATTCCCACCCCCATCCCATCCCCCACCAAACCCCATCCCAGTGGAGGGTAAGTTTCTGAAATTAGAAAAACCTACAATGCCTTGTCCTGTAATTCTGGGCCAGAAGTTCTCAGTTGGACAGGTTATGACATTTTGAGTAGGAGAATTCTGTAAAACTGGCCTTGCCAATGCATTACAAGACTTTTGGTATCCTTGACCATTGCGTCCCCCAACACTAAATGCCAAAATAGTTACACTTACTTTTTAATGCTCTCCTCTCTACATGTCCATTTTTCATTGTTACCAACTGTATTTCCATTTCCTCAGTCTCACTATTACCTTCCTTCATACCTTCTTTGAATGTTTTCTTTTTCAGACATTTAATAATTCAAATGAATAAGAATTAGTGACATTATTATTGGGATCAATAATTGATGAACTGTAACAATAGTAGGGAGATAATTTGAGGTAAAATAAACCCTTCATCTTGTCAAATAATATAATTCATTGAACTATACATTAAAAAAATATTATCTGCAAGGCTTTGTTCCAAGAGCAGCACAGAGTGCAAAGTGGGAAATTTTGGTGACTTGAATTTCAGTGGAAATGCTGAGCAACTCCTGTTTCTCCCTCCTCTTCCTCCGAATAATCTTTAAAATGTTCTTTTTAGTCTAGCTTTTCTATCTTTCGCCTTGCTTCCCCATGTGATTGCTCAAGATGAGAGTGAGAATCTCTCTTAAAAGTCATCTTAGACAGTCATCTCTAGTTCTGAGTGACCAGCACTGCTACAAGCTAATTTATCCCCAATTTTACAGTTTGTATTTGTTAAAAACTTGAGTTTCTGTCATTCTGTTTGGATCCTGGGTCCAGTCCTGGCCCTACCCCATATTGGTTGTGTCACTTTGTGCCAGGCACTTAGCTTTCTATGCTTCAGTTTTCCTCATCTGTAAAATGGGAATTCAATAGTAGTACTAATCTCATAGGGTTTTTATGAGGATTAAATAATATTCTGTTTATAATGACAGTGTCCCAGTGGGGAGCACTATAAAATGAGGTTTGCGAAATATCACTTTGCACACCAAGAAAAAGTCATATTTATTTCCTCTAATGAGGACAAGTATCTCACACTATTTAGCTTCTTTTGATTTGGGTGACTTGCAATCCCAATCCTCATTTCCAGAAACTGAAGCAATGTGTTTCTCTTTTATGTCATAATTTATTTTTTCACTCTGGTAAAAAATCAGAGAAAGAAAATGATTGAATTTTGAGTAAAGGTTTTGCACTTTCAGGGCAAACTAGTGCTTAATAAGATAAAGTCATTGATTCATAATGGGGAAAATATTATATATTCTGGGTTAGATTGGTGTAGATAAAAGTAGAAGTTGAAACCCCTTTGAAAAGGACTACCACTGTAAGCAGTGACCCCAGTGCACAGAAACAAAGAGAGCCCAAATTATTTTCTAACCACTTCTCATTTCAAGGCTCCAGTTATTTCAAAGAAAAAGTCTATGAGCAGAGATGCCGAAACTGAAGAATGCTGGAGGAGGCTGATTCTGCAGAGGTTGTTAAAATGTAGATTCTAATGCCCCTTCTCTAAACATTTTTCTGTGATTGAGTTGGAGTTCAGAAACTTGCTCTTTTAAAAAGCATCTAGGCAATTCTGATGCAGGTTATCTCTGAGGTAGATATTAGCACACTCTGTATCCAGACTGCTGGACTCTGTTTCTGAATATATGTGATGTACAAGTGTTAACATAATAGTGATTTTTTTTCTCTCATGTTTGTTATTGTCCAATGATCTGGCTATGCCATACCACAAATATGAATAACAGTGGGAAAATGCAGTTAATTTACAAAATACATTCAAATACACTTATGTTTGGTATTATATACACAAAATATCTGTATGGATGATAGAATCTTTTTGTTTTCTTTACCAGTATGTTTTGTGTTTGTTTTAGCAGCCATTTAAGTGTTTTCTTACTGTCATTGTGACAATTAACTTCATGTGTCAACTTGACTAGGCTGCAGGATGTGCAGGAGTTTGGTTAAATGTTATTCTGGGCATGTCTGTGAGGGTGATTCTGGATGAGATTCGCATTTGAATTAGTACACTGGGTAAAGCCAATTGTTCTCAATGTGGATGGGCCTTATCCAACCCAGTGGAGGTGAGAGTAGAACAAAAGGCAAAGGAAGGGAGAATTTGCTCTCTCTGACTGAATGTTTTTGAGCTGGGACATCAATTTTCTCCTATACTTGGACTTGAACTTACACCATTGTCTCTCCTAGGTATTCATCTTCCAGAAGACATATTATGGGAGCTCTCAGTCTCCAGGATCATGTGAGTTCTTTATAGTTAATCTTTCTCTCTCTAATTAGTATTAATATAATATTATTATAATTAAAATATATAAAAAGATTTTTATATAATAGAACCTATCTATCTATCTATCTGTCTGTCTGTCTGTCTCTCTGTCTGTCTATCTATCTATTATCTATCTATTATCTATCTATCTATCTATCTATCTATCTATCTATCTATCTATCTATATTTGTACCATCTCCTGTTGTTTCTTTTCTTCTGGAGAACCCTGATTAATACAGTCAAGTAAATCAATAAAGAAAGAAGAAATAAAAGAGTGAGTACTGTGTAAATCAGTCAAAAGGGAGCATGAAAGTGATATACTATTTATCATAATGTTCTTTCTTCTCTCCTCTTTCATCAACTTTTTCAAATTTCTCCAAAGCTACTTCCTGAATCTTTATGAGAATTCATTTCAAATTTGGGCCAATAAAATATGTCTGCCTGAGGTAGTGATTAAACATCCATATTGAAAGGTCTACAGTGGTAATTCCATGGAAAAGAAACCTAATTAATTGTCACAGGCTTTTTACTACTTCTCTGCTTTAAAAAGTAAAGCCATAAAAAGGGTTGCCTCAGGCTCTCCAAAATGCATGTCAATATGGATTGTAAAAGCTGATGTTAAATCTTAAAGCACTTATTTATTTAAGAAAATGACATTTATTTTGCCAGCATTTCTTTACATTGCTAGGTATGTTGATTTATGTATTAGGTTTATATTGTAATATTAACCATTATTGAGGCATAGTCAGAATTCAAGTTTATGACAAATTATAAGAAAATTCTTTATGGAGATCGCTTCAAGATGCTGACAATTCCTGGGTAGAGAGGAAAATTATTGGTTGGCGTTGAAAGTCCTAAGCATCTTTCGCAGATTAAAGGTGGTTACATCAGCTCTGAAGAAAATGGTGGAAAGTTCCAAAAGGCTCTCAGCTGGTAGAAAAGACTCATAGAAAATAGAAGACAGATTTTTTTTTTTTTTTGCATGTTAGAAAACTGAAGCTGAAAAAGAGTGAAAACTAAAAGGCACACCTGGAAGTTAATTTCTTTGTAATGCTATTTTATTTGTAATACATTTGATAATAAATTACAGTGCTTGACATTTATAATTACCATCTTTATTAGAACCATAGACTAGGACTTTTTGCATTGCCTCAGCATTGCCCCGTACTGGCACAACGAAGCACAAAGTACCTGAGAACACCCCTAACTTCACAAAATCAGTAACAAAGGCTGCAAGATACCATTGACTGTCTCAGTGCAAAAGAGAAAGTGAGGAATTTCGGGGGAGTGAGGATGGACTGGGTGGTGATACTGTAAGAATCCTTTATACACACTGCTGAAAGATTTCCGAGCTGCAGAATCTGAATCCTGTTTCAGTGTTATCATCCAGTGCATGGTGAGAGGTTTCTTGAGAGAGTGTGATGTGTGTTCATGCCCTGAAGCTGTGAGTGTGAGCAAAGACCGGTGACTGCTTCTGCTCTGCCAATCCCACAAAGTGCTGAAGGCTGCTGGAGGACCTGACATCAGTGGAGTGAGAAGGGACTGTGCAGTGTGGCTCAAGATAAGAGGATGCTGATATTCTCCTCTCGGTTCCTGTGGCTCTCTCAGTAAATGGGAAAGGACCTTAGCAGTCCCGCTAGTTTCACTGAAGGAGCAGAAATGTTAATGGAGGAGGCAGGACACAAATTGCCTAGGTGGAAACTGGCCAAATGAGGTCATAGCCCACCCCAGAATCCAAGCATTGGTACTGCTGACCCTCTTTGAGGGAATCCTCAGCAAACCACCCCCATCATCCAGGCGAAGACTACCACAACTATTGAGGCTTCCAGCAGCAGGATGGACCATTTTGAGCCAAAGCAAGAAAAGGCTCTCTCCCCACCACCTACAAATAATCAGTCGATTAGGAAAATCTGCCCCCTTATCTCCATTCCCAATTATGAAAGAGCTAGACCTAGAAAAGGGGGGCAGAAGTAGGCAGCCTTGAACCAAACTTTCTTACCCCCTTGAATCAAACTTTCTGAACCCCCAGTTCAGACACACACATACACACACACACACAAACACACACACATATACTCTAAGGTGTTAGAACCGGAGGAATATACCATGCTTCCTCCTACAAGGCTAGTTGATAATGGCTAATGGGCCACAAAATTGAAGATTTATTGTGAAACAGGCTGAATTGTAATAACTAAAAAGTTTTTCACCTAAAGTTATAGAATCTGTCCAAAATGTTAAAGCTTGAGTTGGAGACAATAATTAGAGAAAAATAAAACAACTTTGTATTTACATCTTCCTGGGGTGGTACTCCTCAGTTAATCTTTTAAAGAAATTCCCTGGTTTAATAAAGATCTTCATTGAATTAAAATCAAGTTGCTTATTTGTCTATAGAGATTCATTCTCTAAACTACAATTATAATATAAAGTAACATATAGTGGACAACTTTGTATGTAAAACATGATTATATTTTTCAAAATTTAATTTGTATCTTTTTTCCAATAATACTACTTTTGAGCAAAGCAAAATATGATTACATTTTTGTATCTAAAACATAATTATATTTTTCAAAATTTAATTTATATATTTTTTTCAATAATGCTATTTTGGGCAAAACGACTACTATGTTTTAAAAGAATCAGAGTAAAAGAATTAGTCATTCATTTTGAAATTCCCATGCCACAAAGAAGGTAAGTAAATTGCTCAAGGTCATGTTTTAAACTGATTTAGAATTGAAAGCATCATCAGTCACTCTACACAGTCTAAATAACAAAAGTCAGATTGATGAAAATGCATAATCAGCGAAATGGACAATGGCTCTCACATATACAAATCGTGTATTACTAAGTAGGTAGATGCTCAAAAACACAAGGACACTATAAACCACCTCACACTGGTCTTGAAATGTTTTCTTTACTATTCCTTCTTTAGGTATCCCATAACCCTTTTAGTTCATCAACCATCTTGAAGAAAACACTTGATTCTACTATGCATATACTTTTATAAATTTCCTCAAACTCAAATAAATTGAGACATTCGCTGGAGAAAAAAGGTCTGAAATCTTACAATTGCCAAATGAATGTACAGTATATATGTCTCCTATGTGGAGTTATTGGAAGTTTGAAATATTTCTGGGGATTTCATCATACTTTCTTGAAGATAGACATACCTGCAATTTATTTCTATTCTGATAGTGCTAAAGACCCTCACAGAAAAAAAAATTCCAAGTAGCAAGATGATGAATAATATAGTTGTAACCATGAAAAGTGTACAAGAAATAGAAAAATTAAAACTGCAGTTGAGCAGAATTTCATCTCCAGGCATAACGTCAAACTTCAGTTGCTGAAGCAGTAGAGCTTAGAGGTGGCGGGGGGATGGATGGGTCTAGGAAGATGATTTGCCAAGAGGAGAGGGGAAAAATCAGCAGAGGAAACAGCTTCTAAGTACGTGTTTTCTATCTTAGACTCAACACAGATGTTATCTTTTCCACACAAAATCCTAGGATTTTTTTTAACCCTCCAATAGCAGCTGCAGAGGGCATTCACAGACATTTGGACCTAAAAAATTTCATGTCTGCACCAGAAAACCACCCTTTTTGAATTTTCATTTTGTGCATATTACTGTATTTCTAAGAACAAGAATAGCTAAATCAATGGAAATGCTATTGGCATAGTTAATGTAGTAAAGATAGAATGCTTTTGCATTTTAAAGATCCAACCTGAAATTGAGTTCTTTGCAATTATTCTATTAACTCTAAACTAGAAAAAAAATCCAGATCAACCTGGGGAAATACAATGGTGTGGGATCCTGGACTACAAGACAAGAACCAGGACAACAAAGTACCAAAAAAGTTGAATAAGAAATAAGTCTGAGATTGCTCTATGCCATTTTCGTTAAGGTATTCTGAGTAATTAAAAGAAAAGGATGAGTAATGTTAGAATATTTGCACAATATTTGTAGTTGGCTAGCTATAGGCATATTTAACTGTTCCAAATGCTGTAGCGGTCATTCATTACTGTGGATTCAATTCTTTTCAATGGAATTTTTTCCCTTATAAAATTCTAAGTGGAAAAAAAAATCACTTCAAATACTATGGAAGAGACTGTTAGTTTTCTCCCAGTATATCTTTCCTTCTTCTACAATAACAGAACTCCAGTTTTTATCCTGGTACAATGTTAAAATGGTTACATAGATTAACTTTGAAATTTTCATGTACTCTTACTGCTAGGTGTAATCACATGACTAAGTTCTGGGCAATGAGATGTAAGAGAAAATGATGTGTTCAACTTCTGAGTCCTGGATAAAGAAGGTTGGGTCCTATTTTCTCCCACCCTGCTGGCTGGAATACGGATGAGGTGCGAGCCATAGTGAACTAGTTAGATTAGACCGAACCCGTAGTGATAGCCAAGCAACGAGGTTGAAGAGATCTGGGAGTTTGGCTCTGTGAAGACAGTATAACAGCCCTGGACTGCTTAAATTTGGGCTTCTTATACCCAAATTATTTACTTGAGAGAGAAATAAGTTTTGATTATAAGTACCATTATTTTGGGTTCCTTTTAGAGCAATTGAACCCAAACTCACATTCAACTAAAATAGGTATTCAATCATTCAACAAATTGAATTGATATTTTAAGCCTGTGATATATCAGTCACTGTTCTAATGATGAATTTGATGGAAAACAAAACATACCAGATCCCTGCTCTTAACAAAGTGAAGGCCTTCAGAAAATAATAAATAAAAATAAAACCATATGTAAGATAATTTCATCATGATAAATGCTATAAGCAAAATATAGTAATTAGAGAGTGAGCCATTGGGTATGTAAGGAGAGTACTTTCAATCAGTTGATTATGGACAGCCTCTCTGAGGAGTTGGCAATTAGGAAATCAGAATGATAAGAAGGAGTTAAATATCTAAAGATAGGAAAGAAGAGAGTTCTAGCAGAGAGACTGGTTTTTACCAAAGCCCCAGGCCATGAGCGTGCTTAGAGAGGGGAGAAAATTATAAATAAAAGGAAGTGTCAGGGTCAGAGATCATGTAGGATTTTGTAATCAGGATAAGAAGTTTGCATTTTGTGTAATCCCAGAGGGCAACCATTAAAAGGCTTTAAACAGGGCAGTGTTAGGCTGTGATTTTTAATTTTTCCAAAAGACATTCTGTTGTCGAAGCAGGATATATGTCTAACAAAAACAATTCTCGGTGTTCACTAAAACATGTTTTATTTTCCTCCTGGCCAGACAGAAAGGCTATGTTGTTGAGTCTGCCTTGCAATGAGGTCGGGTCATGTGATTGACTTCTGGCCAGTGGAATGTGGGTGGAAATGAGGGAGGCCACTTTAGGATCTGAACCTTACAACTCCTCATGTGATTGTGCTGCACTTCGAGGACTTAGGTGATGGTGGTGTCACTGCTTGAAGGAACCCGGTCCCTGAATGACTGTATGGAGCAGAGCCTCCCTGTTAGAAATAATCCTTTACTGTGTTAAGCTGGAAGTTCAAGTATTGATTGTTTAAGCAGTCAGCCTAAGCTGACTAACACAGACTGCTAGTGTGGTAACTGAACAAGAAATGATAGTGGCTTGGACCAAAGGTACCACAGGACATATGTGAAGAGATTGGATTTGGGATATAATTTGAAAGTGGGTCAAATAGAACTTACTGAGGATAGGATGGAGCTAGCAAAGGCAGAAAATGTATATGTATATACGATGATGATTTAGGATTTTTACCTGAGTGATTGTGTGGCTTGTGATTTCATTAGCTGTAGGGTGGGGGTCCAGATGGGGAAACCTAGGAATTAGCAAGTATATGCAGAGTGAGGGGAATTAAGCATTGTATTCTGAATTTGATACATTTTGAGATACTTAATTTCCATCAAATGAAAATGTTGCATGCATGAATCTGTATCCCAGAAGAGAAAGAAGAGTTCAAGATAAAAATTGAAATTGTCATCCAATATTGGATGTGGATTCAACCAACATTTGCATTCACAATCCTGCCCACAGAATTGGTTGTTTCTCATAAGCATGACTATCCCTTACCATTGTCTACTGCTTTGCTCCACAACACTTATAAAGATCCACCCATACAATTATATTAGAGAAGAATATCAGAAAGACATAAGTCTGGACAAACAAGTACACATAGTGTAAAGAATTAGCTTATGGATAGACATGTAGGTTTAAAAAAGGTAAAATTCCATTCCTAAGAGAATGATGGCTGCCACCCAAGCGTTAAAGAAAAGGATAAGATAAGGAAATTGGGGACCTATTGAGAACAGCTAAATAGATTCTGCCTATTATTGCTGAGATTATAGAAAGAGGAAGGAAGAAAAGGTGATCACCAAAGTCTCATTCCATTCACCACACTGTCAGCTTAGGCCACTGAGACAAGGACTGAAGTTGTCTGCAGCAACAGCTAAACAAAGAGACATCGATTAAAACAAACAAACAAACAAACAAAAAGCAAAACAACTGGCTAACATTTAAAGAAAATATTATTGTCACTACTCTAAATATAAAATATGATCTTATGACAAAAATAAATTTGTAGTCCCACTGCTTCAAGATAGTTATTATTAACTCTGACACTTTTCTATAAATTATTCAGCATTTTTTTCTTTTCAAGAGTTAATATGATAGGAGAAAGTGCCATTTCTCTGCTTTGTTTTACGCTTTTGGTTAATAGTACATTACACATTCACCATCCTATTTGCTATCCACTTATATTTATCTTTTGTTAATTAAATGATCTTATCTTTTGGCTTTGTTTTTAAAAATCAGCTTTTGTCTCTCTATTAAAGACTATTAATCTCTTACCCAAATATCCATTTTCTCCCTCTTGCTACCCCTAATTTTCAGCTGTGCTTAAGGCCACTTGAAATAAGACAATATTTCTCACTCTCTTTTGCAGCTACGTGTGGCCATGTGACTAAGCCCTAGACAATGCCGTATTAGTTGAAACATAGTATAGCAACTTCTGGGAAATTTCTTTAAGAGACAGTGCCATGAGCTCTTTACCACTCCTTTTATCCCCCTCCTTAAAATATAAACACGATGACTGCATCTCCTTCTTGGACCCTGAAGACAAGGACATCTTCTGTAGCTGGCTGCCAAGAATCACAATGGGTTTCAGAAGAGGAGTCACTATGCCAGCCTTGGACTGTCCACATTCAAACTTTTACTTGAGAGAAGAATACATTTTTATTTTAAGTTGCTATTTTGGCAGCAAAATAGGGTGGCTCATGCCTATAATTCCAGCACTTTGGGAGGCTGAGGTAGGAGGAACACTTGAGACCAGGAATTTGAGACCAGCCTGGGCAGCATAGCAAGACACCTTGTCTAAAAAAAAAAAAAAAGAAAAGAAAAGAAAAGAAAAGAAAAGAAACTAGCCAGGCATGGTGGTGCATGCCTGAGCCCCAGTTACTTGGGAGGCTGAGGTGGGAGGATTGCTTGAGCCCAGGAGTTTGAGGCTGCAGTGATGTATGATTGCACCACTGCACTTCAGCCTGGCCACAGAGTAAGACCCTGTCTTAAAAGAAAAAAAAGTTACTATTTTGTAGATTTGTGTTACTCATAGCCAAGCTTAATTTTAACTAATGTAGTTATTATATTCAAATTTTCATTTTCAACTGAACACTAGTTTTAGGAGACTCCTTGAATACAAGGTAGTTCCTGGAAGAAATCATGAAGTAAACTTATTTTATTAAATTCTACATTTAATGTCTTGACTTCACTCCTCTCTGACTCTTTCCTTTTATCCCATCTCCATTCCTTTCTCTCTTCACCACCACCTTCCCATTGTGGATATGAGTGTCTGGTTTCCTTTACCAGCCCCCCTGCCGGCCCAACTGGCTCCTTCGTGGGAATTAGAAAGAGGCTATTATTTAAATGGCTGCAGTTCCATCAGTTCACAACTTGGCGAGAGGGCTCATTGTGGGGACCAGATAAAGGAATCCCTTCCTCCATGTGGATCCAGAGCCACACAGAGCATATGGCTTGGCAAGTGGAATCTGGGCTGGATTTCAATCCCCCTTCATTCCCTTGGCGGGGTGCCCTTGTTCAATGAACTCTTTGTGCATGTTCACAGCTGGCTGGTCATTCACCAGTAGGCTCAGCTCATCTGCAACAGGACTCTGTGATACAAGGAAACATATAAGGATTCCCTAGCTCAGAGCTCAGTCCCTTGGATTCAGTAGCGAGTATTATTCTTGTTACTGGTTTTCCTTGCCTAAAAATGGACTCTCTTTACATGCCTGGTTCCCAATTACTGCTCAGTCCTACTGGGATTCCTTTGCTGAATGCATATATCTTTATTGCTGACACTGTTTTTGGTAGCTTCTACTGCCTGAGCTTGTCTATCTGAATATTTATTTTGCTTTTTGGAGCCTTTGGTACATATTTGGTTCTTATCATCTGAGTTTTCAGTTTCCTCTTGTGCTGATGTCTTACTGACTAGTGCTGGACAGGAGTATAGAGAGAAAGTGATATCAGAGAAATTATTAATAGCTGGAAAATTCATCAGATATACTGACTCTTCTGTCAGTCATTAGTTAAATATGTTATCATAAAAATAACATTTAAAAATATTCTTCAAATTCAAAGTATAAAAGAGAAAATCAAAATACTTGATAAAAAGACTTCCCTATATGTTTTAGGCAGTGCAGTCTCATTTTCTTTACAGGCTTTCTTTTTTCTAATTTCTGGAACTTGGAAGTATATTATATACTATATTTCATTGGGAATTCTTATAGTCTTACTACTCTTTCCACCAACACAATCAAAGATCTATTGGCCTTACTCAAGTTATAGCACTAAGCACTTTTGATATTTTGTTTTTCCAGAGTCCTTACATATAAAAAGAAACTTAAGTTGCACAGATCGATGTTGCTTAGACCTCTGTGTCATTTCCAACCAGATGTCTTTAAGGTTAAGAATAAAACTGGTGTTGTTTTTGTTTTCCACACTTGATATAAGCTTATAGTGTGGTTTCTGTGCCCTTCATTTGATTTCTTTTCTTGTTCCAAATGCAAAGAGCATGGATGATGTCAAGTTGGTGATTTATATTTCATGTTAATGATAATGGCAACTATAAAACCACTGTAAATGGTATAGGCTCCTTGTTAGGTTTTTCTCATCTGAACTTTTATTTGTTGGACATAAAAATGAGTTTGAACATGTAAGAATGCTTAGTTGCATAGGTTAAATAGGTTATCTGGAGTCAGCTCAGGTGAATGACGAATGTCACCTCAGTTCTCTTGGCACGTGCTTCTTGTCCCAGCTGGGGGCAGTGATTCCTTAAAATCCTCTTCTTTCTGAGTGCCACTTCACAGTGCTTGGCTGAGGCTAACATCACTCACAAAATACGAATGGGGAACAAAAAACTAACTCTGGATGGTCAGCACTCCCCTTGACATTTCCAGTTCTTATTGACACTGCCCTAAATATTTCTACCTGTCTGGGCTTTGCACCTTGCCGGCTACATCCTTTATTCCCTGATTTATTTCTACATGGAATTCACTATCTTGGTCAAAGTCAGCATCTGGTTCTTGTGAGCCTCCCCCTCATCCCGAGCTGCTGTCTCTCCTGCTTGGCTGGATGCTTGATCCAGACTATTGCTGGCCAGCACTGTCCTGCTGCTGCCCAGTGTAACTGAGTCATGACTACATGGAAAAGCCCAGAGTCGAGATTCACTTTAGAGTGAACATGAAGGAGGAGAGAGAAAGAGAAAGATGTTTAACAGGCTATTTTGGGTTATTATCAAAGTGAAGATTAAGATGACTTTGAAACTCAGTGGCACAGAGGCATTCAAAATGAGGGAGTAGGTGTGGAGGTTAAGGGTAAGTGGGTAAAGACCCCAGAGTGAATCCAATCTTGTCACTTTCTTTCGAGTATCATGGGCTGGTTCCTTAAACTCTGTGAGTCTCAGTTATCTCATTTGTAAAATGAGGAACATAATGTCTCCCTTATAGACGTGTAAGGATTACAGACATGAGGTATGTGATGCACTTAGCACAGTGCCCCACTCATAACAGGCATTCTGTAACTAGTAGCTCAAAAGAACGGGTTCAAGAACTTTGGCCCTGGGCTTCTAAGCAATTTTCACTGAGACTTTGTTCAAAACCAGTTGAGAGCAGATTGTAATATGTTTTTAAGAATGCAAATATAATCCTTTGAGTCTAACTTTGTTCTCTCTTTTTACTCAACTAATTCAAGCCTCTGATCAAATGTTACTTCCTCGTAAACACCCTCTCCCCAACCGCCTTATATAACACAGCATTTCCCAAGTTTCTTTCCCCTTATCTTGATTTGTTTTCTTCATAGCGCTTACAAGCAGACATTTTATATATAAAAAAGCATATACATATATATACATTTTATATATATGTATATGCTTTTAATATATATGTATATATGCTTTTAATATATATGTATATGTATAGCGCTTACAACCAGACATTTTATATATATAAAAAAGCACTTACAACCAGACATTTTATATATACATATGTATACATTTTATATATGTATATGCTTTTAATATATATGTATATGTGTTTATATGTGTATATTATATATATGTGTGTGTGTGTGTGTGTGTGTATGTATATGCTTTTTGTTACTGCTGGTGGTTGTCTCCTCCTCCAGCATCTAAGCTTCATGAAGCAAAAAGTTTGTTTTTGGTTTATTGCTATATCTCTAGTACTCAGAAAAATGTCTGGGACAAAGAAGGCATTCATGAATATTTGTTGATATTCCTATATCATGTTTATGAATATATGGCATTTGTTATGGTGACTATCTGCAGCCATCTATAGACAGAGTTACACATCTCACTGGCAGGGTATTTTCCTAGTACTCTTAGTTTAATTGACCATAAAAGTTCTTCTCTCTTAGAGAAGAGTGGCACCAACTCATGCCATCAAAGCAAAGAGTTCCCAGAGGACCTGACAGATTTCTTTCTGACTTGCTGCAATCCTAAAAGAAGCACAGAAGCATCACAGCTCCTTAAATTTTTGCCTGTCTCATCTCACACATGACCTGTGATGACAACCACAAAGGTGGGACTCCACAGGGGTCTGTGACTTTCTTTGTTGGCTTGCTTTTAGTTATTCTTTGCTTCCCAATAAATTTGCATGGCCCTTTCTTCGCTTCTGGTCAGATGCAGTATTCTGCTTATTCTGTTTCAGTCTCGGGGCAATTTATCAGGGCTTGTTTCCCACTTGCTTCCAGTTACATATGCCTCCTTTATCTCATCATTCTTCAACTGAGTACAGAACAGGTTCTGGGGATTGATTGTTGGAGATCCTCACATCAATGAGCAATTTGTTGTGCAGAGGCTGAGGCTGGGGGTTGGCAGATGAGGCTTCCAAGACTCTCGCAAATGAGACTCTTGTTCATTTTCCTCTTTCTGTCGAGCCCAATAAACACAAAATACAACTGCATTCAAAGGTGTTGTAGCTCAACTTATCTGCGTTATCAAAGGACACGTGAAGAACATCCTCACCTCAACATTGTAAATGCAATTGTCACAATCTTGACAGGGCGTTGGAGTAAAAGTCTCTCCTGGAGATGAGGAGCAAAGGTGAGTGCTCTAGGTTGACAGTGGCCAATGAATAGATGTCTCCCTTGACACTCTTATACAAATATATTTTCTCCAAAGAGCTTAATGGTGTACAATATATTATTCTAATGGGATATGACTGCTTCTGAGAAAAGATGCTACTTGTTTGATAGAACTAGGATACTATTTTTTATTTCTTAACTATAACATGTCTGATTTTCTGTAACTTAAAATCCCATAGGATGAAAAAGAGTAGGTGATGCATAAAATACTTTATGCATTGCTACTCAAAGTGTGTTCCCTGGATAAGCAGCATCAGCTTGACCTGGGATTGTGTTAGAAATGCAGACTCTCAGGCCCCATCCAAGATCTATTGAATCAGAATCTGTATTGTAATTTGTGTTCACTTGATTCATAAGCACATTATAGGCTTGAAAGTATTGGTTTCAGAGCTAATATTTTGATTCTATTATTTTATTTCATAGGTAAAATAAGATACTATTGTAAATGCAAACAAATAGCCTGTAGTAGAAAGAACATAGATCTGAATTTGAGTTTCAGCTACATTACTAATAATCTTTGGGCAAATAGCCTCAGTTTTCTGATCTGTAATGTGAAGGAAGTAACATCTGCCTTCAGGGTAGATGTGAGGATTAAAGGTTATACTGTATATCTAAAGTATTAGCACACACAATGTCTGACACTAAAACCTGATAACTATTACTGTTTTCTCATTGAAATCTATAGTTAGGGGATTATTGAAACACTTGCACCATTTGAAGTTCATTTAGTGGGAGGCCAGTAGCATTGTCTGATGAGTTCCCTTTGGACTGCCTACCAGTGAGCTACCTAGGACTGGAGAGCCCTTTGCCTCCAGGGAAGAGGCTGTACCCACTCAACTTCTCATGGGACTGGGGATCCCCCAAGTTCTCTAGGCATTGGAAGCCATCATTTCTCAGGACTAACCAAAAGAGTCGGCACCTGAGCTCAGCTACTTGGAGCCTGAACTAGATATGCTTATGTGCCCTCTATCCCCTACCTCATACTTGCTCTATTAAAAAGAGAGATCTACAAGGAGGCAAAATCTCTGTGGGGCTGTGCCTCTTGTTGCTTGCCATTGATATAGGGAGAATGTGGGTGGTAGTAGGGATGAACATGTTGCCTCAGGTCAAGCAGTCCCTCCGTAGCCTATCTGCAAGATGCTGAAATAGGCACTCATTCCCTGCTGGTCCTGTTGTTCATGAGTTGCAGCTTGCTCTCAGGGATGCAACTAATTTTTGCTTGAGCCCTTTGCCAAACAATATTATTTTGGCACACAATGAAGAATGGGACAAAACAATGACCTTTTAATCTAAGTGATACAAGATGTGATGAAGGGATCAGAACTGGATCTTACATTAAAAAGGAGAGGGAGAAAGAACATTCTACTAAAACTTAGGACTTGAGGTCTAATTCTCTCTCTAATTCCATACATACAATTATCTGGGTCATCTCTTCCAGGACATTTTATCAATCTGGGTTTGTATTTTCTATTTTTAAATATGAGAATATTGGATTAAATTATTTTTTCCATTTTTAAAAAGTCAATGGTTTTTTATTTATTTATTTATTTTTTCATTATTATTATTATTATTTTTTGTAGAGACAGGGTTTTGCCATGTTGCCCAGGCTGGTCTTGAACTTGTGGGCTCAAGCGATCCATCTGCCTCGGCCTTCTAAAGTGCTGGGATTACAGACATGAGCCACTGTACCCATCCTATTTCTTATTTTTTGATCTCATATGCACCAAGATGAAAAACCCAAAGATTTTTATAAAAGTTTGATAGATTGCATCATTGTCTTTCATATAAAATTTTAAATCACATAAAATACATGGTGACAGTTTTCTGTCTTTCTCCATATAAACACCTTGTGGCCCATGTGAGGCGTGGAGGGATTCCTTCATCCAGTGGCTTTGTTTTTCTGGACTATTGCTTTTTCCAAGCTCACACCTCCTTGAAGATTTCTAGTTGGCTCAGTTTTAAAAAATTGCTCCTAAGGCAGTAAAAAAAGCCTATCTAAATAATTTTGAAAGGAGCATCCCTTATCTAAGATGAGTGAAATATTTTCATTCCAACTTTAGCAGGAAAGAGTTTCTACAACTGGCACTGACAATTATTTCTATAAATAGGAAAGTCAGTGAGAATGAAACTAGGAGATCTAAAAGAATACTATGTTATAGTGGATCAAAGGCAGGGGCCTTGGACAGGGGATGAGATTCCAAAAAAGTCTCCCTAAACTACTGAGGAAATAAAATGACTGAAGTTACTTTTAGCATTTTCTTTAGTCTTCAGTGATTTTTATTAAACTATACCAACAGATAACAGGCCTACCATTTAATTGACATTCTTTCTGTAAGAATTCATCTTGAATAATGTTACTTCCTTATGTACTCCCAACCATGAAGAATTGATCTGTCTTTGTTATAGCACTATGCTTTGTATATAGCTATATGCTATTGTATTATATTCAGATATATATCACATTATAGCCTTTATATTATTTTGTAGCAATTCCTGTTTACATTTTTGCCCACCCATTGTGAGTTCCGTGAGGATAAGAAACATGTCTTGATCATCTTTGTCCTGAGTTAGTACTTGGTGTCGATGATACTCAATAAATGTGTTTTTAATGTTGAATGAATGAGTTATAATAATATGCAATGTACTAATGTATAAATAACCTATCATAATGGTGCTTGTGAGGAGAAGTATTATAAGCAATCATGGATTTTCCACATTAGAGTGGAAATTTCTAATCTAAAACAAGATTTGAGCTGATGCTAGCCACATCTGAGGTATAGAGAATGTTTTCAAATTGTCTGGTTCTAAATAGAGCTGCATTAGAATGAGGCTATTATTATAAAAATCATACATTGGTATCTAATATTTCATTTTAATAACCAGACATCCTATCAAATATTATGTAAGTATATTGATATGTAAAATCTGTCTTAGAAACAGTATAAAATGAAAAAAAATTGGCTAAGCAAGTAAAATAATCCACATGTAAAAGATAATTTACATACCAAAATGAAAACGTTCATTTGAACTAAAGATTCAAACTCAGAAGATTTAGCAGAAGTAAAAAGTTCTACTTAAAAAGCATTAAATAGGTCACTGAATATCAAGAGCCTACTTGCACCCAAGTGGCCAGTTTTTATTTTTTAACCTTTACACTGATATTTAATATAAATCATAATAGAGAAGGGTATCTGATAAGCTCAAAGGGATGCTTCTGTAGCACTGCAATTCTTCCCTCCTGAAACTTGCGGTCATTTTAAGATGCTGCCTATTTTGAAGAGAACATAACTTTAGTCCTTTCATCTTGCAGTAGGTAAAAAAGTTGTACATTCTAACAAATCACCATTACATTTTAGTTTGTGACACTACAGTGCCATATATGTCTATAGATGTGAAATTATTATTTTCCAGAGAGGAACTCCAGGCTGCTATAAAAAGTTTGAATCATTGCCTGAGAAGCAGGCTCTTAAATGCTCTGGTGCTGTTTCACAGGTGATTTGTGGATATCCACTGAGTGTGCAAAGTCTGTGTGCCAACACAAGCCATCCTGACCATCCTGCTTACTGCCAGGTATTATTTGCTGTTGAATGTGACCCTCTTTCTGGCCCCTTTCACTTTTCATTTCACCCTGGTGGGAGCATTCTACGCCCCTCACAGATTGGTGAATCGGAGACCATGCTAGACAGAAGCAGTGACACCTGCTCTTTGTTCTACAGCTTTTCTACAGCTTCTCAGATTCACTTTTTACATGACAAAATGCATAGAGTCTGAAGTAAGAAACTTGTTCTGCAGTCTTACTCTCAAGCTTGTTTTGACTAGTTCTATTGACTTTCATGCCCTTTGGTTAAAGCTGGGTCAGTGGCCTTAAATCAACTATTAGAAAATAGTATATATTTTTCTAAAGTGGATGCAAAAGAAAGGAAAGAGAAGGAGTGGGAGGAGAAGCAGCACATTGGGGTAAGCACAAAGCTCTCTGAAAGGGTAAAAAAGGTGGGTATTTTACAGACACATAACAATGTCTTACACCTAAGCATTCAGCTACATTAAATAATTCCAAAGATTCATTCTAAATATATTCAGGTAATTGGATGAAAATTTCGTTTTGTATACAGATGTTTAGGATCTGATATAAAGTCTGTAAAACAGACATGGATTTTTAAAATATAAATTCCCAAAATAAAGTTCTGAGACTCTACAACATCAAGGTAAGGTTTCTTGTAGCAAAACCTTAGCTATGTGTGTCTACAAGATCACTATATTTCTATGTATTCCTAGGCACATATTCCCAGGGATCCAAGACACACATTAAAGAAAATAATTTTAGGAGATTTACTTTCCAGAAAACCTAAAAAAATAAAGTTCATAAGAACTATGTATGCTCAGAAGGTACACAGAGTTCTATGAAAATGCATATTCCAAGTGATAGTTCTGGACCAGTTTGGAATTTGAGTGAGTTAGCAGCTTCACATTACATAGGCAACGTCCAGGAAATATTGTCTCCTTTCATATTATAAATATTGGTATTATGAAGAAGTTATACATATGTACTCATGAAGTGTATTTTATTTATTATTATTATTTTTTGAGATGGAGTCTCGCTCTGTTGCCCAGGCTGGAGGGCAGTGGTGTGATCTCAGCTCACTGCAACCTCTGCCTTCTGGGTTCAAATGATTCTCCTGCCTCAGCCTCCCAAGTAGCTGGGATTACAGGCATCTGCCACCACACCTGGCTAATTTTTGTAGAGATGGGGTTTCACCATGTTGGCTAAGCTGGTCTTGAACTCCTGACCTCAGGTGATCCACCCGCCTCGGCCTCCCAAAGTGCTGGGATTACAGGCGTGAGCCACCGCACCCGGCCGAGCATTGTGTTTTATTTGACGCTGACTTTGTGTAAGACAGCATCCTTCCCAGAAGGTTCATTAATCCACCCAAAGCGTTCCTGAATGAGGGACCTGGCAGCATCCTGCTTAGCACTCCCCATTCACCACGAACAGGAGGGGGCTGCAGCCATGTCTAAAATGATCACCAGTCTTACTCTAGTCCTTGTTCCTGGTCATTAAGTGGCTTTATGGTCTTAACCACCACACATGCAAATATCATGAGAGTCCAATCAGAGTTATATATGTGTACTTGGCACTTTTTTTGGGACAAGTTTTCCCATTTTTGGAAAAAGAAGTAATTCTAGATGGATGAACACAGCATTGTGAACGCACATCAAAAGCCAAGGGTTTCAAATGGCAGCTGAAAAGCTAAGAATTAAATGCATGAATAAAGGAGCACATTTGTAGTGGTAATTTCAGATGGAGAAAAACAGGTAATTGTAAAATCGTTGCTGTTTGACTGAGGAGCAATGAAATAATTCCTTTACTTGCTGTAAAAATGCTATGTACTTTTAAAACATAATCTCCAAATGTGAATATGCTTAAAAATAAATATGAAGAAGCAAGTTTCCATTTTCATTTAGGCTGTATGCTCTTTGAATAAACATATAGATTCTTCCTTCGGCCTGAAGCTGACAAGTGTATTATTAGCATAATAATGGCACACAATAGCAGGGGTAATGATTATGCTCATCTCTTAGGGGCCACGAAGTTTTCCTAGACAGTGTGTCGTGTATCCTCCCAAAGTTCCTGTAGGGGAGATAAACAGCAACCAGAATTATAGTCATTTTAGTGGTGAGAAAATTGAGATTCAAAGGTGAAGTGACCCAAGGACTAAAGGGCTTCCTTCTCTGGGACACACTGGACATTATAGAAATCCATATAATGCTGCAAAACCTAAGAGTGGGCCTCAACTTGTATGCACCATGGGGACTGCTCCTACAACCTCTGACATTATTCTCTACACAGGAATTTCCTCTTTCTAGAAACACTCCTGCTTAGCTTGCATTCTCTGCTCTCCACTGAAGAATCCCCAGGGTGTGGCAGTTGAGAACATCAACTCTGTAGCCAGCTGATTTCCGCCTTCACTATCCAGGAGACTGCACATAAGTAATCTATCCTCACTTGGTCCTCATATCTAATAGTTGTGACCTCAGGGATTGCTGGGAGGATTTAGCACTGTGCTGTGTAAGGCATTTAAAAAGTGAGTTCAGAGGAGGCTGACTCAAGTTCAGACAAAGGAAAGAATGTTTGTCAAGAGCAAAGATGGGGGCTAGAGGTGGAAAAAAATTAGGTTTGGAGCTTCTACCAGTGGCTGGAATAAAGGGATAAACACAACAGATTATGAGAATGAGACCAATGGCATTCATACGATAAGGAGCATAAGGTTTTATTTCTTTCTGACATGTGAGAGAAATTTCCTAAAAGGTACATGGTGTGATTCAGTAACTATGTTCAGAGTAATATTTTTCAATGAGTCTAATGATGAGTTTTATCAGGCTACATCTCAGAATGGCCTGCAATACAGTAGGTGGCTCAATGCCAAAGTAAAGCTACCGAAAAACACAGTTTTGAAGGGCGCCCACATATTCTGGAGCAAGCGCAAGGCTAGTTCTGTGTGGTACAGTGTGAGGGTCAGGAGCACGGGCTGCAGACAGCAGGCCTGAGTTGGGAGCCCAACCTTGCCACTTCCTGGCTATGTGCCATTGGACAAATTACTTCATTTCCCTGACTCTATCTATAAAGTGAGGGTAATAAAATAATTCACCTCATAGTTTTATTATGAGGCTAAATTAGTTGGTATATGTGAAGACTTGGAGTAGTGCACTGGTACTAAGTTTTTTGTATTATTAATCAAAGGAAGAGAGTATAGAATATCTAGAAGAAAGATGACACATAATGTAGGCCACACATACAATAAACAATACTTCTTGCTGCTGCACTTGTGATCACAGTCAGGTAGTGAGAGTTCAAGGTTACACTTTCTGCAAGTTCCTAGCCTGCAGGAATTTGATATGGCTGATTAGAGGAGGAACCATATGCTCTGATAATCAACCCAGTGGAAGGCCAGGTTGACATCTGAAATGAAAATCCAGGAACCCAATTGAACAAATGGTGAATGGGAGGTTATTCCCCTACTGTGAGCTCCATAGGTGCTTTCAATAACTTCAGATGCATTTTCTAAGAGCAAGCATGAAAGCAAATAATAGTCATTACTGGATATTCTTCTAGATTCTCCTGTGAGAGAATTAAAAGTTTTTTCAAGAAAGAGTTCTGTGTCCACGAAGATGCAGGTAGCTCTTCAAGGGCCCACATTTTGTGCACTGGAGAGAGCTTGGCTGAAATCATTTTAGTCTAAATAAATTTCAAAGTGATTATAAATATTTATCCATCCTGACTATAAATCTCAATAAGGAACCAAAAACATTTTAAGTGCTGCAAATTCCTAATGAATCCTGCAAGATGAACTGGATTCAAATATACTTCTCAAAAACTGAGTTTTGGCCTAGTAGGTAGGGCAGTAAGACACAAGTCAATTAATTACTGAAAAATCATAGACTTAGTATAAGATTAGTTAATATAAGTTCTTTCTTTTGGAAATCATGAGTACTAGTTATTTATTGAGGCCAATCTTCATTTATGATAGAAAAATGCTTTATCTATAATTACAAAAATAAGGACAGCTTCTTTCTTCTCTGTTTTAAACAATAACTGAATTTACCTGATTATATTATTGTTAAACTGCTAGCCATTTATTTTGATTATTATGAATTACAAAACAAATTACTTCTTAATAAAGGTATCAAATTATTATTAATCAAATTATGTTTCATTTGATTATTATACTTAAACACTTCAGATGTTATCTCTATACTATCTTGGTAGAATAACAGGGTAATCTGTTCACAGTTTAAAATGTTACTATATATATAATGTACATGTATATCCATATCACCAAATTCCTCATGAAACTATTCCATTGATCTCTAATGAGACAGCCAGGTGGGAGGGGGTCCCAGGCGAAACTCCAACTAGCTTGCCCACTGATGGGGAGCCTCAGGAAGTTTGCGGCAGGGAGGAGCCGGGACCCTCCTCTTCCTGTGTGGAACCTGGATTCAAGCTGCAGGCGGGAAGTGCTCTCCAGGGACTCTGGCTCTGAGAGAGTTCCTGTTTCCCCTTTAGCTTCCTTTTCACCCAGTAAAACCCTGTCTTATTCACCACTCAAATTGTCTGCAAGCCTGAATTTTCGTGGCCATGGAACAAAGAACCCCATCTTTAGCTGAACTACGAAAAAGTCCTGCAGCACAATTATGTATGGAAATTTTCTAGATATTAAGCCAAGAAAAAAAAAATGAGTATAATGCTTGCTTTCCAGCACATCTTACCGATCTAAATCTGGTAATGTAATCTAGTAGCATAAAAATATATATGTGTGACTTAGTTGCAAAAGTATATAAGAAACAGTTAAATTTGACCAGTGTGACTTTTGGTTCACTTTTCAAAATTCTTTCTTATTAAACATTTTCCTTAGACTCCTAGAACTGTATTTATTTTAAAATAAAGCATTTGGGTCTGAAATGAAGTAGCAGCTCTTCAATAAATCACTCCCCAAAATACCTTCAATTTATGTATTTACTCACTTCCTCACCCACTTTGATTCTGTTATCTTCATCTCTTGGTGAGAAATATTTGTGAAAATACAGATATTATTTGTATATGACTACAAAACCCATGTCAATTTTGAGAAGAGAGATTTTAAATAAATGTTCAAACTTCTGGGACTTTGTAAACCAACTTATATATTGGATGTGCACAGTAGTATTAAATTAAGTTTTAAAATATTTTCTTCCACCCATGTCTAAAATTAAATAAGTCTATGTTCACATAACAAAATAGGGTTGAAAAATATCTTATGTTACTTGTTTTTATTTTTGGTATTGTTTTACAGTGAATATTATTTAATTTCCAGTAAGTTGGGTTTGTGTGATGGAGTCATAGATTTAGAAATTGGATACTTTTAAGGGCTCTTGTTATAAAATCAGAGCCATTTTTCTTTATTTTGTTCTCACATATTGCACACAACCTTATACACTATATCCGATTTTGTTCTTGGGTTAAATTAATTAATTAAACTATAAGATCAATTGGGAAGTCTATCATTCGTATGCTACCTCTTAATTTGTGGCTTTGAATTGTATTTAGAGGTGTGTTCTTATGGTAGTCTCAATTAGGGGAAAAATTAGTATGTTGGAGTCCTTTAAAATGAGAACATGTCATGGGGCACTTTGCATTGTTCAGATGTCTGCAAGAATTCAAGAGAAGTAACACCACCTGGCTCATCTTGCGCTTTCTGCCAGTTCTCCTTTACATCACCACTAAGGCTGACTTAATATTCTTTTCTTCAGATACCAAACAGCATCAAGGGAGGCCTCAAACCCCAAGAAAGCATTTTAGGAGGAATTCATCAGTACCAAATACACATACATATACTCATTTTCTTGTTATTGCTTTAAACACATTCATTTATATCTGGTATGCATTTAATTATGCTTTCAATTTCTGTTATATATTCATTTATTCAACAAATATATAGATTACTGATTAGGTGCCAGACATCATTTTAGATGCTGGTATACAGCAACAGAAAAGGAAGCATTCTTGCTCTCATTGATATATTCTGATGAGTGAGACAGGTAATGAATACGTTTATACAAAGCATATAATTTTAGGTGATAACAAGTAGTATGGAGAAAAATAAAACTAATGAGGCAGATAAGGAGGGTAGAGAGTACCAGTGGCAGTATGATTGATAGGGAGGACTTGGTATTTTATCACATAGGGTGATAAGGTGACATTTAAGCAGACGAGAGAATGTCAGAGATACAATGGGCATTGTAGGCCATTCAAAGTAGTTGAGTCTTATCCTGAGTGAGAGGGAGAGCTTGTGAATCTTTGGAAACACAGAAATGACCTGGTCTGATTTACATATAATTGTGCATCATTCAGGGTGAGGTGGAGAAAACACTATAGGAAACAAGAGGGGACAAAACAAGAGGCTATTGCAGTCGACTAGGTGAAAGAAGATGGTGGCTTGGACTAGGGCAGTGTTGGTGGACGTGATGAGAATTATAAGATTCTAGAGACATATCTTGAAGTTCTATCCAATATGATTTGATACATAGAGGATGATTCTTTGTCCTGGTTTACATTGGACACCCCCTGGATAATTAGGAAGAGTGCTTTCTTTCACTCTAAAAAGTGTTTCAGTTTAGATGGTAAATTTTATGGTCCCTTCTTTATTAAACACTTTGTACTTTCAAAAACATTTCCTCAAACATAATTTCGAAAAGCCCTGATACCATGACTCTCTCTTGATTGAGATAAAATCTGAAGCTGAGAAAGTTTTAGTGACTTGTCCAACATAGTAATGGCAAATCCAGAATTTCAAACCAGGTCTTTTGGCTTCCAGTTCAATGTTCTTTTTCCTATATCCCAGTGAAGTTCTATTTATAAGACACAAACACCCCATTTGTCCCTTTACTTAGTCCTTGTTCATTTTTTAAACATCTATTGTGATGTGCTAGGCATTGTTCTAAACAGTTGGGACACATCAATGAACCAAAGATCCCTGCCCTTTTACAGTTTACATTCTAATACACACAAAAAAGGATAAGAAATAATATAATAAATAAGTAAAATATATAGTATGTTAGCCTGTGATGAGTACAATAGAAAAAAGTAGAGTAGGATAAAGAGGATTGATCCAAAAACGCTCCAGTCTTAACCTAGAGGTGGTCAAGCTAGGTTAGAAAAGGTGAGTGAATTAAGCTGGAGAGCATTCTAGGCAGAGGGAACAGCTAATGTGAAGGCTGCAGGCAATAGCAAGTCTGCTGTGTTCCAAAAATAGCAAGAAAGCCCATGTGGCTGGGGCAGAGTAAGCAACAGAAGGAATCGTAAGAAAGGTCAGATTGACAGTGGAGTCAGATCATGTAACCCCTTGCAGGCCACTGTGAGGGCTTTGGTCTTCCATCTGGGTAAAATCAGAATCAACTATGAAGTTTTGAGTCATGGAAAAGCATGCCATGGCTGGTGTTTTAAGGGAATGACTGGCTGCTTTTCAATAATAAACTGTAACAGGGCAAGAGCGGAAGTAGAGAGACTAGTCAGGAAAGTACTGTAGTACCATCATGAAAAATGATGTTGGCCTGGACCAGTAAGGTAACAATGGAGATGGTAAGAAGGGGTGAGGGTGTGGCCACGTTTTGAAGATAAAATCAACATTATTTCCTTATGGACTTTGTGAAGGAAAGAGAGCTGGTAAGGATTATTCCATATTTTTGGTTATATAACTGATTGGAGTTTGCTGCTAACCTACACAGAAAGGACTGTGGGTAAAGGAAGTTTGTGAGGAAGGTTTACGAGTTTTGTTTTAGACATTCTAGGTTTGAGATGTCCATTAGGCATCAAATGGCTATTAGGTCTATGAGCATCAGGACACACTTGAGGTTCAGGACATAGGTTTGGGCTGGAGGTGTACCTTTGGAGTTGTCAGCATATATTTGGTATTTAATGCCAGGGGACTGGATGATACCACTGCAGAGATGAATGGATATGGAAAAGATGACCAAGAACTGAGTCTAAGGCACTTCAACTGAAAGAGGGTTGGAAGAAGAGAGGGGACCTGCAATGGAGACTTGGAAGAAGCAACTACATTGGAATAAAACCAAGAAGGAGACTTGATAGGCAAGTAAAGAAAATATTTTGGCTGGGCGGGTTGGCTCACACCTGTAATCCCAGCACTTTGGGAGGTTGAGGCAGGTGGATAACCTGAGGTCAGGAGTTCAAGAACAGCCTGACCTATGTGGTGAAACCCCATCTCTACTAAAAATACAAAAATTAGCAGGGCATGGTGGCACGCACCTGTAGTCCCAGCTACTCGGCAGGCTGAGGCAGGAGAACTGCGTGAACCCGGGAGGCAGAGGTTGCAGTGAGCTGAGATTGCACCACTGCACTCCAGCCTGGGCGACAGAGAGAGATTCCCTCTTAAAAAAAGAAAAAGAAATAAAATATTTCAGAGAGGAGGGACTGATCAACTGTAAGATGTTGCTAATAGGTCAAGAAAGATGAGGACTGAGGATTAATCATTGAATTTAGCAGTGTGGAGGTCAATGGGAACTGGACATGAATTGTCTAGTGGAATGATGGGGCTTGTGATTCTGTATGTCTAACAATTTTTCAGATGATTCCAATGTTGTTGGTCTATAGAACACCTCTAGGCATCAACAATCTAACAAAGAAGCAAAGGGATTAGATAGAAGCCAGGAAAGAAAAGGGAGGGCCTGTGGCTACAGATGCTAAAAGGTAGATTGTGATCCTACGGAAATTTCTTCTGAATGCTTCTGTTTTCTCAGTGAAATATAAAACAAGACCATCAACTAAAGGCGATGGGAGAGAACTGCAACATAGTACTAGGCAAGTGGGTAGTGAATGGACTGGGGATGCATAATGTAATTGCTGGGAAGCATTGCATCAGGGAAAATTCAGGTATGTGGTAATGAATTTATAGTGAGAATAGTGGTGTGCTTGTGTGTTTTTCTTCAACCATATTCTGCTACACAAGTACAGTTGCTGGCAGGCAGAATTAGATTTAACTATAATTTTAGTTTTATTTGGAAATGTC